>NW_012132916.1:0-373699 GCF_000001405.40 Homo sapiens
CTAGACAGTCTATTGGAATGTTCCATTCTGATATGGAAATGGAGGGGGAAAGGGGACTAGAGAAGGAGAGAAAAGACACACAGTACAAGTCCAAACCAAGTAAGATTTTAACCCTGCATTGGACTTTTGCTGACAATTTTATAGTTTTAATTTAATAGAGGACCTTTCTTGGCTCCTTGATAGAAAAAAAACTGCACTGACTAAATTTCTCATCTGAATTACCTGAATCCCTTTCCTCATCCTAGTGCAGCAAACCTGGTGCCCGACATGAATTATGCAATGCAGAACAATCCATTATGCAGGCAGGAAAGCAAGAAGGGCTACACTGGTTTGCAAAAAACAAAAAACAAAATTCTACCATGTAATGCTGGCACTGAAAAACAGATGACTACCGGTCTTAGAGGTTAATCATGTTCTGACACTGTCCACTCCTGGGGTAAAGGTTAGGGTCCCAATTTATCTATAGAAAAGTCCAAACAAGTTGTATTATTAGGAACTTTCCTGCCAAATTTAAAACCTCCCTAAATGGTATACATAAACTTCATTCGTTCTTGTTGGTAAAGCTACACATTTCACAATCAAATCACTTCAGGGCAGAGAATAGATTCTATTCCTGTACTAAGAACTCAAATTCACGTGAACATCAATTTCAAGATGTGACTTTGCACCCAGTTCTAAGACCCGGCAGACCAGGGCCCTGGGACAAAATATTCCAAGAATTATGATCAGCTGTCAAAATATGCTCTCTCCCCAGCTCTTCATAACTTGAATTGGAAAGCTGTCACCAGCTGGGCCTCAAATAAACCTACATGGACTATAATGCCAAAGTAGACCACTTCCAAAATGTACTATTCATTTCAACACACATTTCCTGACCCTTTTTGTGAGTTGGTCAGTATCCTGGGCCCTGAGAATACAGAAAGAGTAATGCAATTACTGCTTTTGGAGAGATGAAGTATGAGAGAAACCAAGTGAGAGACAAATATATAAACAAGGCATTGCAAGCTTGTCATCTGAGGACCAAATATGGCTCCCAGATGTGTTTTGTTTGGTTCACCCTTTTTTTAAAAAAAAGAAAACTTTGAACCAGTGCTTTAAAACTGGCAAAGTTCATTAAAAAAAAAAAAAAAAAAAAAAAGAACAGGCTTCTGGTTCTCTTGAAAACCTGAAAAATCTACACTAGAAACACCGGGCCAATGTTCCTACATGGCAGCAAGAGGCCAAAGCAGAATGGCAGCTTTTCCCATTGAACAGAATAAGCCCTTCCAGGTAATCCTAGTCCCCACCACTCCCTAATTGTCCTTTAAAATACTACTCAGTATCCAGCCGGGCGCGGTGGCTCACGCCTGTAATCCCAGCACTTTGGGAGGCCAAGGTGGGCGGATCACCTGAGGTCGGGAGTTCAAGACCAGCCTGGCCAACATGGTGAAACCCTGTCTCTAATAAAAATACAAAATTAGCTGGGTGTGGTGGTGCATGCCTGTAATCCCAGCTACTCGGGAGGCTGAAGCAGGAGAATTGCCTGAACCCAGGAGGCGGAGGTTGCAGTGAGCCAAGATCGCATCATTGCACTCCAGCCTGGGCAACAAGAGTGAGACTCCGTTTCCAAAACAAACAAACAAACAAAAAACTACTCAGTTTCTGACTTGTGAAGACCACCATAAATAAACAATTCCAGTAGAAGGTATTATCTTTACAAGTGAGATAAGTGAAAAATTACAGGACTCTCGATATACAGCCAGAAGGGATATTAGTTAATATATTCTCTGGGGGGGTAAAATGATGATGGATACCAAAAGCCTTAAAAAGAAATAATTCATGTGAGCCAACAGCTTTATTTCTAGATAGCTATCCAAAGAAAATATCTGAAGATGTTCGCTAAAATGTATGTATGAGGGTAGTCATCAATATGTTATATAAAAGAGAACTGAAAACACTCTAAATGTTCAACCTTAAAGTAGAGCTTATTATATTATAAAGTAACCAAAAATAAATTTTGCAGTCACTGAAATAGTCAACTTGATCTACATATAGTATTTTTTTAAAGTCCATGATTGGCCAGGCACAGTGGCCCACGCCTGTAATCCCAGCACTTTGGGAGGCCAAGGTGGGTGGATTGCTTGAGCCCAGGATTCTGAGACCAGCCTGAGCAAGACAGTGAAACCCTGTCTCTACCCAAAAAAAAATTAATTATTTGGGCACGGTGGCACCCACCTGTGGTCCCAGCTAGTCAGTAGGCTGGGATGGGAAGATCGCTTGAGCCCAGGAGATACAGGTGAGCCAAGACCGTGCCACTACACTCCAGCCTAGGCGACAGAGAAGTAAGGCTCTGTCTCAAAAACAAAAAAACAAAAAAACAAACAAACAAAAAAAGTCCATGATATGCTGTTAGGCATGAAGAAAACTCCCACCCAAACAGCATGTACTGTACAGTCTTATTTTCATAAGAAAAAGCCCCCCCATCTTCAAAAGTATATGTTTGTGTTTCTGTTTGTGTATGTGTGTGTGTCTGTGTGTGTGTATGTGTACGTCTGGATAAAAATAGTGTTAACACATGTATTTCTCTGGGGTGGGATTACGGGCAATTCGGACATATTTTTCTGCCATATTAACATATTTCTGTATTGTATACATTGTTTAAATGAGAAAAAATTTAAATTTCACCAGGAAAATACATAAGCTGTGGAATCACAGACCAATTTTAGATAGTGATTGATAGTCATATAAGGTCACGATACTATTTAAGTTTTTAAAAGATTAGAAACCAAAATCTAGATGCCTACGCTTTTTATAAAATAAAATGTTAAAAAAACACATGCTGCAACACCGGAGAAAGCTTTTTTTTTTTTAACAACTTGATCTTGAGTTCTGAATTCTTAACTAACTCACACAGACTTAAACAGGCTGATAGATGGAGGAGGAAATGAACATGCTCTCCCTATCAGATGTAAATTCTAACGCTTGGCCAAGAATCCAGGTGGTAAAATACTATTTAAACCAGGCCAAGGTGGTACCTTCCACGGCCACATTACATAAGCAACAGGCGCAAGCAGATGCACACATCTGGCCAGAATAAAGGCCCTCTAAGACCTTCAACATAATTAATTCAATATTTTTCTCTATAGTTCAAAATGCTACAACAACTGGCAGACAACCATCTTAAATCATCACGGAAAAGTCAGACATATGGCTAAGTATATTTAATATGCTTTAAAAATAAGACATGGATTTTCTAGCCAACAAGATCTCAGACAATTTTTTTTTTAATTTTGCCTACTCATTACCCTCAAAAAGAATTCAATTCAACAGATATTCCTGAGTACCTACAGAGGGCAGAGACTACAAAGATCCATAAAATAAGGATGTTGCCTTCAAGAAACACATAATCTAGTATGGGAGACAGTTGGGCAAAACTATAGTTACAAGGCACCATTGTGACTCTTTGAAATAATGAAGTGCATGGAGGATAGAGAGAGGGCACACGGGAGGAAAGAATGGACAGTGTTGGTGAGACTGATCAGAGAGAAGAGGAGATGGCGGCAATTAAGCAGAATTGCTTGAAAATATATAGCAGCACACCGTTTTTTGGCAGGAAACACTTTGGGAAACCATTTTTTATTTATCGGACTATCTTCCGTGGGGTCACCAAGCATGTCTCTCTGGCAGCAAAAGGGCCAGCCTAAGACCGGTGTCTCTACATTGACATGAGGGCTCCAGGCTATGGGGTAGACACATTTCTTTCTTTTTTCTTTTTTTTTTCTTCTTTTTCTTAAAAAAAGAGAGGACCGGCTGGGCGCGGTGGCTCACACTTGTAATCCCAGCACTTTGGGAGGCCGAGGCGGGCGGATCACAAGGTCAGGAGATCGAGATCATCCTGGCTAACACGGTGAAACCCCATCTCTACTAAAAATACAAAAAATAGCCAGGCGTGGTGGCGGGTGCCTGTAGTCTCAGCTACTCGAGAGGCTGAGGCAGGAGAATGGCGTGAACCCCAGAGGTGGAGCTTGCAGCGAGCCAAGATCGCACCACTGCACTCCAAGCTGGGTGACAATGAGACTCCGTCTCAAATAAATAAATAAATAAATAAATAAATAAATAAATAAATAAATAAATAATAAAAAAAGAGAGGGTCTTTCTCTGTCACCCAGGGTGGAGTGCAGTGGTTCCATCATAGCTCACTGCAGCCTCGGACTCCTTGGCTCAAGCAATCCTCCCACCACAGCCTCCCTCCCTAGTAGCTGGGACTACAAGCATGAACCACCATGCCCCTGCTGTCAAGGCATTTCTAACATGGAAACCTAGAGTAAGATTATTGGAATCAGATAGATCTGAGTTTGAATCTCACCTAGGTCAGCAGTCAGGGAACCAGGAGAACCTGACTTCTCAAGCTAATTTTCTCACAGCTGAAATGAGAATAAGCTCATCTACCTAGACAAACCCTTAACCTGGGTTTAAGTGATGTATCAGAGGAACAATAAATAATAGTTACAATTACTAGCATATCCCTCCTAACTCAGATTCCCAGTATCAAGCATGGAGTCATGCCTGTAGAGGGGCTTTCTCAACCTCAGCCTTACTGACATTTTGGGCTGGATAATTCTCCCTTGAGGGGCTGTTGTGTACATTGTGGGGTGTTCAGCAGGGTCCCGGGCCTCTACTCTCTAGATGCCAGAAGCAACCCTCTCCTTAATTGTGACAACCAAAAATGGCTCCAGACGTTGCCAAATGTCCCCTGGGGAACAAACTTGCCCCCAGCTGAGAACCACTGATTCAGAGGCACTAACTGACGTACCTCCATTTCTCAGCTGAAAATATCACAGCTGGCCAGGCACGAAGGCTCATGCCTGTAATCCCAGCACTTTGGGAGGCCAAGGCAGGCAGATCGCTTGAGCCCAGGAGCTCGAGACCAGCCTGAGCAATGTAGTGAAACCCCATCTCTACAAACAAACAAATAGCCAGGTGTGGTGGGTGCATGCCTGCAGTCCCAGCCACTCAGGAGGCTGAGGTAGGAGGATCGCTTGAGCCCAGGAGGTGGGTGTTGCAGTGAGCTGAGATCAAGAAAAGAAAAGATCACAGCTGCTTGTAGGGTAGGTACTTCAATGAGCACCACTTAAGAGCCAGGCAGGGTAGTACAAGTTTTACATACATTATCTCATTTAATCCTTACAACCACTTTATGACACAGGTAACATTCTCATTTTCAACTGGGAGAACTGATGTTCTGGGAGGCTAACCTGTCCCTGGTCTCTCAGCTGGGAAGTGCGAGAGCCTGGATTTGAACCCAGGCGGTCTGACTCCAAACCCTTATGACCACTAAGCCCCACTGCTTCCCCAGCCATTCCTGATGTAGGAGCCCAGACGTGGTACCAGGAAGATGAGAGGACCACAGAGTCCCATTCTCAAGAATCATCGTTGATGGTAAAAGCCTGCCTGAACACGCAAGAACTCGCCCTCCCTCCACACTACCACAACCTGCGACCTGCGAACAATCATTAAAAGCAATTCCTCACCGAGGACAATGTGGGAGAAACTCGGGCAACTCAAACCTCCGTGAGGTCCGGAGGCTTCCTTCCTACTTGTCTGAACTAATCCAGTCTCAGCCTTTCAAAAAGGCAGCATCTGAATCAAGCAGAAAAAAGAGTGTTTTTTTTCTAGACTTGAAAAGCTCTCCAGAGAACTGTACACTGCAATCTCCATCTCTCAAGAGATTCTTTCTTCTCTCCCAAGGGCTTTCAAATGGGGAGCATTCAAACAATTACAGAAGCCAACATTTATTGAGCACTCACTATGTGCCAAGCCCTGTGTCATGTGGTTTACTTTCTACTTTTCCAACAACCCTAGAGAGTAGGTATCATTATTATCCCCATTTTCCGAGGGGGAAACCTGGCACAAAGAGGTTCAGCATCTTGCCCCAGAACACCCAGCTCATAAAGTGTAAAGCCTGCCTCTTCACCCAAGCCAACCTTGGGTCCAAAATCTGACTCTATGACACATCAGTAAATTGCTATTTGTGGATCATTTTATGAGCAGTACTACGGTCCTGATGACACTATATATAGCAGTAATTTTGAAACATGGCTTATAATCAGGGCACGATCGCCTTTTAATTGCACCATCATGCCCCTGTCCATAAAGAGAGCCTCGAGTCTTGTCTCATAAAGGAGTAAAGATTATCCTTATTGTAAGAAGCATAACTGTGGCCCATTAAACAGACACACAAATGCCTCCATCCACAGTAATGGTGGGGTTGATACCTTAGCCATGAGAATGTAATTATCTTATGGAACTCATCTTCATGACACTGGAGATGGTAACAGAAAAAGTCTATACACACAGCCAGAAGAACCTCTCAGTCTGTTTAGGGGTGAGAGAGTCTGCAAAGTTCCATGACACACTCAGCATGGGGCTGCCTTAGACACACAGTGGTGACTTGCTCTTTAAAGCATCTCCATTGGCCTTCTTGACTCACTGGTCTCACCTCTTCCTTGCCCTACTGGAACTTCCTGGGAGCACCTCCCAGATAAGCCCTGTGCATTCAAATCCTGACCTAGAGTTGCCTTCTAGGGATTCATGTTGGTGGGGAGCACACAGGACTGAAAGTGGACTGAGGCCAATGACTTGGCTAAGTAAGGGATGCTGTGCACAGACCTATCCCTAACTCGACAAGATCTTCATGGTGACTCTAGTAGCCTCAGCTCTCCTGTTTGGATCAGCCACCTGGTACCCCTTGTTACCGTCATTTCCCAAATCAAAGTAACCTCTGAAAATCAGGACACTCAATTAATTTTAAAGTCAAGGACCTCTTCCATGCAGGGAAACCTAAAATTGGAAATGTGACCTTATCTCTGACTCCAAGGAGACTCCAGTGGACTCTTCCCTCCCCTTCTTGACAAGAAACCAAGGACCCACATGTTCTTACTTGTAAACCCATAATACTAAGACCAACTGAAGCAGGCCAGCAATGTTCACTGACTTTAAGAATATTCCTGGATCAATCGGCTAAGCTCTATTTTAGCCCCAGCCATTGACTGTAAATGTTAAACTCTAACCAACTTTAATGTGATCCATCATCAGTCACCTAAATTTTCAGGGACTTCTATATATCTACATTTTCAGAGGTAACTGACCTCAGAAGAGATTTATTCTAGTTCTAAACTTGACTGTAAACATTTAACAAATACCCAAGCAAGTACTAGGCACCATGCACTGTTTTTGCTACTGGGGATACTGTGGGAGAACAAGACAACATTCCTGCCATCTCAGAGCTTACATTCTAGAGAAAGAGGTAAAATAAGAAATTTACTTGTGGTGAAGCGATCTACATACTATGGAGTAAAATAAAGCTGAGAGGGGGAACAGGGAATGACACGTGGCAGTGGAGTTATGGTTTTCAATAATGTGCTCACAAGAGGCCTCACTGGGCAGGTGACATTTCAGAAAGACTTGAAGCTCAAGAGATAGCAAGCCTGTAAGATGATCAGGTGGGCACTAGCAGGCAGGACAGAGAAAGAGAAGTAATATCCTTAGGACAGGTCACGGGCAGCCTTGGAAGTCACTATAAGGACTTCGGCTTTCACTCAGATACAGAGACTACAGAAATGATTAATAATGGATTATTCCATTATGTAATTACTGAGCCATAAAAAGAGAAGATTTCTATTTAATCATAAAAGACACTGCTCAAATTACATTTTCTAATTTTGCTACATGCCTTCGGAAAAGTTGACATCCAGAACACATTAGACCCTCCACAGGACACTTAACTAGAAAGCAGAGTCAATATGATAGGACCAACCTTGACATCTGTTGAAACAACAAAATGAATTCATAAGAAATACTACATCGATGCCGACCTCCATAGGGGAGAAGTCTAGCAATGCACCAGTGTGTACTAGGGATTTTTCAAGGTTACAGATCTCACATATGAGCTGCAAAAAGACAGGCAGGCATGCAGTAACCTACTTTTTTAGGATGTGAATGTCAGCCCTTAACGAATTTGACAGCCTTTATTCTCAGTGTATACAAAATCAGTATATCCTGTTACTTGTATATACAAACTCAAGGAAAGGGCCACTAACACCAGAGAGTGGTGCTTTGCATTAAATAACCCTCGTTTACAAAGCAACATCCTTCATGTAAACCCTTGTGGTAAGGAGATGTCAGAATGTTTTCTCTTATAAACCACTTAATTCCCCTTGGTGGATATCATCAATTCTGCCATCTAAAACCAGCTGGGTAATGAATGCCAAGAAACACGGTGAGCCAACTGTATGCCATTGCCACAGAAGGTCAAGTTAATCTATTTTTAAATAACACAGCCAATGACAAGGGGTGGCCACTGGAAACGATGGACAAGTGCGTTGTACGTCCTTGCTTCATTTTTTGTAAAACCTGTACAGTGTTCCACAGTGTAACCTAAAAATATCCTTCCAAGAGTGGTCTTTTGGCACCAAGAACAAAAACAGGTTGATTTTTGAAAGTTTAAGTTAAAAAAAAAAAGACATAAATACAAAGTACAATTTAAGAGCGAGAGGGCTAAAATTGGATTGTGTTCTGTAGCAAAGATCTGATTTGCTATTAGCCAAAAAAAAAAGTACACAGGGACAATGCTGCAAGAAAACGGAGGGAAAGAATCATTTTTAGGCATGAGGACACAGGTCCCACATCAACAAAAAAAATCCTCATCATCCTGCCTGCTGAACATCTGAAATTTCACGTTTAGAGGCTCACTTGTTAAACTTCAGTTAGAGTCAACAGGCAGAAATACTTGAATAGGATTCATTAATCCTTGTCAGTCATTTATAGCCCAGTATAAATTATTAGACACAGAAAGCCTGCTAATTGGAAGATCTGATTACGAGAAAGTGAAGACCTCTGGATCCTAAACAAGAAGTAAAAGACAAATCGAGAGAAAGGGAGGAAAGATGTTGCAAGTGGCCTAGTTGCACTTACCTTCCGAAACAATGGAATAGTCATTCAGGCATCCAACCAATTTTAGTGAGCACCTATTATTTGCTGGGTCTTTTTTTTGAGATGAGTCTCACTCTGTCACCCAGGCTGGAGTGCAGTGGCGCGATCTCAGCTCACTGCAACCTCAGCCTCCCGGGTTCAAGCAATTCTCTGCCTCAGCCTCCCTAGTGGCTGGGATTACAGGCGCCCACCACCACGCCCGGCTAATTTTTTTGTTTTTTTTTTTTTTTTAGTAGAGACAGGGTTTCACCATCTTGGCCAGGCTGGTCTTGAACTCCTGACCTTGTGATCCACCCACCTCGGCCTCCCAAAGTGCTGGGATTACAGGCATGAGCCACCACGCCTGGCCCTGCTGGGTCTTTTTTAGACACTGAGAAATACAGCAGTGAACAAGAGAGACAAGCTTCTTGTTTTCATGGAACTTCTATTCTCATGGGAGGGGAAACAGACAATAAAGAAGAAACAGGGCCCGTTGCGGTGGCTCACGCCTACAATCCTAGCACTTCGGGAGGCCAAGGCGGCAGGCAGATTGCCTGAGCTCAAGAGACCAGCCTGGGCAACATGGCGAAACCCCACCTGTACTAAAATACAAAAAATTAGCCAGGCATGGTGGTACATGCCTATAATGCCAGCTACTCGGGAGGCTAAGCATCAGAATTGCTTGAACCCGGGAGGCAAAGGTTGCAGTGAGCCGAGATCGCACCACTGCACTCCAGCCTGGGCAACAGAGCGAAACTCCATCTCAAAAAAAAAAAAAAAAAAAACAACAACAACAACAACAGAAGATAATACGAGATTGTGTCAAGGCTATGAAGGAACAAACAGGGTGAGGGAATGGCACTTTACTCAGGGAGCTATCTTTTGTGTGTGTGTGTGAGATGGGGGTCTCACTCTGTCACCCAGGCTGGAGTGCAGTGGTACAATCTTGGCTCACTGCAACCTCTGCCTCCTGGTCTCAAGCGATTCTCCCACTCTGCCTCCCGAGTAGCTGGGACTACAGAAGTTCGCCACCACGCCCAGCTAGTTTATGTATTTTTTGGTAGAGACTTCACCATGTTGCCCAGGCTGGTCTTAAACTCCTGAGCTCAAGTGATCCACCCACCTTGGCCTCCCAAGGTGCTGGGATTACAGGTGAGCCACCACAAGGGCACTATCTTATATGCAGTCAGTGGTGTGTGGGGGCCAGCTCACATTGGCTTGGGAACAGCAAGTATACGCGTCTCTTCCCAACTCCAGCTATGCTATAAATCAGGGTCTACCCACTACTAGCACTGGTTGTTAAGCATTTTACAGCACACCAGAAGGAGGTCACTGAGGAGAAAGAAGCAAGACCAGAGATTCATGAGAAACCAAACAACTCTGAAAGACAAGGCCCTGTGTTTTAAAATGAGAGTTATTGTCATACATTCCAATGAATCAAAACAATACCAAAACAAAAAACCACACAAAGAACTATATTCAACCATATGTGATCACAATTTCCCTCATTACAGTGAGGGGAAGGGTCTGGTGGTGGTTTGGTTTGGCTTTTAAATTGTATCTCTTTTATTATCTCCACACTGCCACACATACACAAAAAGTAGAGGGATAGTTACAGTTCCTGGGTAATTTGAAAAACCACAAAATTCACCTGCAAAAATATGTAAGCATGACCTGTAATACACCACTTTGGGAAACTACAATCATACCATTTTAAACCTTTGGAGTCTGGGTGATTCATGGAAACAAAGGATTTCACGAGCACAAATAACCTGAAGAGGCTCACCCACTTATTTTTGGCATAGAGAAATGTAGGCTCCAAGAATGTGACTGGCAGAGCTTATTCTAGAACCCAGGTCACCTGTCTCATCTGATGTCATCTTCTCAATTTTGGTCTATACCCTAGTACAGTAGTTCTTAAAACTGAACCCTTGAATCCCTTAATAAGCCCATCAGAATCCCTTGAGGGTTTATTAAAACACCCCATGGTTGTTACCCCACCCCCCAACCCCAACCCCATCCCCCGCAAAGCTTCTGAATTGGTAGAACTAAGGTGGGGCCCAGGAATCTGGATTTCTAACCAGTTCCCAGGTTACTATACTAATGCCACTGGTCTGAGGACCTCACTTGGAGACCTACTGTCCCAGGAATTGGGAGCACAGGCTTTGGAATCAGACAGAGCTGGGTTGCAGCTCTACTGCCACTGTGGTATGACCCTTGGAAAAGTTACCCAAATTCTCTGAACCTCAGCTTCTAACATCTGAGTCCAATTGTAAGGACTGAAAAAGAGAATGCCCACGAAGCATCAGCTTAGCCAAGCACCTATTATATTCTAAGGCAAGATCTTAATACATACTAGCGACATCTTATATCCTGTATCAAAGTTTCCTTAATTACATTTTTCCGAAGCATATACTAGGACGGCTAAAATTCAAAAGACAAACAAAATCAAAGATGGCCAAAGATGTAGAGCAACTGAAACATTAATAACAGCTTTATTCGTAATAGTAAAAAATGGTAAATACTCCAAATGTCCATAAACAAGCAAAAGGACAAACTGGTATGTGTATACAATGGAATATTACTTAGCAATAAAAAAAGAACCAAATGAAGTACACATGCAACAAAACGAAATCTCCAAAATATTTTGTTGAGTAACAAAAGCCAAACACAAAAGAGTACATACTGCATTAGTTCATTTTTATGAAGTTGAAGACAAAATTATTCTATGGTAGATCTATGGTGCAGGGGGAGGGGGGAATTAACTGGACAGGAACATGAGAAAAATTTCTGGGGTGATGAAAATGTTCTCTATCTTCATTTGAGTGATTAACATGAGTGCATACATCGCTTAAAACTCATCAAATTATATATCTAAGATATGCATTTTACTATAGGTAAATGATACCTGAATACACATAATTATATATAACTTTGTAAAGGCATTTTATGACAAAGTACTGTCTTCCCCACTTAAAATGAACCAACTCCAACCTGACAAAGGACTGTCTTCTCCATTTAAAATGAACCAAGTCCAACCTGGCAGATCCATTGAGTTTGATTCCTGCACAATCCAGTCCTGTCACAGACAGTTTTGGTCCATGTATCTTTCCAGAGAACTGCCATGAAGTAGAAAAACAGAATTTTCTCCCACCATGTAGACAGTATCCAGAGTGATCTGTGTCCCTGGAAGTGGCTAACTTGGGATGCAAACAACACAAAAGTAGTATTTTTCTTTACCATATACCAAGTATGAGCCTGCTTGATATGACTTTAAAAGGCACAGTAATGAAGACACATTAAGAGCAATTCTGTCATACAATCTAAATCATATTCTCAACATGGAAGAGGGAGCAGAAAACTGGTGAAATGGTTTCTAGGGCCATCATTACTGGTAATGAAGACGTCAGAAGATCCAACTGTGCCTGTGTAATTATTACATGAAATAGTCACTTTCAGACTGCAATGAATTCCAGGCCATTCAGGTTTCCCAATCAGTATCATATTTCTATCCCATTACAAGTAGATTCACGTACATCCATCCATACATACATATACACACACACACAGAAACATACCCACACACTCGCCCCTGCTGTGAACAATCTGTGCACAAGGGGTGAAGAGAGCTAACACCTGGAGACACTACAGTTTCCTTTCAACTCAGAGGTGTCTGTTTCCAAACCCACTTGATTATCTCACCAAGCCTTCCTAAACTCCATGATGAGAGAGCCCTGGGACATCGCCTCCCAGAAATTTGGCAACTAGTGGAAGGAAGAGACACAAGCCCATGCAGCATCTTGCACACTGCAAACACTGCAAGCCAGCCCCTATTCAGGACCCGTTAGACACTGCGAGGCATCCCCCTAGTTGGGCAGGTACCCTTGCCTGTCCTTCCTCCACCCTTTCTCCAAAATGGTCCTGAACTGAGACCTGCAGCTGCTCCCATCCTATGCCTTCACACAGTATTTTCTCTACAGCCCTATCAAGTCATAATTATCCAGGTTCCTGACACTAAAAACTAGTTTCAGAAATAAATAGCTGCTAAAATCAATTCAAACATAAATAGCTAATCTTTATGGAGCACTTACTATGTACAGGCACTGTTGGGTGCACTTTCCACGTGTTAGCTTATGTAATACCCACAGGAAAGCCAGTGTGAGGAAGACGCATTGTCAGGCCAGGAAAGGTTTTGAACCTCAAGCAAAACCTGGAGAGGTATGCCAGGAATGAGGCACAATCTCTCCCTTTAATGAGCTCACTACCTTGTATGGAAATGAGGACCTAACTCAGAGTTCAGAGTAAGTAAAAAAGCCACAAAGTAGACATTAAAGGAGCCCAAAGGAGGAAGAATTTGTGCATCCTAGCAGGATTCTGGAGGGCTTCTTGGAGGAGGTATCCCAGTGGAGAATGAAGTCATAAATACAAGGAGCTTTCCATAGCTAAGTGTCAGCTCCTCAGCTCCCAAAGCTGCTAAAAGGCCAGGCGAGTCGGCCGCCCCCTCCTCCATTTCATCTGGAGCACGCCTGTTTCCAAGAGAGGACCAGCTAGGCCCAGCCCTTCCTTTGACACATTCCTCCAGCTGCTGCCTGTCCTTATGGAAACACATGGGAACTTTTCACCATGTTCAACTTCACGACTTCCTTCGGTGCTTTCACTGGGGAGAACCTGCGTCATGGCACTTGCTTGCACAAGGGAGCCCTTTAAGGGCCTCAGCTGGTCTCCATTGGGTTGACATGAGGACAGCCCCTTGTCTGTACCAAAGTGAGATGTAAGGGACCTACATCACCAGCAGCCAGCAAATGCATCTTTTAAAAGGCCTCTACAGATTTCTGAGAGAGGAATTTGCTTCCACTCCCTCCTCAGGAATCAGCCCCTTCAGTGCGGTAGGGTCATCCCCCCACTCCTTCCTCCTCCATACTTAAGGCTCTGCAGCAAGGGCTCAAACCCTCGCTTTTGGCAACTGTGTGACCTTGAGCAAGTCACTTAACCAGTATCAATCCCAGTTTCCTTATCTCTAATTTGGGGTATATAAATAAGAACAACTCGTTCTTAGAACTGTTGTGAATCGGAGTGAGATAGTGCAAGTAAAGTATTTTACACAGAGCCGGGCATGTAGTAAACCAACAATGAATAGTAGCTTCATTTTCATCATCAATAATGACGATGATGGTGGTGGTGGGAGGGTAAACTTGGACCCGATTCGAGCTAAAAGCAAGCACCCCTTCCCCCTCTCCCCCTCCCAAGTGTATGGCTGAGCCACACGGTGGAGACACATGCGTCATCCGGCTGAGGGGTGAATGCAGGCTCTTCTGGCGGCGGGCTCAGGAACCGCCAGGCAGTGGTGTCCTAGCTCACCTGGAGGGGTCGCGGGGTGAAGCAGATTTTCTGATGGGGGAGGTCCAATAAACTACAGACCCTCTCTTTCTGTATACCCACTCAGCAGGTATGGAAACTGACTCGTGGCCAAAGAACGCCAGCTGCATCCCTCCCCCAAGGAGCCAGGACAGCGTCCACCATGCCCCTGACTCAGTTCCCCAACTCTCTCTCGGGTGCAGGCGAGACTGCGCTGCACTTAGTGGCGGAGATAACAGGTTGGCCAGCCAGGCCTGAGAAACGTCCCCCCGCTACCTTGCGCAAACCCAGCCCCCTCTTCGAAACGCAGGTGGGCAAACAACCCTCAACCTCGCAACAACTTTGTGTATTTCACCGCCACCACAGGGCGCACGGCCTCAACTTCTCTTCACTGCGCTCCGAGGAGGGAAGCAGGAAATCGAGAATAAGGGGCAGCCCACAGACCACCCTCCTTTTCTCGGGGCGCCCCCCAAAGGCGCGCCCTGCCTTACCTTGTCTGACGGCCTTGAAGGTGACGGCCTCCTTGCAGCTGTCGATGACCCCCAGCACGTCATAGCGGGGCAAGCCGGACACCCGGACCCCCTGCACCTCCAGAAGCAGCTCCCCTTCGCCCAGCCTCGGGCCCTCGCCGCCGCCGGGAAGCCCCGCTGCCTCGACCGCCGCCACCGCTCCGACGTACGGAAACTCCCCGTGCTCCGCGCCTCCCAGCACCGTCACCCCCAGCTCGCCCTGGGGTCCCCGCTTCACGGTGCATTCGTGAACCCTGCTAGTCCAGTGGTTCTTCTTCTGGATCACTTTGGACATGATGAGTTACACCCCTCCTCCAAAAAAATAAAACGAGAGACAGGTGCCCCCCACAGCACGAGCCCCCAAGCCTCCGCTTGTTCATGGGAGAAACATCTCTCCCCAAATCACAAAACAGGAGAGAGAAACTTGGCAGCCTCGCTCCCCTGCACACGCTCGCGCACTCAAGCCATCATAAAACAAACTTTCTGGGCTTCCCCGCGAGCCCCGCACAGGCGCCCGCGAGCTTTGTTTGCATTCCGGTGCCTCTGGGTCCACGTTCCGGCGCCCGCCCGTGCTCTCCCGGACCAGAGTCCACTCTGCGCCGCTCGGGTTATTTTTTTTTCCTTCCTTCCTTTCTCTCTTGCCTTTTACAAATGCGGTGCCTCCTCTTTGCCTCCCGCCCGGCTCGCCTCTCCTCGCTGGCAGGCTGTTACTGAGGGTGAGGGAAGCCCTTCCAGCCAGTTGCCGGGAGCCCTGAAGACGCGGTGGCGGGGCGGCGGGGAGCAGGGCGGGAGGTAAGTGCTCGCGGCCCCTTTAAGCAGATACAAAGGCTCGGCTTGTTTTGTTACAGTTCATTCTATTCCGCGCCGCGGAGCGCAGCGGCCGGCGACAGGAGACGCGCGCGCATGCGCCCCGCGGCCGCCAGCCGGCCGGCCCACCCCTCCCCTCCTCCCCGAAGGGAGAGATTCCAACGTGCTTCCCGATGGGTCCTAAAACCGACCTGCCGGGAGAAGGCAACTCCCCCCCAACCCTTCCTGAACCCCTATCCTCTCTCCTTTTCTTTCAGTGCCCTGGACTCCGCGGATTCCTTTGGGGCTGGAGGGCCGCACACGTGTTTTACTCCAACTGTTTGCAACTTTTGAAACCCGGGCAATCTGGCTTTGGCATTTGAAAACCATTTCAAACAGGTGGGGGTTGGGGAGGCTGCCACACTCACCCTGGCGCTCACACTCACGCACACGCGCACGCACTCGCGCCGGCCCTAAGCCTCCTAACCGCCCTCGGCCAGTGGCTGGCCAGGCTGTCGGTCACCCAGCCCGGCTGGTTCGCCGCCCCCCTTGCCGCAGGTCCCACTGAAACCCCCGAGACCCGCCCCGGGGCGCTCGCCGCCTCCCTGCCTGCCCTGCGCTTGCGGGTTCGGGTCCTGGCGCGGGGTCTGCCAGGGTCTCTGCGACCCGGGGGAGGGGGACGGTGGGATCCTCCGGTTCCCCAACTGGGATCCCTGTGCGGGTCACACGCGCTCTTACACACACCCGCATCCTTAAACTTTGGGACCAACTTTTTAGGACACGGGAAACTACAGGCAAGAGAGAGAAGCCATGGTGCTAGTGTGGGTTCAGGTATTCAACCAAAAAAGAGATCCCTCTAGCTTTTCAACTGCCCTGCCAGCAGAGACTGCTGGACCCAGTCAATCATCTGCCCCGGCCTCAAGTTCCTGGCAGGGCCGAGAAGCCTGCGGACCTACTCCGGGGCCAGGAGATAAGGATCCCCGCCGGGCGCGGACATGCCCTGCGTCCTGGCGCCCGCGGGGGCGTGAGAGAACTCGGAATTCGCAGCCCGGGGGTAGCTGCGGCCTCCGGAGGTCGCCCGGGGGTGCGGATGGAGTGACTTCTGTCCCGGCGAGGTGGCGGACAGAAAGACTCCCATACCACAGGAAGGCTGCCCTTCCCAAATACTCCTCAAATCAGGCTGCTGAGTAGTCTCCCCAGCAGTTTGTTTTCCTCTTTAGTGATGTATAATTTTGTTCATCTTTGGTCACAGGAGAGATTCCAAGAAATGAGGGGGGTACGTTGAAACGATGAAGAAAGGATGGACACAGCAGTCGAGGTTGAGAGGTAGGCTCAGGGGTCCACCCTTGTGTGACCTTGAGCAAGCTTGGTGACCTCCGCGCCTCCGTTTCTCGCTGATCAAATAAGTAGAACAAGACCTCACAGGGTTCTTGGAAGTATTACGTGGGAAAACACTTATAAAGTGGCAAATAATAAAAACTCATTATATTCTTAATAGTAGTATTACTATTTGGGAAGAAAATTGGGAAATCATTTGGGGATTCAAGTTAGTAAGTATGATAATTTATCCTCTCCTTTCTAGAACTTAGAAAATATGGGCATACTTTGTGTGTTTGTTTTTTGATGGTGGTGGTGGTGTTTTTAGAAACGTGGTCTTGCTTTGTCCCCAAGCTGGAGTGCAGTAGCTCGACTAGCTGATTGTAACCTCGAACTTCTGGACTCAAGCAATCCTACCACCTCAGCCTCCTGAGTATCTGGAATTATAGGCACATGCCACCATGCCCAGCTAGTTTTATTTTTTTGATTTTTTGTAGACATGGGGGGGTCTCCCTATGTTGATTGCCCAGGCTGGTCTCAAACTCCTGGGCTCAAGCCAACCTCCTGACTCAGCTTCCCAAAGTGCTGGGGTTATAGATGTGAGCCACCATACCTGGTTTAGGCATACGTTTAAACATCCTTTTAAAGCATTGTAGGGTGCTATTCTAAGCTAATAAAAGTAAGGAGGGATGTTGATGCTTCTCTCTTGGGATATCCAGAACTGAAAATCCCATTGCATTGTTGTGTTTCTGAAAAAAGGAGGTGACCAATTTTCCATGGCTTTGCTTGGTGAGAGGAACTTTGTCTCCAGCTTTTTTTCAGAAGCAATCTAGGTCAATATGAACAGCACTTCAAAACATAAATTATCAAACCCGAGCACAGATCCAGCCAATCAGAATGTCAAGGAAGGGCTAAGTCATTTGAACTTTTAAGGTTCCCCTTATGTGTTGTTGGTACACAACGCTGAGCACCATAGGTTTAGTATCTTGATTCCAAAGCATTGTTTGGGTCCCAGACCTTTTTGTCAAATAAACCTGTGATCCACATCTCTGTGTAAAATAAAAACTCAAGGAGGTCAGGACACTTTGACAGTTTGGTTTACTGATGTATTATTCCCAGTTCCTAGAATGGTGCCTCGTACTAGCAAATGCTAAAATATTTGTCAAATGACTCTTTCCACAAAAATGTACATTTTTACTTTCCATGTTAGTGGGGAGTCACAGATTCCCCTGCAAATCATTAGTAAGCTTAGTAAGCTTAGCCTTGTGTGTTTCCCCACTTTGCCACTTCATATTCTAGTAAAGTGTAATTGTTTGCTAAGAATACCCACAACCAACCTTGAATTAGGAGTCCCCTACCTCTCCACTCAACTCTCACCTCTGCCTGGGGGAGTCCAAGGGCTGGACAAGACCAGGCGTTTTGTGATTCCTCCCAATGCAACAACATCCCCCTCTTGCCAGGATTCCAGGTGTCACCACAGCAGCTGAGAAAGGAAAGAACTTGGAATTTAGCATACGTCAGGTTTTAGATGTGGAAAAGCCCCAAAAGAAGGAGTAGTACCTGTGGGCACAGAGGGCAATATGGAGAGAATAGACATTATTCTAATTCAGGAAAAGGAAAAATAATTTGAACCTTCAAAGTAGCCAAGGCTGCCAGTTTCCAGGATGCTCCCTCTGCATCTTCCCGGCTGGTGTTTCACCTGGTCTAGTTCCTGTGTCCCAGACTGGAGAAGTTCAAGGCAGAGATCATCTCTCTCCTATCCAACCTTTGAAACCTCAATACCAAAAACCATGAACCATGCCTTGTGTGGAGTGTGCACCATACACAGTTGTTGAGTGAATTGATGAAGTGTGACATGAAATTGTTGAATAAATGGATGAAGTATGACATGAAATTGTGTAATATGTGACCTTTGATCCAAAGCCAGTTTAGATTTGGTTGCCAAAACAGGGGTATTTATATTAGGTTGGTGCAAGAGTAATTGCAGGTTTTGCCATTACTTTCAATGAAAAGAGCTTATAGTTATGTCATTGTGAAGTAGATTTTTCCTGAATAGATCTAAGATCCTAGTATTCTGACTTGTCTCACTTTAGCTATGAATTTGGCAATACATTCTGTTGGGAGAAATAATGCTATAAAATACCTAACTTTCAAGCTTACTGTATATGTCAGCGTAGTGATGTGAGTTGGGGGTTTTTTTGTTTGGTTTTTGTTTGTTTGTTTGTTTGTTTGTTTTGAGACAAACTCTCACTCTGTCATCCAGGCTGGAGTGCAGTGGTGCCGTCTCGGCACACTGCAACCTCAGCCTCCTGGGTTTAAGTGATTCTCACGCCTCAACCTCCCAAGTAGCTGGGATTGCAGGAGTACACCACCATGCCCAGCTAATTTTTGCTTTTTTAGTAGAGACAGGGTTTTGCCATGTTGGCCAGGCTGGTCTCAAACTCCTGACCTCAGGTGATCCACCTACCTCGGCCTCCCAAAGTGTTGGGATTACAGGCGTGAGCCATCGCGCCCAGCTGATGTGAGTTATTTTATGCAATCACCACAGTTGTGTAAGGTAGGAACTATCAGGAATGACCTTGATTTTATAACTGAGGAAAATGAAGCTAAGAAAGTGAAGAAACTTGCCCCAGAGCTTACAAGTAACAAAACCAGGAAGTGAACCCGGAGGCATGACCCAAAACCCATGCTCAGAACACTGTAGTCTGAGAGGATAGGATGTGGCCATTTAGCATATTTGGGTAACAGCATGCTCTGGACTCTTGAATCTGCTACATAGTGTATACACAGTAATTAAGTCCCCCTCCTTTCTGTCTCTTCACTTTAAGCTAAAGGATACAGTGTTTCACTCCAGAACTCAATCTCCTGTTCTCCATCTATGGGCTTTGAAGATTCAAATAATTCAGGAATGCAAAGAGAATTAATTTGCAAACATTTCTACAGTGTTTAGGCTGCAGTACAGGTGACATGCCAAACAGTCTTATATTATTGCATAAGCATTTCAACAATGAACTCCTAATACAGAGGGTAGATTCAGCTGAGAAATAAACTATAACAGAATAAACACTAGACAAATTAAGATCTTATTTGTATATAGCTAGTTCTACTAGGGGGAAGAAAAAAAAACGAATATGAAATGTGCATTTCTTTCCCTTCTCCGAAATATATTTCTTTCCAAAGTTTTCCAGTTGTGATTAAAGAAATGTGTCATTGCAGTTTAAAGTGGTAATTTTCCTCCTTTTTCTGAAAATATGAGGATGGGAAATAAGTTGGTCAGTTGCAGGGGCAAAGGAGGACATATAAATTGGTTATTTTTTTAATTTCTGAAGAAAGCTATCAGGAGGCATACATTAGAGGTTTTAGTATAAATAGGTTATATACGGTAGGGTAACCGACTCCAAACAGGTAACTCAGGGCAGAAGACCAGTAGGGGAGATTGAAGCCAGGGTAGCTTCCTCTGACCATAGTATTCCTCCCTTTAGTACTTTCAGCTAAGCAAGAAAAAATAAAATGTTGTACTTTGGCAAACCAAGGTGGATGATCACTTGAGCCCAGGAGTTCGAAACCAGCCTAGGCAACATGGTGAAACCCCATCTCTATAACACATACAAAAAATTTGCCAAGTGTGGTGACATCCACCTGTAGTCTCAGCTACTCAGGAGGCTGAGGAAGGAGGATTGCTTGAGCCCAGAAGGTCGAGGCTGCTGTGAGCTATCATTGCACCATTGTACTCCAGCCTAGGCAACAGAGCAGGACCCTGTCTCAAAAAATAAAAATAAAAAACAAAATAAGTCTGGGCACAGTGGCTCACACCTGTAATCCCAGCACTTCAGGAGGCCAAGACAGGCAGATCACTTGAAATCAGCAGTTCAAGACCAGCCTGGCCAACATGGTGAAACCCCATCTCTACTAAAAATACAAAAATTAGCCAGGCGTGGTGGCACACACCTGTAATCCCAGCTACTAGGGAGGCTGAGGCAAGAGAATTGCTTGAACCCAGGAGGTGGAGGTTGCAGTGAGCGAAGATCATGCCACTGCCCTCCAGCCTAGGTGACACAGCAAGACTCCATTTCAATAAATAAATAAATAAAATATTAAATTGTGTGACAATTGTGTGACTTTTCAAGACATCATATATGAACTATTATTTTAATAGCCCTGGAAGTAACTCCAGGAAGGGTTTAAATCCTGGTTAATGTTCTGTTTCACTTAAGTGCAAAAAAAAAATAAATCTTGGGAACTGGAATATTTGGTTAGACTTTTGGTCTGAGGAACCAAGGGAAATCAAAAAATGTATCACGAGTATCTCTCCTAAAATTTCCCAAATGGTTCAGCTATATAAAACACTAAGTATCTCAAATTATCCTATCATCCTCCATAATTCCACTGAAACTATACCTGATGGTTTACTAACACTTAATTTCCTTGAGAACAGGAAACTCTCATTTTCCCGAGAACAGACGTGTGTACCTCTTTTATATTGTCTCCCATCAACTTTGTCAAAATATGGTAATTAGAACATGGCTTACTCTATATTTCTTTTTTTCTTCTTTTTTTTTTTTTTTTTTTTTTTTTTTTTTTTGAGACAGGGTCTCATTCTGTTGCCCAGGCTGGAATGCAAGATCACAGCTCACTGCAGCCTCCACCTCCCAGGCTCAAGTGATCCTCCCATCTCAGCCTCCTGAGTAGCTGGGACTGCAAGTGTGAGCCACTACACCCAACCTTCCTCTTCTTTATTGTATATCTTTATCAATTTACTGTACCAAAACAGAACTGAGAGGGAGAAAAAGGAAAATACACATTGAAACTAAGGGTAAAATGCCCATATTTTTAAAAATACCATACTAATATAAATTTTTGCAAGAAATTTTTAAAACAGACAAGTAAACAGGCACATTAAATTAAATCATTTGTAATCTTACCACCAATAATTAACCACTTTTTATATTTGGTGAATCTTATACTGGACCTACATGAACTTGCATTTATTACTTTCAATAATTGAATAATATTTTATTCTCTGAATGTTTCCAAATTTATTTAATCTTAATAGTCCATTGATGATTAGGATTCTGAAGAAGGCTAAAATAACAATTTGTATTAGGGTGTTTTTGATTGTCAGAGACAGAAACCCAGTTTAACTACCTTAAGCAAAAAATGAAATATATTACTCCATGTAAGTGGCAAGACCAGAGGTGAAACTAGTTTTCAATATGTCTGGATGAAGAGGTTCAAGTGACATCCTCAGCTTTCTCTCTCTCTCTGTGTCTTGATTCTCCTTTGCTGTCTTGCCCTCACCCTCTCCCACTACATACAGATGGGTCTTCTCCAGCCAGCCAGGAAAGATAGCTAGCTACAAGCAGCCTACATGATCCAGGTTTAGCAATCCCAGCCAAAAGGAGATTTTCACTAACAGGAGGGAAAAGGAATAGAGAAACTTCAGTCTCTAATAAAGCAATTTCAGTTGTTGAGGGTAGAGGTAGAGTCTGCCTGCTTTGCGGTGGCTTCCACAATAAACACGAGTGATTCAAAAACCTCATCAGCTGCCTAATCAAGCCTGGCAGAGTGTTTGGGGCTCCTTAGGGAAACCTCATCGAGGTGGGTTCCTCTGCAGACTCTTATCATGGTCTCCTTTTCTGCAGTTACCTAAAGGTTCCACGAATTCAAGTATAGTGGGAGTTTGATTTCAATCAAAGCTGCAGTGGTTGGCCCATATTTTTATAGATGTTTTGAAGATATTCTAAAGCTGGCAACACTGCAGGATTGAACCCCTTACAATGGAAGCCAGTCAAGTGTTATACTTGTTTAATACAGATGGCTCGTTAAACTACATAACATTGATTTCAAATGTCCCAAAATGAGTCTTGAGTTTCTCTGAGGCTAAACTGAAAATAACAATTAAATATCCCATGATGGCACATGACAGTTGGTAGATTGTTTTTATTCATTCATTCATTCATTCATTTAGCAATTTTTTTTTTTTTTCTTGAGACAGAGTCTGGCTCTGTCTGTCATCCAGACTGGAGTGCAGTGGCGCATTCTCAGCTCACTGCAACCTCTGCCTCTTGGGCTCAAGCCATCCTCCCACCTCAGCCTCCCTAATAGCTGAGTCTACAAGTACACACCACCACGCCTGGCTAGTTTTTGTATTTTTTGTAGAGACGGGGTTTTGCCATGTTGCCCAGGCTGGTCTTGAATGGTCTTGAATTCCTGGGCTCCAGCAATCTGCCCATCTCTGCCTCCCAAAGTGCTGGGATTATAGGCATGAGCCACCGTGCCCAGCCCAGCAATTTTTGTTTGTTTTGAGATAGCATCTCACTCTGTCACCCAGACTGGAGTGCAGTGACACAATCATGGCTCACTACAGCCTCCAACTCCTGGGCTCAAACAATCCTCCCACCTCAGCCTCCCACATAGCTCAGCCACAGGCACACACTAACCAACCTGTCTAATTTTTTTATTTTTTGCAGGGACTGAGTCTCACTATGTTGCCCAGGCTGTTCTTGAACTCCTGGCTTCAAGCCATTCTCCCGCCTCCTCCTCCCAAAGTACTGAGATTACAAGTGTAAGCCACCACATCTGACTTTTTTTTTTCCTCCAAGCAATTCTCCTGCCTCAGCTTCCTGAGCAGCTGGGATTACAGGCACCTGCCACCATGCCCAGCTAATTTTTTGTATTTTAATACAGACTGGGTTTCATCATGTTGGCCAGGCTGGTCTCGAACTCCTGACCTCAAGTGATCCACCCACTTCAGCCTCCCAAAGTGCTGAGATTACAAGCATGAGCCAGCATACCTGGCCACAGCTGGCCTTTTTTTTTTTTTTTTTTTTTTTTTTTTAGCAATTATTGATTAAACACTTATTTTGTCAACTCCTTGTAGGGACTGATGGCACAGCACTAAAAGACACTTCCCCCCCACCCCAACCCCCGGAGGAAGCCTACCTCCCAATTTGATATTGAAACAAGAAAAAAGATCAGTACTTGGTAAGGTCAATGACAGGGAAACCCAGGTTACCGTGGAGGACATCTCATTAGGGAGGATTTTAATTTGTAAACATGGCATTAGAAATTAAAAGTGCCATTGTTAGAAGAATTTCTTGTCTCCTCTCCTCTAATTTATTTTACAAGTATTTTGAGAAGTGAAAGACAAAGTCCAGCTTTATGATTACATTATGATACTCAAAGATATGTTTTATGGAGGCATTCACAGAGTTCTAAGGTGGTTAAAGTTGCCCACGATGTGAATATATAGTTCCATAAAGGACAATGCTATCTTGCCACAAAGCTGATCCAGCAAACACTAGGTGGGGTTTTGAAAAATGACTCGGGATAACGAAGCAATCTGGAGTCTGAGCAACCTTGCTCCTTGAACTGTGCCATCTTTGGAAAATTGGCCCCCACCAAACTGTATAGCCAGATGAATGAGGACTCAGAAAGATAATGTATTACTCACTTTCCAGATTTAGCACGTTCCTAGAATTTTAAACTCATTTTTATGGACTGTTGCCTAACTGAGGGGAGACTTAGACAAACCCAGAGTGGTTATGAGCAACATCCCCGGGGGAGTCAGTGCCCAAATTTGGAGTCCTTGTGTCCTGAACATTCCTGACACTCCTGGCTTGGATATTCAGCCTGCCCGAGTTGGAGTACCCCAGGGATTTTAGATGCAGCTGAGAACTGCTGAATTAAGCCAAGTGTTGGAAGATCCTGCAATTTTCATTATTAAGTTAGCCCTCTGCTTTATTGAATGCACAAGCTGGCATATGCTTGGGAATGTTTCTGCTTCCAAACTCACAGCATCTACATTTTTCAGATGTTTGACCTTGATCTTGTGACCTTGCCTCTAGAACTCTGAGAGTGCTGGGAATACTCACAGCTGAGTGATGGAAGCAAAAACTAGAAAACAATCTTTTTTTCTTTTTTAACTCACTTACAATACAGGGTTACCTGGCTTGAGACTAGACTGTTTTAGACTAGACTTACCTTCCTTAAGTTATTAATTTTATCATATAATCTCAGTATGACTTCACTTTTTGAATTGATACCACTAAAGCCTGAAACTATTAAAGCTATGCAATCTGCTTGCTAAGGCAAGCTGGTATTTCCTGATACTGCTATCCAGATAGCTGAGAACCTTCTCTAGAGTCATGTTTTTCAAACTTTTCTGATTGCTGTTTGCAATAGGAGATGTATTTTTATCACTAGCACACACACACACATACACATATATACATATGGTTGAAACAAACTTTTCATGAAACCATAATTATCCTTTCTGGGCCTGTCACAGTGGCTCACGCCTGTAATCCCAGCACTTCGGAAGGCCAAGGCAGGTGGATCACTTGAGGCCAAGAGTTGGAGACCAGCCTGGCTAACATGGTGAAAACCCGTCTTTACTAAAAATACAAAAATTAGCCAGGCGTGGTGGTACATACCTGTAAACCCATCTACTTGGGAGGCTGAGGCAGGAGAATCGCTTGAACCTGGGAGGCAGAGGTTGTAGTGAGCCTAGATAGTGCCACTGCACTCCAGCCTGGGCAACAGAGTGAGACTCTGTCTCAAAAAAAATAAAATAAAATAAAATAAAAATTATCATTTCTGCCTACAATGCCCTATGCCAGGGGTTACAACCCATAGTCAATCCATTCCTTAACCTATCCCTGTCTGACTCATGAGCTAAGAATGGCTTTACATTTTTAAATGGATGAAAAACAAATCAAAAGAAGAATAACATTTATATGGAGACACATTTACAACATGGCATGCACTGCTACAAATCTTTGCATTTACTGTCACATTAAATCTTTACAATAATTTGTCTTTGTCTTAACAAAAATCATGACCACAATAGCAACAATGGCTAACGTTTTTTGAGGGAGTGCTCATGGTGCTGAGCATTTTGGTAAATGCGTTATGTGATACATGTATTTAATCCTCTGCACCCTATAAGGCAGGGAGTATTAGCATTCCCATTTTACAGGTGAGGAAACAGAGGCTTGATAAGGCTATGTAACTTGTAGAGCATCACAAACCTAGGAAATGGCAGTTGGGGTTTGATTCTAGGTTTTTCTGCTTCTGGTTCAATGATTTTGACTACTATTTACCTTGGTAGCTCCTTGCCAACTTGACCCACAACATGGACTCGATGAATATTTGAAAAATGAATGAATACATGCGTGAATGAATGAAGGACCTTGAGATGGAATGATGGTCTTCCATGGATCCTAAACAACTATGAGAACACAGACAAATTAGGTGATTGTTCTGTGCTTTTAAATGTAGGCTGAGCATGGTGGCTCATACCTGTAATCCCAGCACTTTGGGAGGCCGAGGCAGGCAGATCGCTTGAGCCCGGGAGGTTGAGGCTGCAGTGAGCCATGTTTGTGCCACTGCACTCCAGCCTGGGCAACAGAGCAAGTCTATCTCAAAAATAAAATGAAGTAAATGCAAGCAAACAAAGTAAACATCTCATTTATTGAGTGTTTACAATGTGCCTAACACTGCACATAAGTGCTTTCAATGCCATTCTCATTTGATCCTCATGACACTATAAGGTAGATGCTATCCCTGTTTTACAAATTTAGAATGAGGTTCAGAGAGGTTAAGTATCTTGCCAAAGATGACATAACCAGTATTCAGACCTGTTGTCACTGAGACTAAGGACCAAGACCATGTTCTTAACCACTGTGCTATATACTTCCATTTATTAATTTCTAACATCCCTGTAATATCTACCCTATGGTTTTAAGGCAAAATAAGCAATATTGCTAGAGCCTTCATTAGTAATTATAGTGTGAGCCAGGTACAGTGGCTCATGCCTGTAATCCCAGCTACTCAGGAAGCCAAGGTGGGAGGATCCCTTGAGGCCAGGAGTTCGAGACCAGCCTGGGCAACAAAAGGAGACCCTGTCTCTACAAAAATAAAAATTAACCGAGCATGGTGGTGTATGTCTGTAGTACTAGTTACTCAAGAGGCTGCAGTGGGAAGATCCCTAGAGCCCAGGAGCTGAAGAATGCAGTGAGCTATGATCACACCACTGCACTCCAGCCTAGGTGACAGAGTGAGACACCATCTCTAAATAAATATATAACTATAGTGTGCTCCAATGACATGTTTCTCTATCAAAAAATTTAAGGCCTAAGACAGAAGAAGTGGAGGAAGCATAGAGATACCTTCCAGTACATTTTACATGAGGATTGTGTTACTAACATACTGTTATATAATCTTTGCAGATTTTCTATAAACCTAAGACTTTTCTAAAATTAAAATTTATCTTAAAACACTCTGAAGCCCATGAAAAATATGTTCAACATCATTAGTCATTATAGATATGCAAATCAAAATCACAAGGAGATACCACTATACATCCACTAGGATGAGTATATTTTTTTTTTAAATGAGAATAACAAATGTTGGTGAGAATGCAAAGAAATTGAAACCCTCATACATTGCTGGAGAGACTGTAGAATGGTGTAGCTGCTGTGGAAAACAGTGGGCAGTTCCTCAATAAGTCAAACATAGGATTACTGTATGACCTAGCCATTCCACTCCTAGGTATATATATATGCAACAGAACTGAAAACAGGTGTGCAAACAAACCACTTGTACAAAAATGTTCATAGAAGTAACATTCACAACAGCCAAATTCAGAAACACCCAAATGTCCCTCAATGGATTAATAGATAAATAAATGCGGTATATCCATACAATGAAATATTATTCAACCATAAAAAGAAAGAAAGTACTGATACATGCTCAAACATAAAACAACCTTGAAAACATTGGTGAGTGGAAGAAGGAAAATGCAAAAGACCACATATTGTATGATCGCATTTATATGAAATGTCCAGAATAGGCAAATCCACAGAAACAGGAAATACATTAGTAGTTGTCAGGAGCTGAAGACAGGAGGAGTGAGGATGGTGCTCCTTAAGGGTTATGGGATTTATTTTGGGAGGGGATTAAAAGGTTCTGGAACTAGACGGTGGTGATGGTTGCACAACATTATGAATTTATTAAATGCTACTGAGTCATATACTTTACAATGGTTAAATGGGGAGTTTTATTTTATATCAATTTTACCTAAAATTCATTTAAAAAAAAAGAAAGGCCAGGCACAGTGGTTCACGTCTGCAATCCCAGCACTTTGAGAGGCTGAGGCGGGAGGATTGCTTGTGTCCAGAAGTTCAAGACCAGCCTGGGCAATATAGTGAGACCTGTTTTTTTAAAATATATATATATAATAATAAATTTTAAATACATATATATTTTTTGAGACAGAGTCTTCCTCTGTTGCCCAGGCTGGAGTGCAGTGGTGCAATCTCGACTCACTGCAACCTCCACATCCCAGGTTGAAGTGATTCTCCTGCCTCAGCCTCCTGAGAAGCTGGGATTAAAGTTGCCTGCCACCACGCCTGGCTAATTTTTGTAGTTTTTAGTAGAGACGGGGTTTCACCATGTTGGCCAGGCTAGTCTCAAACTCCTGACCTCAAGTGATCCACCTGCCTCAGCCTCTCAAAGTGCTAGCCACTGTGCCCGGCCTAAAATAATTTTTAAAAAACCACTCTGGCAACATTACAAAGTTGTGACATATTAAAATAATATAGAATGTGGTATATAATATAAACATATAACTTACAGAAAATAAAAATATTATAGTGCTCAGAACATCTTGATTTAGAGCATGGGTTTTTTTGTTTGTTTGTTTGTTTGTTTTGAGACGGAGTCTCGCTCTGTCGCCCAGGCTGGAGTGCAATGGCACGATCTCAGAGAATCTCTTTAACCTGGAAGGCAGAGGTTGCAGTGAGCCGAGATCATGCCATTGCACTCTAGCCCGGGCAACAGAGCAAAACAATGTCTCCAAAAAAAAAAAAAAAGACTTGCCTGAGGATGTCTAGACATTATGTGAAAGCACAGGGCTTTGATTCTGCCAGTTATAAAAGCCCATGCTCAGCCAGGCATGGTGGCTCATGCCTATAATCCCAGCACTTTGGGAGGCCAAGGCGGGTGGATCACTTGAAGTCAGGAGTTCAAGAACAGCCTGGTCAACGGTGAAACCGTGTCTCTACTAAAAATACAAAAATAGCCAGGTGTGGTGGCGGGCACCTGTAATCCCAGCTTCTTGGGAGGGAGCCTGAGGCAGGAGAATCGCTTGAACCAGGAACTCCTGACCTCAGGCGATCCACCCACTGCAGCCTCCCAGCATGCTAGGATTACAGGCCTGAGCCCAGCCCTCAGAGAAGTCTTATAACCTATATCAGCTCCACTGTCCTCAACCATAAAATGAGTATGATTGCTATTATTATGAAATACTTTTCACATGAGGTGTCATTTAGCCTAACAATAATGATGTTGATGGTTAATATATAGTTTGTTCCTTTCTTTCTTTCTTTGTGTATGAATTGAGTGTTGCTAATCTTCTTAGTGATAACTACATTAAAAGCAAACTGATCTGGGTTTAGGGAGATAACAATCATATTTTGAATGGCTTTTATCTCCTTGAGAGGCTTCCTACATCCCAGAAAAGTATTGTGTGAATAGATCTTTAAAGTAGTTTCCAAAGGAGTATAGCAATGTACTATAACTATTATATGGCATTATGTTGAAATTTAGGCTAAATTGTTGTTACTAAAATTTCTAGGCTGATTCCAACCTGTTTCCAAGAACAGCTATGGAATTCGGAGGTGATAGGAAAAACTTTATTAAGAAAAAAGATACCTACTTCTCCTTCCCTTCCCCTGAGGATAACTAAGCTGTCACCATGAATACTAAGACTGCTATTTCTTCTTGTATTTGCATATGGCATCCTCCCAGGTAATTTATGGAGCAAATCCTGACACAGCTCCAGGAGAAACCATATAGCTCCTTTAGTATCATTAGTAAGTAAAAGACCAGAACATGTAAAGAGGGAGAGGAAATTCATCTCCCAAAAGATTCAGGCACAAGGCTCTCTGTTCCATACCCTCTACAGTCCCTCCACCCACACAACTCAGACATTGTATGTAAGAGAATGACACTTCTAGAACCCTGCCCTCTAACCTCTGCTCCTTTTTTTTTTTGCTCTGATTCTCCTGGGAGTTGAGGAACGCTGGAAAATAACTGCAGGGTTTGGCTTCCAGTTGGTTAACCCTGATGCTGATTTCTCTGTGGGACATTTTCAATCTCTGTTCTTGGCAAGAAACTGCAGAACTACAAAAACTGCCAGCTGAATGAAAATATGTTGAAGAGCAAGGGGGTTGGGAGAGATGGAAATTTGGGGAGTGAAGGGTTTAACACTATTCCCATTCCTGTTTGTACATTCTAGTCTAACCACCAACTGTAAGAAAGTTTGACTGACATTTGACCTACTGGATTAACATCATCAAAAGGGCTGAAACCCTCTTTCTTTTTATTTTTTTATTTTTTTATTTTTAATTTTTGAAACAGGATCTTACTCTGTTGCCTAGGTTGGAGTGCAGTGGCATGATCTCAGCTCACTGCAAGCTCCACCTCCTGGGCTCAAGCCCAGGAGATACTCCCACTTCAGCCTCTGGAGTAGCTGGGTTTACAGGCCTACACCACCATGCCTGGCTAATATTTGTATTTTTAGTAGAGATGGGGTTTCACGATGTTGGTCAGGCTGGTCTTGCACTCTTGGTCTCAAGTGATCCACCCGCCTCAGCCTCCCAAAGTGCTGGGATTATAGGCTTGAGCCACTGTGCCCAGCCCCCTCTTTCTTATTCCATTCTACCTTACGTGACTCCTCCAACTAGGTTAAATGTCTTGTATTTGTTTTAGCAGCACGTGTACGTCCTCATGCAGGCATTCCCAAAATATTTGCAAGGCTTATCATGTGCCAATTTGCTACACCTTAGGTAATGATTCGTCCTTTAATTCAATAAATATTTATTGAGCACCTAAGATATGTCAGGCACTTTTGAACTAGTGGGGGAAAAGCCCTTAACTAATTGGGCAAAGGCGTTCTTCTCATGGAGCTTACATTCTACTGTGGCAATACACAAAGTAGAAAATAGAGTCTCTGAAGATAGGTGCTATGGAGGGGGAAAGGGGGACTTTTGATGCCCAAGGTTAGGATTGTTGTTATGTACAAGGTGATAAGGGGAAGCCTCGTGGCTAAGTTCAGAACTGAGCAGAGGTTTGAAGACAGTGAGAGTGTGGATCAAGTAGCTATCTGGGAGACAGTGTTCTGGGCAGTAGGATCAGCAAGAACCAAGGCCCTGAGATGACAGTCTGCTTGGTGTGGCATGGAAAAGCAAAGTGGAAAACAATAGGCAAATACTCTTACCCTCATGGGGCATAGAGTCTGGCTGGGGAGACAGATAGTAATCAAATATCTGCCTAATAAATGTCTAATTCTAAAGGGACTGTGTGCCAAGCGGAAAATGCAGACATGGCTGGAAGACACTATAAAGACACCTGATCGAATCTGAGGGAAGTATTCCCTTAGGAAATGTAGTTTCAACTGAAATCCAGAGAAGAAGAAGTGATTAATATGGTACTGGAAGAGGCCAGGCCTCCCATAGTTTTGGGATTACAGGCATAAGCCACTGCACCCAGGTTCCTTTTTTTTAACCAATCATCCTCAATATTAAATATTATTTTTAGTATGTATTTCCTAAGAACAAGGATATCCTTTGTGTCTTGTGACAAGAGACAAAATAATTGAGCAGGCATTGAAAGCCCTCATATTCTCAGAAAAGTAGGTTTTTCCAGCAGACATTAAACATACTCCTGCAGGCCAGGCACAGTGGCTCATGCCTATAATCCCAGCACTTTGGGAGGCTGAGGCAGGAGGAACACTTCAGGCCAGGAGTTTGGGACCAACCTCGCCAACATGGTAAAACCCATATCTACTAAAAATACAAAAATTAGCTGGCCATGGGATGTAATCCCTGTAATCCCAGCTAGCAGGGAGGCTGAGGCACGAGAATCGCCTGAATTTGGGCGGCAGAGGTTGCAGTTAGCCAAGATCCTGCCACTGCACTCCAAACTGGTTGACAGAGCTAGACTGTCTCAAAAAAACAACAAAAGAATATGGTACTGGAAGGGTGTTTCCCTTATAGAGGGAAGAGTCTTTGTTCACAGGGGTGAAAAGAAACAGCTCTAGTTTTAGGAAATAAAAGATCCAGTGTCTGACTTGCAGAGAATGAGGGGGGAGGCATCCTTGAGGAGCTGAAAGACAGGAGCAAGGGACAAATCACACAGGATTTCTTGCAGTTTGTATGTAGCTGTTTAAATAAATATGTTTGCCGTCTGCCTTCCCTGCTGGACCAAGCTGGGCAAGGGGTAGGGGGGCAGCTGGGACCCTGTCTTGTTAACTACTGCATGCTAAGTACCTACTCAGAATGTGGCACACAGAAAGGGCACAGTTTGTATTTATTGACTGGCTGACTGGCTGTCTAACAACTCAAACAATCTGACATAACCATCTGAAAGCCTCAATAGTGAAAATGCAGCTTGCATTTTGGGAGTAGTTGGTTCTGCCAGATTCCAGGTTTAGAAAAGGCCAGCAAATTCGGCAGTATTCAAAGCTGTGATTTCTATTTCAAAACCACAGATAGAAGCTGACCAGGACCATGGGGAACTCCTTCCGTGGGGGAAAGGAATCCAAATGGGACATTCATGATACTGAGTTGGGGCAGGGTTTCTATCTTGACTTGGTGATTGTGCATATCATAGATGGGTGCTCCTTTGCTCATTTAATACTTTGTATTAATAAGTGAAATGACCACATGGTAAAACAGTATTCTTTTTTCTTTTTCTTTTTTTTTTTTTTGAGATGGAGTCTCACTGTCACCCAGGCTGGAGTACAGTGGCATGATCTCGGCTCACTGCAACCTCCGCCTCCCGGGTTCAAGTGATTCTTCTGCCTCAGCCTCCCAAGTAGCTGTAACTACAGGTATCGGGGGAAATTCAGCCAGATATCAGGCAAAATTCACCCCTGATATTTCACGTACGTTGTTTTCTATTTTCCCTAAGTGTCGGCCAGTTTGAGAAATAAAGGGACAGAGTACAAAAGAGAGAAATTTTAAAGCTGGGCGTCTAGGGGAGACATCACATGTCGGTAGGTTCCGTGATGCCCCCTGAGCCATAAAACTGGCAAGTTTTTATTAGTGATTTTCAAAAGGGGAGGGAGTGTACAAATAGGGTATGGGTCACAGAGATAACGTGCTTCACAAGGTAATAGAATATCACAAGACGAATGGAGGCAGGGCGAGATCACAGGACCACAGGATGGGGCGAAATTAAAATTGCTAATGAAGTTTCGGCATGCATTGTCATTCATAACATCTTATCAGGAGACAGGGTTTGAGAGCAGACAACCAGTCTGACCAAAAATTTATTAGGCGGGAATTTCCTCGTCCTAATAAGCCTGGGAGCGCTATGGGAGTCTGGGGCTTATTTCATCCCTACAGCTTGACCATAAAAAATGGCCACACCCAAGGGGGCCATTTTTGAGGCCCACCCTCAGGGACGCATTCTCTTTCTCAGGGATATTCCTTGCTGAGAAAAATAATTCATCGATATTTCTCCCATTTGCTTTTGAAAGAAGAGAAATATGGCTCTGTTCCGCCCAGCTCACCGGCGGTCAGAGTTTAAGGTTATCTCTCTTGTTCCCTGAACATTGCTGTTATCCTTTTCTTTTTTCAAGGTGCCCAGATTTCATATTGTTCAAACACACATGCTCTACAATTGGTGCAGTTAACGCAATCATCACAGGGTCCTGAGGCGACATACATCCTCCTCAGCTTACGAGATGACAGGATTAAGAGATTAAAGTAAAGACAAGCATAGGAAATGACAAGGGTATCCATTGGGGAAGTGATAAGTGTGCATGAAATCTTCACAATCCATGTTCAGAGACTGCAGTAAAGACAGGCATAAGAAATTATAAAAGTATTAATTTGGGGAACTAATAAATGTCCATGAAAGATTTACAATCCACGTTCTTCTGCCATGGCTTCAGCCGGTCCCTCCGTTTCATGTTCCTGACTTCCCGCAACATACAGGGAAGTAGTCCCAGTACTTTGGGGGGCCAAGGCTGGTGGATCCCTTGATGCCAGGAGTTTGAGACCAGCTTGTCCAACATGACAAAACTCCATCTCTACAAAAATACGAAAATTAGCCAGGTGTGGTGGCGCATGCCTGTAGTCCCAGCTACTCAGGAGGCTGAGGCAGGAGAATCACTTCAATCCAGGAGGTGGAGGTTGCAGTCACCTGAAATTATACCACGGCACTCCAGCCTGGGCATCAGAGCAAGATTGTCTCAAAAAATAAAAATAAATAAAATATGCTGGTTGGTTGTACTTGTAATGCAGGGACAGAGGCACCCTTCATTCTGCACAGTTTGGTGATGATGGTGTAGGTACAGGGCCTGGTGGGGTGGGGGGCGACTTTTTTTTTTTTTTTTTTTTTGCCACCAAGAGGGGATCCAAGCCTGGGGACAGTGTTAATTTAGAGGAGGCCAGATTGAAAGAATTGAAGAGAAACAGGGGTCAAGCCTGGAATCAAATCACATGTGAAGCATACTCTGCTTCTAGACTTTTCTGCTAGGTAAGGCCCTAGATTCTATTTATTGTTTAAATTGGAACTTCTGTAACTGGTATCCAAATTGTCCTAGCTGGTAAGGGTGATAGAAATCCAGAAACAGTTCTGTGCACTCTAAAAATACAGCAGCATCTATAGAATATCAGAATGAGGGTGGAATTGCTCCAAGATCCATCTTCTTTTAAGTTGTTTTGTTTTTAAGTGAAATCTTCCAAGAGTTTATCCCTTAAATATAAAAATGAAATTTTGACTAAGTAAAAATATGTGTGTTTTTTTAGAAAAATGCCAACCATACAAAGAGGTATACAGTGAGAAGAGGGTATCCATCCTACTCATCTCAGTTCCTCTCTCCAAAGGCAACAGTTTAGTTGTTGCACATTTCCTTGTGTGTACTTTCTAAGATATTCTGTGCATAGATCTTCCCTTTAATTTACACAAATGGTACTATATTACCGTTGCTATTTTTGCTCAGAAATGTATCTTAGAGGTTGTTCCGCATCAGAAAATATTTAAGCTGCTTCTTAAACAGGGCAACATGACCAAAATTTTTCATTCTTCATTTTATTGCTATGAACCCTACCTGTAAATGGGTGGTGGGGGGAATTTGTTTAATCAGTGAAATGAAGCAACAGCAACAAATACCTTCTCAGGTATCTGAGGAAGTGTACTTAAAATTATTAAACAGCTGCAAACTATTTCATTTTTTGGTTCTGTAATTTATTTAACCAAGCTCCTACAGGGAGTCATTTAGGTTGTTAACTTTTTTTTTTTTTGAGATAGGGTCTTGCTCTGTAACACAGGCTGGAGTGCAGTGGTGCAATCACAGCTCACTGTAACAGGAACTCCTGGGCTCAAGAGATCCTCCTGCCTCAGCCTCCCAAGTAGCTAGGACTACAGACACGCACCACCACACCCAGCTAATTTTGAAAGATTTTTATAGAGACAGGGTCTTGCTATGTTGCCCAGGCTGGTTTTGAACTCCTGGCCTCAAACAGTCCTCACACTTTGGCCTCGCAAAGTGCTGGGATTACAGGCTGTAACCTTTAGCTACCATATACAAAGCTGCAACAAGTGTTGTACATGCTGCTTTGTTTGAAAGCTGTATCAACTCTTCTAAACAATAGCCTATGTAAACACAGGCTGTTGAACCAAAAGTTTTAAATTTGAGATGCTGAGTAGAAGAATTCAAAAACTGGGTTTGGTTGCTTAGTTTTTGGCATATAACCCTCTTTTCTCCTACAAATAGATAGATTTCTTTTTCTCATTCATTGATCCATCCATTCATTTATCAACAAATATTTTGGGGCAGTCAGTATGTGCCAGGGAGTATTTTAAGTGCTGATTGTTACCTCCAGGGCCTAATATCACATGCTTATTTAAGAAGCAGGTGATAGGTCCAATGAATGTCTAGTCCTCTGTGGTTATTTAGACCTATTAACACAAGCCACGCAACACATAACAATGTTTCAGTCAGTGACAAATTGCATATACAACATTGGTCCCATTCGATTTTAGTACTGTATTTTTACTATACATTTTCTTTCTTTCTTTCTTTCTTTCTTTCTTTCTTTCTTTCTTTCTTTCTTTCTTTCATCTTTCTTTCTTTCCTTTCTTTCTTTCTTTCTTTCGAGACAGGGTCTTACTGTTTCCTATACTGGAGTGCAGTGGTGTGATCATGGCTCACTGCAACCTCCACCTCACGGGCTTAAGCAATCCTCCTAACTCAGCCTCCCAAGTAGCTGGAACCACAGGTGTGCACCTCCACGCCCAGCTAGTTTTTTTAAAAAAAATTCATCAAGACAAGAACCTCATTATGTTGCTTAGTCTGGTCTCAAACTCCTGGGCTCAAGGGATCCTCCTCTCTCAGTCTCCCAAAGTGCTGGGGTTACAGGCGTGAGCTACCAGGCCTGGCCCATTTTCTATATTTAGATATGTTTGGATACACAGATACTTACCATTCTGTTGCAATTGCCCAGAGTGCTCAGCACAGTAACATGGTGCACAGGTTTGCAGCCTGGGAACAACAGGCTATCCCATAAAACCTAGGTGTGTAGTAGGCTGTTCCATTTAGGTTTTTGTGAGTGTACTCTGCGGTGTGCAAAAAATGAGGAAATCTGCTACCTGTACATTTCTCAGAACATGACCCCCTCGTTAAGCGATGTGTAACTGTACTTAAGAGACTGCCTATGAGAGTTTTACAGTTATTTCAGTACTCAATCTTGGATGTGTACCAGAAGGGGGTCATTTCTATGCAAGATTATTCAATACTTTTAAGTGAAAAAGGCAGTATGAGCCCAACAAATGTATCATTTATTGAGCCTTTACTCTATAGAGATAGAAAGCATTTAATAACTAACTAGATGTTATCTCAGGAATGGAAGTGAGTCCTATAGTTTGTTCCTTAATTCATTGCTACAATATTGTTTATTTTGTGCTTTTAAAAAATATTTAATTTCCTCTTGATTTTTACCAACAAGTATGTAAGAACCAATTTTGGCTCAGTATTTGCCATTTTTTTCTACAGTTGCAATATTCCATTTCATCATGTAATCCTCAAAAATATTAAAACTCTGAGAAAATAAGAAGCATTGATAAGAAAATGATTCTGAACTCTTCCTGTGGCCTAGATGCATGGTTTCTGACAAATTAATGTGTTATTAAAATAACTGACCTATGAGAAAAATCTGTGATCACATTCATTACAACCAGAACTGGAAAGATCTATTAGAAATTGATTTACATCAAGCCCATCTTTATAATCCCTTGTCTCATTCTTTACTTTCTGTTTATGCCTTTGCCAAACTTTAAAATGAAGTATTTGGCTGGGTGCAGTGGCTTACGCCTGTAATCCCAGCACTTTGGGAGGCCAAGGCAGGCGGATCACTTGAGGTTAGTAGTTCAAGACCAGTCTGGCCAACATGGTGAAACCCCATCTCTACTAAAAACACAAAAAATTAGCCAGGCATGGTGACACACACCAATAATCCCAGTTACTTGGGAGGCTGAGGCAGGAGAAAAGTTTGAATTGAGGAGGCGGAGGTTGCAGTGAACTGAGATCGGGCCACTGTACTCCAGCCTGGGCAAGAGAGCAAGACTCCATCTAAAAACATTTAAAAATAAAAACAGAAAAATAAAATTAAATACTTAATCGTGTGATTGTTTCTCTTGTTTCTCCTTGACTGGACTCTGAGCTTCATGAGATCAGTGACTGAGTCTATTTGTCTATCCGTTTTCTCTCTGTGCCTAACACATGGTAGGTGCTGAATAACTATTGGTGGAATTTATTTGGCCATGTGCTTATGATTCAAACATACTAAGGTAAAATTAGTTTGTTTAATGAAATTAAACTGAAACAATAACATGACAAAAATTGAGTAAAACAAGCCAGGCATGGGGGTGCACCCCTGTAGACCCAGCTACTTGGGAGGCTGAGGCAGGAGGATCCAGAACCCAGGAGTTCAAGGCTGTAGCGTGCCATGATTGTGCCTCTGAATGGCCACTGTGCTCCAGCCTCAGAACAGACCGAGGCCTCATCTCTTATAAAAAATAAAGCCAAACAATAATTGAAAATAAAATAGCTAAGTTAGTCACCCAGTGAAAATAAAGGAGAAGCAACATGGCTAGGCCTATGAGTTTCTTTATTTTTTATTCCATTGATAGGAACATTTCCTGCAGCCAAGGGAAAGTAAATTCATTTGTTTAATGGGCAAAATGAGGCAACCACCTTCATAGACTTCTGAGGAAACAGGCTAAAATGATTGTGCTCTGTATAATATCAAAGAAATGTGAGAGAACCCATAATAAAAATGACAGTCTGATACACCCAAATGACCCCTTTCATCTTAAGACCTTGAGACGTTTTGCAAATGATAATTGTCTCTTACATCATCTCCATGAGGTAAGAATTTTCTCTCCATGTATAACTGAGCCTACACAAAGTTATTTCTTTTAAAGTCCCAAGTCATGGCTGGTATTTGAATCCTTCACCTCCTGAGATATGTGTAAGTTAGCATATAAATCACATTGTTAAATGAGGAAAAAACTTTAAATCGGGGCAAAGTTATGTTTGACCAATCAAGAGTCTAAGCTCATTAGGGACTTCAGATTACAAGCAAAAATTCCCCAATGATGAAGAGAAATAGGAATGGACTGGGGGAATTTCAGGATAAAAACCTGTTCAGTTTTACCTTATATTTTAATGACATTTTCAATATTTGGATGGCCTAAGAGATGAATTGACTTCAAAACACATTCTGGAATGGCGGGTGACCTGGTGCCAAAATAAAGAATATCTGACCAAGTATACATTCCCAGGGGAATGATAATAAAACCCTAGACTGGGAGAATGTTTCATTTTATTGCCCAAATTCATGGAAATTCACCATGGCGGATCAAACTTTTAATATTTGGTCACAATGGGACATCATTCTTAATGATACCCAGCTGCAGAGGGTGTGTGCTCGGAATTTTCATTCCTACCTTTGTGCTATTAGGAATGCTGTTTTTTATATGTATGTAATTTTTAAACTTCTTTTCATAAATCATTACAAGTGTCAAGAAAAATTATAAGAATAGTATTAAAAAACTCTCACATCCCTTTTTCATAGATTCACAAACTGTTAACGTCTGCCTATTTACTTTGTCATTTGTCATATGCAAAACTTTCTTTTTTTTTTTTTTTTTTTTGAGATGGAGTTTCATTCTTGTCACCCAGGCTGGAGTGCAATGGCATAATCTTGGCTCACCGCAACCTACGTCTCCTGGGTTTAAGCGATTCTCCTTCCTCAGCCTCCCGAGTAGCTGGGACTACAGGCACATGCCACCATGCCCAGCTAATTTTTGCATTTTTAGTAGAGACAGGGTTTCACCATGTTGGCCAGGATGGTCTCAATCTCTTGACCTTGTGATCTGCCTGCCTAGGTCTCCCAAAGTGCTGGGATTACAGGCGTGAGCTACTGCGCCCGGCTGCAGGTAATTAAATATTGATCAATATTTTTATTGAATCTACCATCTATCCTCCAATTTTGTCAATTGACCCAAAAAGAACTTTTGTTGCATTTTTTTTCTTCAGTACAGAATCCAGACCAAGGTTGCATGTTACATTTAATAATTATGCCTCCTTTGATTTTGATCAGTTCCTCAGCCTTTCTTTGTCTTTCATGATAATGACATTTCTGAAGAACACAAACCTATTTTAAAATGGCTTACATAGACTTTTTTTCAAGAAACCTAAATTTAATGGTTGTTGCCATTTTTCAGTTAACAGTTTTCAATGGTAACTTTGTAAGAAAAGGAGAGATGAGAATTACATAGCTTTTGACTCAGTACTGTCACTGAAGTCCATAATAAATCCACTTGTATATATGATTTTTTTTTGTCGGGGGGGATGGAGTTTTGATCTTGTTGCCCAGGCTGGAGCACAATGGTGCGATCTTGGCTCACTACCACCTCCACCTCCTGGGTTCAAGTGATTCTCCTGCCTCAGTCTTCCGTGTAACTTGGATTACAGGCACCCGCCACTACGCCTGGCTAATTTTTGTATTTTTAGTAGAGACAGGGTTTCACCATGTTGGTCAGGCTGGTCTTGAACTCCTGAGTTCAGGTGATCCACCCGCCTCGGCCTCCCAAAGTGCTGAGATTACAGGCATGAGCCACTGTGCCCGGCCACATATATAATGTTTTAAAGCAGTGCCTGGCACATAGGTACGTCTCAATAAATGTCCTCAAGGGTACACTTTTTCTCCCTCCCATCACCAACTCTATGCTCCCTGTGAGTGAGGGGCACACATGAATCTTGGTCATTTTATCCTCAGTATCTAATACAAGGGCTGACAGTAGATTGTTGAATGAATGACTACCCCAGGGGTGAGGAAGTGTCCTCAGATGTGTTAAATGACAGCATCTCTTGTTTTCCTTTCTTTTTTTTTTTTTTTTTTTTTTTTTTGAGACGGAGTCTCGCTCTGTCGCCCAGGCCGGACTGCGGACTGCAGTGGCGCAATCTCGGCTCACTGCAAGCTCCGCTTCCCGGGTTCACGCCATTCTCCTGCCTCAGCCTCCCGAGTAGCTGGGACTACAGGCGCCCGCCACCGCGCCCGGCTAATTTTTTGTATTTTTAGTAGAGACGGGGTTTCACCTTGTTAGCCAGGATGGTCTCGATCTCCTGACCTCATGATCCACCCACCTCGGCCTCCCAAAGTGCTGGGATTACAGGCGTGAGCCATGTTTTCCTTTCTTTTAGAGACAAGGTCTCAATCTTTTTGAAATGGTTATTTACTTTTGGTGTATTTTCTAGTGTTCATTAAGTCTTCCACATTTTCTTACAGGATTATTTGTCTTTTTATTACTGATTTATAGGAGGGTTTTTTTTGTTTTTTTGTTTTTTGTTTTGTTTTTGTTTTTTTAAGAGACTTTCTCCCCGGCTGGAGTGCAGTGGCACCATCATAGCTCGCTGTAACTCCTGGGCTCAAGTGATCCTCCTGCCTCAGCCTCCTGAGTGGCTGGTACTATAGGCACATGCACCACCACGCCTCCCTAATTTTTAAATTTTTTAACAGAGACGGGTCTTGCTATGTTGCTCAGGCTGGTCTCAAACTCCTGGGCTCAATCATTCCTCCTGGAAGCTTGGTGTCCCATAGTGTTGGGATTACAGGCATAAACTGCTGCACCCAGCTTCCTTTTTTAAAAAAATCATCCTCAGTATTAAATATTATTATTTTTAGTGTGTATTTCCTAAGAACAAGGATATCCTTTGCGTCTTGTGACAAGACACAAAATAATTGAGCAGGCATTGAAAGCCTTCATATTCTCAGAAAAGTAGGTCTTCCCAGCAGACATTAAACATTCTCCTGCAGGCAGGGCACAGTGGCTCACTCCTGTAATCCCAATACTTTGGGAGGCCGAGGCAGGCAGAGCACTTGAGGCCAGGAGTTTGAGACCAGCCTGGCCAACACAGTGAAACCCCATCTCTACCAAAAAAATTACCAAAATATTAGCTGGGCGTGGTGGCACGGCTGTAATCCTAGCTTCTTGGGAAGGTGAGGCAGGAGAATCACTTGAACCTGAGAGGCGGAGGTTGCAGTGAGCCAAGATTGTGCCACTGCATTCCAGCCTGGCAACAGAGCGAGACTCCGTCTCAAAATAAAATAAAATAAAATAAACATACTCCTGGAAATAACATTTTGTTTACTCTCCAAATGCTTAAAATCCTCTGACATCGTATGTATTCTGTTGTATTTTTTCCTTAGGTCATTTTAAATATAATTTTCTTCCCTTCTCTTTTCATTCCTTCTCTCTACATTTTAGGATACCGAAAACTCATTAACTTCGATTCTGCTAAATTAAAATTTGTGGAGTTTTTGAGCAATTCTTTGTCCTCTAAATATGCTAAGAGAATTGTGAAAAACTAAGCATTTGTAAGGGTGCCAGGCTAGTCTACTTAAGGAAATCAATAGTGCTTTGCTTAGGCTTTATTTACATATAAGTGGTTGGTTAATGGCAAATCGCTGTATACTGTTATTTAGTTACCATTTAGGGGACCCTTACTGTGTTTCTGTGTACCTGCTGTAATCGCCACACATCAGTGTTTCAACAACAAACAAGGTAGTTGATGCTCAGAGAGAGTAACTAGCCCAAGATCAGACAGCTGGTAAGTGATTCAGCTGGGATTTGAGCCCAGGCCTCTAAATTCCACCTTTGCTAGATCACTCTGTGCCAGACTAGTTTGATGTGCATATGCAGGCCCTTGTCCTTACAGTTCTTGCCTTACAGCCCTTGGTAGGCACATTGAACATGTACTTAGTTACCAGCAAAGCAATTTCACACACACACACGCGCGCGCGCGCACACACACACACACACACACACACTTTCCTGAAAGCACATCGACAAAAATAAAAAAAAGAAAGAATTAAATATATGTTGTTTCAAGAAAATCAATGATGTAGTATTGGCGGGAAAACTACAACTTTGGCCTTCTTTTCAGGCAGCTTTTATTTTACTTTAGGTTTTTTTTAATTGTTTTTGTTGTTTGTTTGTTTTTTGAGACAGAGTCTCACTCAGTCAGCCAGGTTGGAGTGCAGTGGTGTGATCTCAGCTCATTGCAACCTCCACCTACCAGGTTGAAGTGATTCTCCTGCCTCAGCCTCCCTAGTAGCTGGGACTACTGGCATGCACGACCGTGCCTGGCTAATATTTGTATTTTTAGTAGAGATGGGGGTTTCACCATGTTGGCCAGGCTCGTCTCGAACTCCTGACCTCAAATGATCCACACTTCTCGGCCTCCCAAAGTGCTAGGATTACAGGTGTGAGCCACTCATAATCCCACCGAGCCTGGCCATAAGGGGGATTTTATTTTGAAATACCAAGTAGGGTATGGGCATGGCCATCAGAACCTCGTCAGTCTTTAGAGCCTTTTGAAGTTCTAACTCCAGCCCTGGGTCCTTTAAAAGTAAGAAAACGGCATTTCATTTAAAAATATTATTTTCATTGCTTCAGGGAATGCTTCCCTCACATTGAGTTAATGAGCTTTTCCTGAAAAATTCGGTTGTGAGAGATTTTGCTTTTGAATTACCCAATGCAGAGCACATTCTGAGTGATTAGAGGGGCTCCTAAGATAAAAGGAATCACCTGACAGAAAACACACTTTGGTGCTTAGGAAGAGTTGCCAATGGAGGAGAATTTGGGGGCAGCATTACTTTCTGACTTTTCATGGTTTATATTTGGTCAGCTAAGGATTTAATTATTTCTTCATATTCTGATAAAGTGCCCCTCTGAATACTTAATAGCCCACTCTGGCTACTTGATTTTTATTTCTTTAAAAATCCTTTTTTTTTTTTTTTTTTGTTGGTTGGGTGGGGTGGCTCACGCCTGTAATCCCAGCACTTTGGGAGGCTGAGATGGCTGAATCACCTGAGGTCAGGAGTTTGAGACCAGCCTGGCCAATATGGCAAAACTCAAACTCTACTAAAAATTCAAAAATTAGCCGAGCATGGTGGCGGGCGCCTGTAATCCTAGCTACTCAGGAGGCTGAGGCAGGAAAATCAGTTGAACCCAGGAGGCAAAGGTTGCAGTGGGCCAAGATCGCGCCACTGCACTCCAGCCTCGGCGACAGGGCGAGACTCCATCTCAAAAAAAAAAAAAAATCCTTTTTTTTTTTTTTTGGGAGAAGAGACTGGGAGGAGCATGAAAGGAATTTTGTTAACTTATTTAAGGGGAGAACCATAAAACTGTCTATCTACCCATATTTTTTATATTCCTTTTATATAATGTGTATAATTTACTGTTCAGAAGTATGATTGGTTTCATTTAAATCATATGCATTTTCTAATTATTGCTTGCCTCAAAAATTATGGGAAAGAAAAGTCCTGAGCCATTTGGCACTTCACCTATATAAACAGATGAATGAGTGTTTTATAATAAACATGTGCATGTTTATAATAACAAGTGAGATTGTCCTGATAGGCTGGTAGCAGTAACCACACCGAATATTTGCTGAGTAGTTGCTATTTGCAGGCACTATGAGAAGCACTTCACTCACCTAATCCTTACCTCAAACCTCAGAAGCAGTTACTGCTATTATCCTGTTTTGTAGAGGAAGATAATGAGCCTCATTAAGATTACTTGTGAGCTAAAGCCCCCACAGCTAGCGATCCTATTCAGTCCGACTTCAGATGCTACACTTTGTTTGGGATCAGTCTCTGTTGTCAGGATGGAGAATTGGAAGGGCACTAGAAAGGATTCAGGAAACCACAGAAGGACCTGTTGCAGCTGTCTAGCTAAGAGATGATGGAAGCTGGGACTAGAATTTTGAAGGTGAAAGTATAAGGAAATGGAGGGAAATGGTTAGGTCTCGGTAATGGCTTTGATATGGACATGAGGAAGAAGATGTTATTGAGAACTGGGTTTTTGTTTGACATGGTGGAGGAAAAACATCCATCAAAACTTAGCCTGATTCCTTATTAGAGAAAAGCCAGTCAGAATTAGTGGAAGGTAAGGAATGAAGACACATTTTAAAGGAAACAGTTTCATGATTTTCAGGAAAAAGAACCGGGCTATAAAATGATTTCCAGGTCTGCCCTGAGCACTTGCGCAATAAAGAGTTAGAAACGGTGTGCAATTGGCTGGGCGCGGTGGCTCACGCCTGTAATCCCAGCACTTTGGGAGGCTGAAGCGGGCAGATCACGAGGTCAGGAGATAGTAGCCATCTTGGCTAACACGGCGAAACCCCATCTCTACTAAAAACACAAACAGAAATTAGCCGGGCGTGGTGGCGGGCGCCTGTAGTCCCAGCTACTCCGGAGGCTGAGGCAGGAGAATGGCGTGAACCCGGGAGGCGGAGCTTGCAGTGAGCCGAGATCGCGCCACTGCACTCCAGCCTGGGAGACGGAGCGAGACTCCGTCTCACAAAAAAAAAAAAAAAAAAAAAATGGTGTGCGATTCAAGTATCACTTGGATCGCAAATGGTGCTTCTCAAGTGTTTGAAGGTGATTAAAAGCACTTTGTTTTCTAAGCCGTTTAAATATTCCCTTTGGAAATCTTGTTAAACTCATTTGCTTCCCAAACTCTTTCTCTTTAAAAAGAGGAAAAGATAAACTTCAGCTGAGCCTCTGTCTCAATGAGGCTTTACTCGATTAGAAAATATTGACCAGCTGCATTAGCCCGTGTCTTCTTCTATGGTCAATAGAGTTACTTTCCACAGGCGCTGAATCTGCAATCCACAAAGTCTTAGCTGGTGTTAATGACCGTTTCAGTGACTGCTCCAGCTACTATTTTGCATTCTGCCAAATAGGCTGATGGGAAGAGGGTAGGGATTAGGGGCAGAGTCTCATCCCATGCCTTGGGATGGACAACAAATCCCAGATCCTGGAACCATATTGTGGTAAAGATATTTCCCCTAACACTTGAATACCTATTCATGCTAGACTTCTGAATGTATTACCTTTAGTCTTCACAACCATTAGACAAGAATATTTTATTTTGTCCATTTTGCAAATGACAGAATCAAAACTTCAGCCCTGCATATCCAAATGTCTGCTGGCCCTCTTTACCTGTGCATCATACTAGCAACCATCCAAACAACTAATTATATTCTTTTTTTTTTTTTTTTTGAGGTGGAGTCTTGCTCTGTCACCCAGGCTGGAGTGCAGTGGCATGATCTCAGCTCACTGCAACTTCTGCATCCCAGTTTAAGTGATTCCCCTGCCTCAGCCTCCTGAGTAGCTGGGATTACAGGCATGCGCTACTACGCTAGCTAATTGTTGTATGTTTAGTAGAGACAGGGTTTCACCATGTTGGCCAGGCTGGTCTTGAACTCCTGGCCTCAAATGATCTGCCCACCTCGGCCTCCCAAAGTGCTGGGATTACAGCTGTGAGCCACCGCACCTGGCCAAACAACTAATTATATTCTTTCCTTCCTCCTGTTATTGATATGACAGCAGCCATCTATGATTAGAAATCTAGGCTCATTCTTGATTCCTCCTCTCTCTTAACCTAAATAGACCCTATCAATTGCTAAATTTTAATGGTTTTCCTCCTACTACGTCTGTATTAGGTTTTTTGGTTTTCCCTTTGTATTTGTTTACTATGGCTGCTATAAAAAATAACCACAAACTTTGTGGTTTCACACAACACAAATGTATCCTCCCACAGTTTGGGTGGCCAGAAATCTGAAATGAGTCTTACAAGTCTAACATCAAGGTGTCAGCAAAGCTGATTCCTTCTGGGGGCTCTAAGGGAGAATCCATTTCTGTATCTTTTCTTTTCTTTTTTTCTTTTTCTTTTTCTTTTTTTTTTTTTTTGAGACTGAGTCTCGCTCTATCACCCAGGCTGGAGTGCAATGGCGTGATCTCCGCTCACTGCAACCTCCACCTCCTGGGTTCAAGCGATTCTCCTGCCTCAGCCTCCTGAGTAGCTGGGATTACAGGCACTTGCGACACCACGCCCAGCTAATTTTTGTTATTTTTAGTAGGGATGGGGTTTCATCATGTTGGTCAGGCTGGTCTCAAACTCCTGACCTCAAGATCCGCCCACCTCGGCCTCCCAAAGTGCTGGGATTACAGGCGTGAGCCACCGCACCTGGGCCTCGTGTCTTTTCTAGTTCCTAGAAGTCACCTACATTCCTTGGCTTGTGGCCCCTTCCTTCTACTACATCACTTTTTCTCTCTTTGCTTCCGCAGTCACATGACCTATTTCCTCTCCTACAGTTAAATCTCACTCTGCTTCCATCTTATAAGGGCAATTGTAATTACATCTTGGGCCCACCCAGATACTTCAGGATAATTTCCCCATCTCAAGAGCCTTAACTTAATCACATCTATAAAGTCTTTTTGCCATGTAAAGTAACATTCACAGGTTCAAGGGTTAAGACATGGCCATCCATGGGGGTTATTTTTGAGCCTACTACAACCTCCTAGCCTGGTTCACTGTGTCCCAATCTCTCACCTCCTAGCTGGCCTCCATACCTTTAGTTTAATTCATATTCCCTCCTCAACCCATGATTTACAGCAGTGGTTCCCAAAAGCAGGTCCATAAACTGAACCCTTGGGAAGGTTGTTAAAAATATAGGTGCCAGGGGAGGGTTAGAAGGGGTGAGGGATTAAAAATTACCTCTTGGGTATAGGGTACACTGCTCTGGTGAGGGGTATACTGAAAGCCCAGACTTCACCACTATACAGTTTATCCATGTAACCCAAAACCACTTGTACCACTAAAGTTATTGAAATTTTAAAAAAAGATATCACCTAGCAGAAAAAACAAAACTAATCACATGATTCTGTTCATTAATACCCCTTATAATCTTCTGTTTTGCTTCTGCATATGTGACCAATATAAACATTTTTATGTTAAAAACAAAAAATAGGTGCCTGGGCTCTACCCCTATAGATTCTGATTCAGAAAGTCTAGTGGATCTATGCTTTATAACTTACCACCTGGCCAGGCCCAGTGGCTCACACCTGTAATCCCAACACTTTGAGAGGACAAGGTGGGAGCACTGTTTGAGCCCAGGGTTTGAGATCGCCCTAGGCAACACGGTGAAACCCTGTCTCTACCAAAAAATCAGCCAGGCGTGGTGGCGCACACCTGTAGTCCCAGCTACCCAGGAGGCTGAGGTGGGAGGATCACCTGAGCCTGAGGAGGTGGAGGCTGCTGTGAGCTGTGATCACGCCACTTCACTCCAGCCTGGGCAACCGAGTCAGATGCCATCTCAAAAAATAGAGTAAACGAATAAGCAAAACTTTACGGCATGTTGAAAGCTACAGAATTGCTATAGAGAAGAAACTCAGGATCGGAATTTGAGAGAGTGACCCATAGGAGAATTACCATAAAATTGTCTGCATAACAACCACACTGCTTTTACGTTGCCTCTTACAGATCAACAAAAATAGCAAAGTTTTCTATTTCTAAGGTGTTTTTATTCATATATTACATAGTTTTAAAACAATTGTGTTTTAAATTAGAAGTAGCTTTCAGGGATTGATGCAGGTTAGTGACGGGAGAGAGAGAAGGCTAAAACCTTCCTGCTCCACATCCCACCTTATTATCCTATTGTTTTTCTCATGCCCAGTTAGTTTTGGGGACCTCTCATTCTGACTATAAACTTATTAAGGACAGAGATTGTGTCTCATTCCATATATAATCCCCAGCACCTAGGACACTGGTATATCGTTGGCATTCAATTAATGTATATTCAATAAATGTTCAATTAATCGATGAACAAATGGAATAAATGCTAGTACAAAAGACTTTGTTGGCTGTGCATGGTGGCTTACACCTGTAATCCCAGCACTTTGGAAGCCGAGGTGGGTGGATTGCTTGAGGTCAGAAGTTCGAGACCAGCCTGGCCAACATGGTGAAACCCTGTCTCTACTAAAATGAAAAAAATTAGCTGGGCATGGTGGCAGGTGCCTGTAATCCCAGCTACTTGAGAGGCTGACACAGGAGAATTGCTTAAACCCAGGAGGCGGAAGTTGCAGTGAGCCAAGTTTATGCCACCAGGTGACAGAGTGAGACTCAGTCTAAAAAATAAAATAAAATAAAATAAAATAAGAGTTTGTTGAGTTGTTACTAAAAGACAACCTACATTGATGAGAACCCAAGACTAGGGATTAAAGGATCTCTTGGTTTTGGTGGCAAAGATGGGTGGTTTGCTTGGCCTAGGAGTTTGAGGCCAGTGTGGGCAACATGGTGAAACTCTGTCCTTACAAAAACCACAAACATTAGCTGGGCATGGTGGCATGTACCTCTAGTCCCAGCTATTCATGAGGCTGAGGTGGGAGGTTCACCTGAGTCCAGGGAGGTTAAGGCTGCAGTGAGCCATGACCACACCACTGCACTCCAGCCTGAGTGGCAGAGTGAGACCCTGTGAGCATTTGCTGTTGAAGAGTGTACAGATGCCTGTGATGCAAGCCTAAAGTGAACACAAACACTTCTAGGCAGTCAAAAGCCAAGCAGACGTACATTATTTTGTATCTGTCTAGATATGGGATATACAGATAATAACAAACACCTGAGAAGCACTTACTATGTCCCAGGCACTGTTCTAAGCACTGCACATGTATTAACATGTATGTGTATCATCTCATTTAATTTTTACAAGAACCTTAACATCTCATGAAAATTCCATCTTCCAATGATGAAATAATGTAGTTAAATAACTTGCTCATGGTCACAAAGTTAGGGAGTGGATTCAAACCTGGGCAGCCTAGTTCTAAATTAGGTAACAAGAGAAAGTAAATATGCTGAGTTGTATAACTATCATCATAACACAAGCTAGAACATTGTCGTTACCCCAGTAAGAAGCCACATGCCTGATTAAGTTAATCCCTCTTCCCACCTCCAGCCATAGGAAATCACTAATCTACTTTCTGTCTCTATAGATGTATTTTTCCGATACATTTCATGTAAATGGAATCATACAGCATGTGCTCTTTTGTGTCACCTTCTTTCATTTAGCATATTTTGTAGATTCATCCATGTTGTAGCATGTATTCGTGGTTTGTTTTTTTTTTTTTGAGGTGGAGTCTCGCTCTGTCACCCAGGCTGGAGTGCAGTGGCATGTTCACAGCTCACTGTAACCTCCACCTTCTGGGATCCATTGATCCTTCCACCTCAGCCTCTTGAGTAGCTGGGACTACAGGTGCACAGCACCATACCTAGCTAATTTTTTTTGTGTGTGTGGAGACGGGGTTTCACCATGTTACCCAGGCTGGCCTTGAACTCCTGAGTTCAAGTAATCCACCAATCTTGGCCTCCTAAAGTGCTGGGATTACAGGCATAAGCCAGTACTCCTGGCCTTCTTTCCTTTTTATGGCTGAATAATATTCCATTGGGCAGCTCTACCACATTTTGTTTACCCATTCACCAGTTGATGCATATTTGGGTGGTTTCCACTTTTTGGCTATCATGAATAATGTTGCTATGAATATTCATGTACAAGATTTTTTGTGGATATATGTTTTTATTTCTCTTGGAATAGATTCTTAGAAATGGAATTGCTTGATGGTATGGTTGTTTTGTTTACTTTTGCTTATGTTTAATGTTTAAGAAACTATGGCCTGACATTTAAGCCAAGATCTGAAGGCTGAGAAAATACAAGGGTAAAGGAAGGGAAAATGTTCTATGCAGTGAGAAAACCACTAGTTTCTGTGTTTCGTATGTGGTATCTACAAAGAAATAATTATTGTATTTTGTGTCTAAAACCCCACGCAAAATAGTGTTATCAAAGGAAATCTGTCCATTTCTTATGATGATAAATGTGCCTACATCACAGCCAGGTAGCCTTTCCCCAATGTGAACTGAAATATTCTATGAGAAATTGTTACAAAAACAAAATCCAAACTAATTAAAAAAAAAAAAACAAGACAAAGCAAGCAAACGAGCAAAACCCCAAACTCTGGCCCTGTTAGTCTTACATAGAGGGTTGTATGCTAAAATGTCCATGACTATTCCTTCTATTCTGTCTTCTTCTGTTTCAGCAAGTTTATCACGTCAATGCAGAGCAATAATATTTGCAGTCTGAAAGCCTCAGCTCTGTTTGCATTGCTTCCCAGAATAATGGTGTTCGGTGAAATGGAGGAAAATAATCACACTCAAGCCATGTTTTTCCAATATGCTTTCCCCCTTTTTGTCAAATTGTGTTAAGGTTTTGTATGTATGTATGTGTTTTCCCTTTCTATGTGCTTTTCAGTGTGAGACAGAGCAAGTATTCATGACTCTGGCAGTTCAGCCCGTCGGTTGAGTACACAATACATTGGTTAATCCAAGGTGACCTGCGGGTTGAAACTCCGTTTGCAAAGGCAGCTGCAGTACAACCACCAGGCAATTACGACATTATAAGCCATGAGTGTAAAGCTAGAGAGATAACTTCTAAAAGGCCCCAAAGAGTTTTTACTTCTTAGGCTTATGACCAGAAATTCATGGCACATTAAGTTTTCCATCTGAAAGCTAGGAGAATCCCTTGTCACACCTTCTAACTTCTAAGACATTGCAGAGAGAAAATGTCAGGATTTCTCTGGATGAAAAGTATTCTCCAAGTATAGTGATAAAATTCCAGCTTCTTCTCTGTACTTTTAAGATTAAATAAGAGGGAGGGAGGCCAGGCGCAGTGGCTCATGCCTGTAATCCCAGCACTTTGGGAGGCCGAGGTGAATCACCTGAGATCAGGAGTTGGAGACCAGCCTGGCCAACATGGTGAAACCCCGTCTCTACAAAAATACAAAAATTAGTTGGGGGTGGTGGTGGGCGCCTGTAATCCCAGCTACTCAGGAGGCTGAGGCAGGAGAATGCCTTGAACCCAGGAAGCAGAGGTTGCAGTGAGCTGGGATCACGCCACTGCACTCCAACCTGGGCAAGAGAGCAAGACTCCATCTCAAAAAAGATACTCAATAAATAAATAAATAACAGGGAGGGATTGGTGGTATATCTGGGGCTATGGTTTGGATGTGGCGTGTTTGTCTCCAACAAATTTCATGTTGAAATTGGATCCCCAGTGAGGTAGTGTGGGGAGGTGGGGCCTTGTGGGAGGTGTTTGGATCATGGAGACAGATATAACAGTTCTTGCTCTCTCAGGAATGGATTCATTCTCACCAGATTGGTTGTTATAAAGCCAGGATGATTCCAGGTTTGATCCATCTTCACACGTGTCTGGTGCCCATTTGACTTTCTCCACCATGTTTTGATGCAACTCAAAAGCCCTTACTAGACCAGGAGCAGTGGCTCATGCCTGTAATCCCAGCACTTTGGGAGGCTGAGGCGGATGGATCACCTAAGGTTAGGAGTTCGAGAACAGCCTGGCCAACATGGTGAAACGCTGGCTCTACTAAAAATACAAAAAAGTTAGCCAGGATTGGTGGTGGGTGCCTGTAATCCCAGCTACTCGGGAGGCTCCGGCGGGAGAATCACTTGAACCTGGGAGGCGGAGGTTGCAGTGAGTGAGATCACACCATTGCACTCCAGCCTGGGCGAAAGAGACTCCATCTCAAAAGACGAACAAACCAAAACAAAAGCCCTTACCAGAAACTAGGGAGACACCAGCCCTGTGCTGCTTATGCAGCCTGCAGAACTGTGAGCTAAATAAACCTCATCTTTATAAATTACCCAACCTCAGGTATTCCTTTATAGCAACACAAAACAGACAAAGACATCTGCTTAGAGGACAGTAGTGGCCATTGTTTTCATCATCCGCTTAAAATTCTTGCCCCTGTCTTTTAGAAATGGCCAGTTGGTTTTCCTTTGTGTAATAATGACATTCTCAAATTTGTTTGATTTGGTTGATCTGACTCCACTACTATGCACCGTGGGTAGGCACATGACGCAGACCTGAGTAACTGGAGAAAGGCATGTCCCTGTTCACAGTGATTGGCTCAGAAATGGGCATGTAGCCCAAGCTGGGATCATGAGAAGCCTGAGCTTTTGCTGAAAGAGTCAGGAGAGGTACCCTCTTTCCTGTCGGTTGTCAGGCTGCTACTAAACATCTTCTCTGGTGCAAGGGGGTGCCCTGTCTGTAACAGGAGAGAATAAAGCAAACAGAGAGGAAAGCAGGACCCAGAGATGGAGAAGAATAGTGGCATCATCTCAGAATCAGGAGCCAGCTATGCTGACACCTATACAGACCTTGGACCATTTGACTTTAAGCCAGTAATTTTTTCTGTGTTGTTTGGATGGGAGGAAGTTCTGCTACATGCAACCAAAAAAATTCTGACAAATTTAGGGGCCACCCAAAGCTCAGTGTAGTGCCAGAAGAAAATGGATTTTCTCCCTATTTTTAACCCCCAACTTTGTTTTTGTTTGTTTGTTTGTTTTTGTTTTTTTGGGACGGAGTCTCACTCTGTTGCCCAGTCCAGAGTGCAGTGACGGGATCTCGGCTCACTGCCACCTCCGCCTGCTGTAACCCACAACTTTGAATCAACATAGGAATTCCAAAATAATCTCATCACATGAAGTTGGTTTCAGGATGTTTTTGCTTTACCTATATATAGGTGCCATACATAAAAATCTCAGCAGGTAGCCAGGCACAACAGCTCACATCTATAATCCTAGTGCTTTGGGAGGTCAAGACAAGAGGATCGCTTGAGCCCAGGAGTTTGAGATCAGCCCAGGCAACACAGCGAGACCCCATCTCTACAATCAAATAAAAAAAAATTAGCCAGGCATGGTGGGGTGTGCCTCTTAGTCCTAGCTCCTCAGGAGGCTGAGGTGGGAGGATCACCTGAGCCCGGGAGTTTAAGGCTGCAGTGGGCTATGATGGTGACACTGCACTCCAGCTTGGGTGACAGAGGGAGACCTTGTCTCTAATAAATAGATAAATAAAAACTTGACAAGTTAAAAGTGAAAGAATCCCAGTGACTCGTGACCTAAAAAGGTAAAGTAACTGTCCCAGGGCCAAATGTTGTATTATGATTGAAGTGTCATGGTATCAGAGCCTTCTACTCTCTTTCATTATCTTTAGTGAAATGGGTTTCAAAATCTAATATTGTACACAGAAGTGGTTTTAAAATCAACATATCAATTACCAAATAATGATCAACTTAAAAAAGAAGTAAAATAGGATCCATAGCATCAGAACACATCACATATCACTTCTTGGCCTTTTGGCTAAGATCTAGTGCAGAATACATCACATATAATAAGGATAAGTAATATTTTATAAAGTTTGTTTCCATGGTATATAAACATAAATATATATGCACATACATGTAGATATCCATGGAGTGAGTCTGATATGTATGCCGTACTTTTTAACTGTGGTTCCCTGGCTAAGCTTAAAAGCTTCTTTCGTGCATACTTGGATTTCCTTTATAAGGATGTTTTCATCTAAAAGGAAAAAAAAAAAGTACATTTTTCATACCAGTAAAGGGTCACCTGGCATTCCAGTCAAGCTAGCCCACGTGGATGGCCTGGATTCTAACAAAGTTTCTGTGCCTGAGTTATGAACACAACATTTTTCTGTTTGTCTTCCACACCACTGAGCTACCAGTAACAAGAGTGTGCTTTTGGAAGGCTTTTGGGATTCTTTGGGGAATGAAAGTGCTGCATAAAATCAAGTCTGGTCTGTTTATGGATGTAATTCCCTGTGCCCAGAGATCAGGATGTGCACTGCGGTCTGAATTACATTGCATCTGATTCTCATTAACTGCCTGTGATTTTCCCCCTGGATCCGGTTTCTCTGCCTTTTCTGAATTACTGTGCACATGGCTGGCTTCCGCAGATTGCTCAGCCCTGGTCATCTGCAATTGAGTCCACTGCTCTGTTATAACCCATGCTGCAATTTGAGTGGACCCATATCAGAAGTGTTTTAGGCATAAACATTCTGTCTAATGATTAAAGGGACTCCCTAAGCTAAATGCTGCTCTTTAGAGAGTTTATTACCAATCACTATGGAAAAGGGATAGATTTGATTTCTTAAGCCTGGAGAAGGAAAGCTGGACAATAAGTGTGTATTACCAAACCTTGTATGATGCTGTCGGCTGAATTGTTTCCTCCTCAAATGCATATATTGAAGCACTAACCCCTAATATGATTGTACTTGGAGGGAAGGCTTTGAAGAGGCAATTAAGGTCATAGGAGGTCATAAGGGTGGGGTCCTAATGCAATAAAATTGGTGGCCTTCTAAGAACAGGAAAAGAGAAAGATCTTGCTCCTTTTCCACATGTGCAATGCATGCACCTGAGGAAAGACCAGCACATAGTGAGGTGGCCATCTGCAAGCCTGGGAGAGAGCCCTCACTAGAACCTCATCTCAGGCTTCCAGCCTCTAGGACTGTGAGAAAATTCAGGTCTGTTGTTTAAGCCACCCGGTCTACAGTGTTTTGCTATGGCAGCCTGAGCTGAATGATAGCTAGCAAGCAAGGCCTATCTCAATCTTTTTTAGTACCAGGAAAAGGTTGCAGATTTCTTATTAACCTAATAAATAAGTATATAGTGCCTACTATGTGCCAGGCATGTTCTAAATCCTTAACAATTATTAACTCTTGCAATCTTCACAACACACTCAGTCAGGATGAGCTAAGTTATGCTGCAGTGACAACTCCTGGATTTCAATGTTTAGAACCTCATGTGTATATTTCTCCCTCACAGTTGTCTCTTCCTTGGATCTGGTAGGAGAAGGTAGGATAGGGGACCCTTTTACCTGGAAATGACACTTCCCTTGTGCTCACTTTTCTTTGGCTAAAGCAAGTCACAGGCTTCCTTTAACTTTGAAGATGGGGAAGTGCTATCCTGCCATGTTTCTGGAAGGAAGAGAACCAGACACATTTGTTGAACAGCAAAAATGACTACTGAAACCATTTTATGAAGAATATGCTTTTGCTGTTCCTATTTTACAGATGAGAAAACAAACACAGACAGTTTGTGTAACTTATCCTAGATCACAAAACTAGTAAACAGAGTCAGGTTACCAGGCTTAGCAAATCAAAATACAAGACACTCAGTTAAATTTGAATTTCAGATAAACAACAAATAAATTTTTAGCAGAAATATGTCTTAAATCTGCATATGGGATATATTTATACTAAAAAACTATTTGTTGTTTATCTGAAATTCAAATTTAAGTGGGTGTCCTATATTTTATCTGGCAACCCTAAGCCAGGCAATCCTCAGCCAGGATTTGAACCCAAGTATTTTGGCTTCAGAGATGAATATTCAGAGATGAATATTCTATTCAATACTGTTCTTTTGCTTCTGCAACCTTCTTTTGTTCCTCTGCTGATGTTAATTTAATATTTGTTCCTGAACCATATGAATAAGGCTGAAAGCAAATTTGAGGTCTTCTCTATGAGGATGGGGATAAAGAGCATTTTGGAAATGTTTTCCCACTGATAGTTTCACGTAGAGTCCTGGGAGCTGGGGTGCGGGGGCCTGGGGGTATAGGAGGAAATGGAATCTCTCCTGTAAAAGTGAACCTGTCCACTTTCAGATGTGTCTAGTGATCTGCCTCCTAATGTTTCTTAGCTAATGGAAGGGGAAATGTGGGGCAGATAATCAAAATGACAGTTAATCCCCAAAACTTTCCCCTGTAACTTTGAAGTGTGGCATGTTTGCCTTTTAAATTTTGAGGCACTTAGGCTGATAATAAAATTAGTTTGCATTCTCTGACCACAGTAATTGAGGATTCAGGCTTGAGGAGTTGGCTCCACACCAGTGGTAGACAGTGGGCATATAATTATGTATTTGAAATGAAAAAGAAAATTATGTATGTGAATAGGGTGAGTCTGAAGGGGAGTGTAAAGCCAGCTTAAGACCACATTTTTCAGTTATTGTCCCACAAGGTTGATAGTCGATATGCAAATAAGTGTTTACAGTGATAATAGCTGATACATGATTAACATCTAAGAAATACTTATTAATTGCCTGGCACAGAGCCTGGTATAAAGTAGAAATTAAATATTTGTTAAATCAATGAATGATTGACACCCTATAATGTAGATGCTCTCCGTTGCCCTATTTTACAAATGAGGAATCGGAAGTTAGGCTCAGTGACCATCTGATTAAAATCAGTCTATCTTCTTCTTTTTCTTCTTTTTTTTTTTTTGAAACCAGGCCAACTGCTAAAGATCTTTGGGCCTAGGCAAGAACTTTGATTTATCTGAGAATTAGTCTGCAGAGTTCCTAGTTCTTGATTACTACTTCTCTTGATTTGAGTTGGCCTTCAAAGAGTTTGAATCAAGCAGCTGAAGCTTGTGACTCATTCCCTCTATTAGGAATAATGGCTAATAAGCAATTAGGAAGAATTGATTAACATGTCTGAGCCCTTGGATAAAAAAATAGCTAAGTATAGAAGATTAACATTTCATTGTTGCTATGTGGCCTGAGTTTCACTTAATTCCCTGCAAAAGGACACAGAATCTTTCCCTAGATGAGGTTTCAAAGCAAGGGCCAGTCATCATTCAGTATTCAAGGGGGATTGGTTCTAGGACCCTGGTGGGGAGTAAAATGCAAGGATGCTCAGTCCCTTTAATTAAATGGAGTATTATTTGCATATAACTTATACACATCCTCCTGTATACTTTTTTCTTTATTTTTTATTTTTTAATGAGATGGAATCTCACTATGTTGCCCAGGCTGGGCATGAACTCTTGGGCTCAAGCAATCCTCTTGCCTCAGCCCCAGCAAAGTGTTGGGATTACAGGCGTGAGCCACCACACCCAGCCACATCCTCCTGTGTACTTTAAATTATCTTTATATTACTTATAATACCTATCCAATGTAAATGCTATGTAAATAAAGTCAAACATCGCTTTATAATGGAGATACCTTCTGAGAAATGCATTAGAGTATTTCCTCATTGTTCAAACATCATAGAGAGCACTTATACAAACTTGGATTGTGTAGTCTGCTACACACGTAGGCTGGATGGTATAGCCTAATAGCCTGTTGCTCCTAGGCCCAAAGAAACCACCTTCTCTGTGAGGCCTATTATGAAGACTAATTTCAGGTATTAACATTGGAGATCCCTCAGTACCCCCTTATTGTGTGCCTTGGTGCAAGAGCCAAGGAAAAGGAAAGTAAATGAAAGTCTGAAGAAACTGTTTTTGGACAAGAGGCCAACATTGACATGTTCCTTTGGCTATTTAATAAATTTCGGCGACCCACTAGGGATATATGAATAAGCTGGGCATACACACCCCATAGACTTTAACAGAGTAGCAGAAAATAACAGTTAGTATTAATTTCTATTGAAAATCCTTTTATTTAGTCATTACTATATCCCAGGTTCTGTCCTAAGTTATTTATCATGATTTCATCTTTTAACTGTCCAAACAGTCTTGTGGGCTGCTCTAACGCTGCTGGTGGGTACACAGCTTGGTAATGCCACTTTGGAAAACTGTTTGGCAGTATCTTCCACACTGAGTGTATGCAAACCCTATGACCCAGCAATTCTATTCTTCCGTATATACTGAGCAGAAATGAATACATGTGTTCACCAAAAGACATGTTCTAGAATGTTCGTAGCAGCACTGCTAGTAACAGCCCCAAAATAGGACCCACCCAAATGCCCATCAACCTTGATTGATTAATCGATTGATATATATGTGTATATATATATATATATATATATATATATTTTTTTTTTTTTTTTTTTTTTTTTTTTTGAGATGGAGTCTCGTTCTGTCGCCAGGCTGGAGTGCAGTGGTGCAGTCTTGGTTCACTGCCAACTCTGCCTCCTGGACTCAAGGGATTCTCCTGCCTCAGCCTCCCAAATAATTGGGATTACAAGCCCACACCACCATGCCCAGCTAACATTTATATTTTTAGTAGATACTGGGTTTCACCACGTCGGCTAGGATGGTCTTGATCTCCTGAACTTGTGACCCACCCGCCTTGGCCTCCCAAAGTGCTGGGATTACAGGCATGAGCCACTGCACCCAGCCAATTGACTGATTTCTTAGTTGATTGTGAGTTAATTAAAAGGCACATTATTCTGAGTATTCTGAGTGGGCCTAAATTCATCATGCTGGAGCCCCTTTCGAAAGGGCCAGTAACTTCACGTGGAGGGATTTCCCTGCTCCTCTGAAGTGGTGATGCAAACCGCCTACGGAGAGGAGCGCTCAGCAAGGAACCGTGGGGCCCTTTAGCAGCCGAGCACAGACATTAGCTGACAGTCAGCAAAGAAGTGGGAAACTCAGTCTTAGGAACACAAGGAATCAAATTCTGCAAGCATCTATATAAGCTTGGAAGAAGACCCCAAGCCCCACATGAGGATGCAGCCTGGCTGACCCCTTGAATTCAGCCTTATGAGAACCCTGAGCAAAGAATCCAGGTAAGCCATGCCCAGACTTCAGACCTGCAAAAACTGAGACGATAAATTAATGTTGGCTGGATATAGTGGCTCACACCTGTAATCCCAGCACTTTGGGAGGCTGAGGTGGGTGGATCACCTAAAGTCAGGAGTTCGAGACCAGCCAGAGGAACATGGCAAAACCCTGTCTCTACGAAAAAATAAAATTAAAAAAATGGAAAAAATTAGGCCAGGCACGGTGGCTTACACTTGTAATCCCAGCACTTTGGGAGGCTGAAGTGGGCAGATCACCTGAGGTCAGGAGTTTGAGACCAGCCTGGCCATTATGGTGAAACCCTGTCTCTACTAAAAATACAAAAATTAGCAGGGCGTAGTGGCGGACGGCTGTAATTCCAGCTACTCAGGAGGCTGAGGCAGGAGAATTGTTTGAACCTGGGAGGCAGAGGTTGCAGTGAGCCAAGATCATGCTACTGCACTCCAGCCTGGGTGACAGAGTAAGAGTCTGTCTCAAAAAAAAAAAAAAAAAAAAAAAATTAGCCAAACCAGGCATGGTGGCAGGTGCCTATAATCCCAGCTATTTGGGAGGCTTAGGGAGGAGAATTGCTTGAACCTGGGAGGTGGTGATTGCAGTGAGCCAAGATCATGCCGTTGCACTCCAGCCTGGGTGACAAAGCGAGACTCTGTCTCAAAACAAAAAAACTAAAAACTTACCAAACACCACCTTTTTCTCTAAGATGATATGTAAAACTCTTTCATGTCTCAAATTCTTTGCATATGCTTAAAATGATTTTTATTCTGCAACTCCTAATTGAGAGGTAGTTGTTTCCTTGTCTTTCCTACTCATTAAAAAAATCTATACATTATAACTAGTTTAACTATCAACCTTTAAAAGGGTAAATAAATTATGGTATTGTGGTATATTCACACAGTGGAACACTCTGCAGCAATGCAAATGAATCATCTGCAATTACATACAAAAGATGAGTATATTTCACAAACATTCCATTTTTATGAAGTTTGAAAAATACTGTTAGACACTGGGTAGTGGTTAGTCTTAGGGGATGGTGAGGCAGGCAGAATTCTAAGGTGGGGGACATGATACCTGCCCCCTAGGTTGCTCCCTCATATAATCCCTGTCCCTTGAGTACAGGTGCAACCTGTGACTTAGTGGGGTATCCCTCCTGTTATTAAGGTCCCTAATCACTGAGGAGACTATCATGGGTTGACCTGTCCTAATCAGGCAAGCTCTTAAAATGAGCAGTTAGAGGTCAGAGACAGAAGTCACAGTGACAAACAAGGTGCTTCTGGCCTGGAAGGGACCCACAGTTGTGACCTGTATATGGGGGCAGGAACCACACAGCAAGGAACTGGGCAGCCTGTAGGAGCTGAGAGTGGGCCCCTGCCAACAGCTAGCAAGGGAGCTGGACCTCTGTTATACAGCCATAAGGAACTGATTCTGCCAGCAACTGCAACGAGCTCAAGTCCTGAATGAGAACCCAAGCCTTGGCTGACACCTTGATTGCTAACTCGTGAGACCTGAGATCTATCTAAGCTGTGCCCGCACTCCTGACCCATGAACACTGAGATAATAAATCTGTGTTGTTTTAAGCTACTCAATTTGTAGTAGCAGGTTACATTGCAGTAGAAACGTAACACAGAGGGTAGGGATGAGAAGGAGGCTACTGGGTATTGAGAGTGTTCTGTTTCTTGATCTAGGTGATGGTCACACGAGTATATTTAATTTGTGAAGTTTGTATTTTACACTTAAGATGTGTACACTTTTCTCTATGTATTATACACTTGATACAAAGTTGTTTAAAAATGAATCTTTTGAAATAGGTTGTGTGTTATAATCTCTGCTCTACAGTTGAGGATATGGAAGCCCAGAGACACCCAAGCCCAGATCTGCCTGATTTCACTGTGCTCTGTGGTCTCTATTGTAGCCTACCCCTCTTGTTGATGGTCAGATAATATAACTATCCCCTTGGTGGTGCTACTCTTTGTAAAACACTAAAAAAACAAAAAAGGGGAGGGGAGTAACTCTTCAGAATGAGTCAGACCTTTGATATATGTCGTTTTGATTATTCAGGGAGCCCTGATAATAATTGCAGTCATTTTCTAGTGGTGCAGTAAGGGACCTCTGATAAATGTGACCTTTTATTGCTGTCCATCGCCCCTCCTCCTTCCAGGGACCGGCAACAAATATATCTACTAAAGATTCTGACTTTTGACCCTGCCTGTCAACAACTGAGAAGGAAAGGAGAAATAGAGAGGTAAGAGTTCACCCAAGGTGTGTTTGTTCAGGAAAAAGTATTTATTACACCAGCATTTTCTTTAAAAAAATGCAACAAACCAAAAACCTAGCAACAGTCTTTCAAAGATTACCAAAATAATATTAATTAACAATCATTTAAACAGAATCAAACAACTTCAGAAATTATGCACCTAAAAGTTTAAAAATTATCCTCCTTAAAAATAACAACTACTGCCGGGCGCAGTGGCTCATGCCTGTAATCCCAGCAGTTTGGGAGGCCGAGGCAGGCAGATCACCTGAAGTTGGGAGTTCGAGACTAGCCTGACTAACATGGAGAAACCCCGTCTCTACTAAAAATACAAAATTAGCCAGGCGTGGTGGTACATTCCTGTAATCCCAGCTACTCGGGAGGCTGAGGCAGGAGAATTGCTTGAACCCAGAGGTTGCGGTGAGCCGAGATGGCACCATTGCACTCCAGTCTGGGCAACAAGAGCGAACTCCATCTCAAAAAACAAACAAACAAAAAACCCCACAAAAACAAAAAACTGCACTATCCCATACAGTAGCCAAGTGTAGATATTGACCACTTGAAAGATGGTCTGAATTGAAATGTTCTATGTAAATACACAGAGGATTTCAAATACTTAGGAAAAAAAGAATGTAAATATTTCAGTGTCATTATATTGGTTATATGTTGAAATCATAATTTTTAGACGTTGGGCTGCATAAGATATATTATTAGGAACTAGAAAATACAAAATTTCATCTGTGACTCATTACATTTCCTTTTGGATGCATTAATCTAGTATATTGTAGGTTCTTCACAAAAGACATATACAAAGTAAAAAAACTAGGGCTTAAATTTTTTTTTTTTTTTTTGAGATGGAGTTTTGCTCTTGTTGCCCAGGCTGGAGTGCAATGGCGTCATCTTGCCTCGCTGCAACCTTCGCCTCCCGGGTTGAAGCAATTCTCCTGCCTCAGCCTCCTGAGTAGCTTGGATTACAGGTATGCACCACCATGCCCAGCTAATTTTGTATTTTTAGTAGAGATGGGGTTTCACCATGTTGGCCACGCTGGTCTCGAACTCCTGACCTCAGGTGATCCGCCCATCTTAGCCTCCCAAAGTGCTGGGATTACAGGCATGAGACACTGTGGTGGCCTAGGGCTTTCATTTTATAGCATCATTATTAGTTTGGTTTTGTTTATTGTTGTTTTAAGAGATAGACTCTCCCTATGTCACCTAGGCTGGAGTACAGTGGCACAGTCATAGCTCACTGTCACTTCAAACTCCAGGGCTCAAGCCATCCTCCCTTCTCCTCCTCCTCCAAAGGATTACAGGTGTGAACCCCTGGGCCTAGCCCATTATTTGTTTGTTTATTGTTGATGTTTTTGTTTGTTTGTTTTTGAGGCAGAGTCCTGCTTTGTCACCCAGGCAGGAGTGCAGTGGTGCCAACATGGCTCACTGCAGCCTCAACTCCCTAGTCTCAAGCAATCCTCTCACCTTAGGTCCCGATATAGCTGGAACTACAGATGTAAGCCACCACACCAGGCTAATTTTTGTGTTTTTTGTAGAGTCAGGGTTTCACCATGTTGCCCAGTTGGTCTCAAACTGCTGAGCTCAAGCGATCCTCCCGTCTCAGCCTCCCAAAATGCTGGGATTATAGGCATGAGCTTCCATGCCCGGCCTCATTACTTATTTTTTTAATTATCTTTTTTCTGATTACAAATGTATCATAACATAGTAAAAACTATTGGAAACACAGAAAAGCATACATTAGAAAGCAAAAGCTCTCCTTTAAGCTGAATCATTTTAATTAACATTATAGCCTATATTCTTATAAAATATATATATAACTACATACTGTATATGATTCATTATATAAACATTATTTTGGCTAAATCTATCATGGAGTTCTTTCTATAATAATATGTAGGTAGATAGTTCACTATGTAAATGTATTTATTTACCCAATCTCTTATTGATTTAGGTTGAGTTTTTTCTTTCTTATGAAAACTGCCATTGCTACTGATGATCCCATGCATACATCTTTTGGTACTTGTTTAGTTATTTCCTTAGGATCCATTCCTAAAAGTAGCATTCTTGGGTCAAAAAACAGAGATGACAAATTTTAGATTCCTACAGTGCCTTGTTAGTTTGTGTTTTACTCTTAACAGTAAGCTCTCAGGCTTAGGGACCATTTATTTTTGGTGTATTGTACCCTGCATGGTTGTGGGCAGGGATCATCTCTTATAGGTTCCCCTCTCACTCCCCACTTCCATACCCTTTTCAGCTTTTGAACAAGTTGAGACTAAAAGATGGTTCAGGTTTTGATTCTTTTTTTTTTTTTTTTTTTTTTTGAGACAGAGTTTCCCAGGCTGGAGTGCAATGGCGCGATTTCGGCTCACCACAACTTCCACTTCCCGGGTTCAAGCAATTCTGCTTCAGCCTCCCGAGTGGCTAGGATTACAGGCATGCACCACCATGCCTAGCTCATTTTGTATTTTTAGTAGAGATGGGGTTTCTCCATGTTGGTCAGGCTGGTCTCGAACTCGCGACCTCACATGATCTGCCCGCCTCGGCCTCCCAAAGTGTTGTGATTACAGGCGTGAGCCGCTGCGCCTGGCCCAGGTTTTGATTCTTTAGAAAAGAAGTTGGTTGGTATCCTTAGGGAAGAATGTAATTGAAATGACCATGGACTTTTTAAATTCTTGGTCCTGAACCATCTCCTAGGGCACTGTCCAGCTTACAGGTGGCTGCTGTAGGCTCAAGTGCTGCTGTCAGTTTCAGTCAGTTTTGAGCTAAGTGGTGGAGTCCCACATGGCTCAAGAGTGCAACCTATGGCCAGGCGCAGTGGCTCATGCCTGTAATCCCAGCACTTTGGGAGGCTGAGGTGGGCGGATCACCTGAGGTCAAGAGTTCGAGACCAGCTCGGCCAACATGGTGAAACCCTGTCTCTACTAAAAATATAAAAATTAGCTGGGTGTGGTGGTGGGTGCCTATAATCCCAGCTACTCGGGAGACCGAGGCAGGATAATTGCTTGAACCTGGGAGGCGGAGGTTGCAGTGAGCCGAGATTGCGCCACTGCACTCCAGCCTGGGTGACAGAGCAAGACTTCATCTCAAAGAAAAAAGAGTGCAACCTAAGTGTAAAGAAGCCTTAGAAGGGGGCTGTGGGCAAGGCAAGCACTGACACTAGCTTGTTTGGTTAAGTCCCTTTGATTAGGACCATATAAAGCAAATTATTAATGGAGTACCATGATCATTTTCACTGTGGATGAATCTGTGAATGTTAATAAATGTTTGGTGTAAGAGAAATCTCATTGCAACACAGATAGTTTCAACCTCCTTGCCAAGTGCTTGGGGCTTGGTGTCTACTCTAGAAATGTTATTATGTTGAATTGACTATGAAGAAATACTAAATATCAACTAGCCAGGCGCAGTGGCTCACGCCTACAGTTCCAGCACTTTGGGAGCCTGAGGCGGAAGGATCCCTTTGAGGTCAGGAGGTTGAGACCAGCCTGGGCAACATGGTGAAACCCCAGCTCTACACAAAATACAAAAAATTAACCAGGGGTGATTACTCGCGCCTTCAGTCCCAGCTACTCAGGAGGCTGAGGTTGGGGGATGGCTTGAACCCCAGAGGCAGAGGTTGCAGTGGGCAGAGATTGTGCCACTGCGCTCCAGCCTGGGAGACACAGTGAGACCCTGTCTCCAAAAAAAAAAAAAAAGTGAACTAGCCCTAGCACTGGTAGGATCAGGAACCATCATGTAAGATAGCTAGTCATATCACATTCTAGAAATGTGCTTCAGTCCTACCATTTGAACAATTCTAGGATTCAAAACCACAAGATTAATGGTCTTTATGATATATTTTTTCCATGGGGAAAAATGAAAATGTCAGCTACCAGAGTTCTAATAATACTTTTATCATCAATTCATAGCAATCTTACTGTGTTACCACTTCAAGGAGTGCCTGGAAATTAGTATATGCTCAATTGCTCTAATTAACTGAAATGAATGCCATGTACCCAATTATTATGCTAGTAGAATGTGTCAGTTTATTGAAAATATAAAGCTATTCTGTACTCTGGAAACCTTTTCTTGGATGACAGATATATAGCTCTAGAAATTAAAACCCCATAGGTTAACATTCTGTACAGTTTTTCATGTTTTTTTTTTTTTTTTTTGAGGCAGTCTCGCTCTGTCACCAGGCTGGAGTGCAGTGGCTCCATCTCCACTCACTGCAACTTCTGCCTCCTGGGTTCAAATGATTCTCCTGCCTCTACCTCCCAAGTAGCTGAGATTGCAGGTGCCCACCACCATGCCCAGGTAATTTTTGTATTTTTTTTTTTAGTAGAAATGGGGGTCTCACCATGTTGGCCAGGCTGGTCTCAAACTCCTGACCTTAAGTGATCTGCCTGCCTCAGCATCCCAAAATGCTGGGATTACAGGTGTAAGCCACCGTGCCTGGTCGATACTTTTTTTTTTTAAACTGGCAACATGGCATCCACTAGGGCACAATGGAAATGTTCTTAGAAGGGCTTGAATAGTTTCCCAGACTTTGGAGGAAACCTGACTTATATGGAAAAGCCTGAAGGTGAGAGGCTGATGGGAACATTGTGGTGGCAAAGCCTATAGGGTGAGCTTTGAACCAAGAGGGTGGATGCCCTGTTGGCATGGTAGCCTTGTTTTAATCTGTTGAAAGAACCCCACTCTGCAGAAGAGTGTAGCAGAATGTGGCAGTATGGGCTGTACCACTAGAGTAGGCCAGGAAGGGCCACATAAGAAGTCAGCAAAATAATGCATTTACTAAGGAAATTGGCCACCATAAGAAGTCCCTAGTTTGGGCTGGGCACAGTGGCTCACGCCTGTAATCCCAGCACTTTGGGAGGCTGAGGCAGGCTGATCACTTGAGGCCAGGAGTTCAAGACCAGTCTGGCCAACATAGTGAAACACCATCTCTACTAAAAATACAAAAATTAGCCAAGCACAGTGGTGCATGCCTGTAATCCCAGCTACTTGGGAGGCTGAGGCAGGTTGATCACTTGAGGCCAGGAGTTCAAGACCAGTCTGGCCAACATAGTGAAATACCATCTCTACTAAAAATACAAAAATTAGCCAGACACAGTGGTACATGCCTGTAATCCCAGCTACTTGGGAGGCTGAGGCAGGAGAATTGCTTGAACCCGGGAGGCAGAGGTTGCAGTGAGCCGAGATCGTGTCACTGCACTCCAGCCTGGATGACACAGCAAGACTCTGTCTCAAAAAAAAAAAAGAAGTCCCTAGTTTGGGGGTGTGGGGGATGGTGAGTCTCGAAAGACTGATAAAACTGCCCCAGTAGGAAAAGAGGCAATGTTTGAGATATATCACCAGTTCAGTGAGAACATATTGTTCCCTTCCATAAGCTCCTCTCCCACTCCCAATCCCAATCCTATGGGGTATAGGAGTATCAGAGAGTGGTTAAAAAAGAAGGTAAAAAGGCCAGGCACAGTGGTTCACACCTGTAATCCCAGCACTTTGGGAGGCTGAGGCAGGCGGATCACTGAGGTCAGGAGTTTGAGACCAGCCTGGCCAACATGGCGAAACTCCATCTCTACTAAAATTACAAAAATTAGCCGGGTGTGGTGGCGCACACTTGTAATCCCAGCTACTTGGAAGGCTGAGGCAGGAGAATTGCTTGAATCTGGGAGGCGAAGGTTGCGGTGACTTGACATCGCACCACTGTACTCCAGCCTCGGAGATGGAGCAAGGCTCTGGCTAAAAGAGAGAGAGAGAGAGAGAGAAGGCAGAACAAGGAAAGAAACAACAAATCCCTCTTGCTTTCTCATCTGGGGTTAGGTCTGAGCTGCTGGAGAGAAAAGCTTTACTTGGATGAGAAACTGAAGTTTTGCTATTATGCTACATTGGACATTTGTAGTCCTGAAAATGATTGTTACTACTTGAATGTTTTTGGAGATGCCAGGCAATCTGCCCTGGATGTTCAGTTGGGGTAGGGAAGGAAAACACAACAGAGAAAATTTGAAGATAGCAATGGGGGAGATGAATTTACTTCCTTCTGTACCTTATCAAACCCAACTCATTTAATTAGCCAGTTTCTCCCTATAAACCCCCATTACCATGTAAACTGTATTTCAGTTATATGCAACATGAGATAACCTGATTGACAGTGATTGTGTGTGACTCATTAGTTAGAAATCTAATGAAGATTCTTTGCTAGAACCAGGTGGTTCTCTTTGGACTAAACAGAACACTGGTACATGGGTCTGCAGCATCAGTATCACCTGGGAGCTGCTAGAAATGCAGACTCCCAGGCCCTATCCCAGACTTACGTCATCAGTAGCTTAACAAGATCCCCCAGGTGATCCATATGCACATTAGAGTTTGAAAAGCATTGATTTGAGAACTAAGTATGTTTTACATTTTCTCCTAGACAGGAAAATCCTCACTTTGACCTCAGTATTGTGGGACCCTGAAATGGAAGGAGCTCAGAATCATGAGATCTGAGCCCTACCTGTGTTATGCTGGTTGAATCATTTCTTGGATTCTCCAACATTTTTGTAGTTGTTTAATCAGATGAATTATAAGGTCTCATCTGGCTCTGACATTGTGTAATTCTAAGAAATTTTGGTTGAAGCGAAAGAAAAAATAAAGCCCGGTTAAAAAATTTAATAAACCTGGTAACAATTTGATGAAAGAGCCACTACAGCTTCACCGTGTTGCTGTGCAACTGTGATGGAGGGTATTGTCCATGCATCCCTGCTCATCACTTCGTCGTTTGTTAGCCCAAATGAAAAGTCTTTTCCTGTTTAATAACAATTATCCCTCCTGTATTGAGGAAGAAGCATATTTGATAAGAAAAGAAGATTATTGCTAAAACAAAATGATATTTAGAGTGGCGGGCTGCCAGCAGCTACCAAATCATTTGTATTGGAATGATTAGTAAATTCTTTTTTTTTTTTTTTGAGACAGAGTCTTGCTCTGTTGCCCAGGCTAGAGTGCAATGGTGCCATCTTGGCTCACTGCAACCTCTACCTCCCGGGTTCAGGCAATTCTCCTACCTCAGCCTCCCAAGTAGCTGTGATTACAGGCGACCACCACCATGGCCAGCTAATTTTTTTGTATTTTTAGTAGAGACAGGGTTCTGCCATGTTGGCCAGGCTGGTCTCGAACTTCTGACCTCAGGTGATCCACCCATCTTGGCCTCCGAAAGTGCTGGAATTATAGGCATGAGCCACCGTGCCCAGCCAAGTAAATTCTTTATTTGGAAAGCAGCATATGTTTTTTTTGATGTGTAAGGATTTTTTTTTTTTTTTTTTTTTTTTTTTTTTTTTTTTAGAAAGGAGAATTGCTCTGTTGTAAAACAAAGATCACACACAGACATAGAACAAACTCAAATTTGACCTCGGTAATGTAAGTCATGTGGTGGTGTAGGCAAAGAAGAATGCTAGAGCCAGTACTTAAGAATATATTTCAGGTGCATCGCTGATTCACTGTGTGATGTTGGCAATGTCTTTTACCTCTTCTATTTCTCAGTTCTGCTACCATAAAAGTGATTGAATTGGATTATTCCATCCTGCATATTAATTGCTGTTCCTGATAGAGGCTGCCTGGAACTTTGGGTTGAGAAGTACAGCAGGGCCTCAGCAAGCTCAGTGGGAAAGGATCAATGAATTAGGCATGTCTGCTGTGGGCGAGGCAATAGGGAGTGACCAACTAATTCCATTTGTTTGCAAATTTCTGGGTTAGGAGCTTTCTGAGGACATTGACTATCTTAAATGTTTTCATCCTGAAAATATTTTAAAATGGTTTTATTATAGGATAAAAATAAAGAGAGAGAGACTGATTTCTAGATTTATTATTGCTTCTTTGTTTTTGTTATTGTTTTTGTTTTGAGTCAGGGTCTCACTCTCACCCAGGCTGGTGTGCAGTGGCGTGATCACAGCTCACTGCAGCTCCCACCTCCCTGGCTCAAAGAATCCTCCCACCTCAGCCTCCCGAGTAGCTGAACTACATAGGTGCGCACCACCATGTCCGGCTGATTTTTGTATTTTTTGTAGAGATGGGGTTTCACCATGTTGCCCAGACTGGTCTTGAACTCCTGGGCTCAAGCAAGCTGCCTGTCTTGGCCTCCAAAAGTGCTGGCATTACAGGCATGAGCCACCACACTTCTTTGGAGTCTTGCAACAGCTTGAAGTATATGTGTGCTTTCCTGTTCTTGATAGCAACTTGCAGGACAAGCTCTGAAGAGAAGGAAATCTGCTTGGATTTAAAAGATATTCAGTGTGAGATACCAGATAGGCTGGAAGTGATTTATGAAACGAGTTCTCTGTTTTGTTAAAACATAAGATTGTTGTTCCATTTGGGGACCTTTATATGAAACAGATGCCTAATCTATAAATCAGCCACCCTGCAGTAAGGGAGATGACATTTTAAAATAAATTATTGTGGATCCAGGAAGTAAAAGTGTGGATGAACAAATTTTTATTGTCTTCTGGGCATAGGAAACATCTTATCAGTCATCTGTTTGGGACGATCTTCCCCCCGATGCTTATTAAGGGAATTGGTGATGAGGAAAGAGTCGAAAGTTCTGTCTAGAAATTTGTTCTCTGACCTAACAAGGCACTCCTCAGGTTTGACAGGAACAGCGGCAGAATTGTGGACTTTTCCAGCTTTGTCAAGAAAGCGCTGCTGTTGCGTTTGGGTTTCAGTTTCAAATGTAGTCCCCCAGAGGAAACTGGATTAGAGTAGTTTGTAGAGTTCAGAGACGGAATACATTTATAGTTGTTGGGTTTTTTCCTTTTCTGTCGAGCTCTTCAGTGGGTCTACTTTCTACTTCCCATTATAAAAATGAACATTTTGGCGGGGCATGGTGGTTCATGTCTCTAACTGAAGCAGTTTGGGAGGCCGAGGAGGGAGGATCACTTGATACTAGGAGTTTGAGACCAGCCCCGGCAACATAGCAAGACCCCTTCTCTACAAAAAAATAAACAATATTAGCCAGGTATGGTGGTGCACCATCTGTAGTCCCAGCTACTCAGGAGGCCGAGGTAGGTGGATTGCTTGAGCCCAGGAGTTTGAGACCAGCCTGGGAAACATAGGGAGATCCTGTCTCTATGAAAAATATAAAAAGTAGCTGGATGTGGTGGTACACACCTGTGGTCCCAGCTACTCAGGAGGCTGAGGTAGGAGGATTGCTTGGGTTTGGGAATGGAGGCTGCAGTGAGCAGTGATTGTGCCACTACACTTCAGCCTGGGTGACAGAGCAAGACTCTGTCTTTTGTCAAAAAAAAAAAAAAAAAGGAAAGAAAGAAAGAAAGAAAGAAAAATTTCATTGTTTTCATGTCATTTCTTGACTGTTTGATAGTTTTCTGATAGTCAGCTAATGATCATTGTCTCTGCACCTGAAAGCCGCAAGTTCATTCATGTATTCATTGGTTTAGTAAAAAGTATTCACTTAACTCTGATGGAGAGGAAGACATATGGCTGGCCACCCAGGTTATAGTGATGTTTATATAAGGCATGCTCCATCTTCAAGGTTTACAACCCAGCAAGGGGCCATAAATACAGTATATCCAAAATGACAGGTAATTCAAATATGAGTTCCAACTGATTTTGGAAGTCTTTTTTCATTTTAGAAGACATTAATCATTTTCTTTAGCTTGATTTAATTTTTTGAGTTGATAATTTAGTCACATGGTTCAAAAATAAAAGTGGAATCAAAAGTCTTACTCTAATTCCTGACCCAACCTACCTAATTTACTACCCTTCGGCCTCCTGTATGTAACCACTCTTATTAATTTTCTGCAGAGCCTTCTGGTATTTATTTTTGTGCAGATATAAATATATTCTTATTTTCCCTCCTTTTACGTAGAAGTTCGCATACTATATTACTGTTTTGCATGCTACCTTTTTCACTTAATTGTTTTCCTGTGACATTTCACAGGGCATAGGGAACTTCATTCTCTTTTTCATAGCTGTGAATATTGTATGGAAGTACTGTGGCTTATTCACCCACTCATCTCTAGATGAGTGTTTGGGTATTCCCAGCCTCTGGCTCACACACAACTCTACAATCGATACAAGGGTGTATCTGAAACTTCATATAGTGCTGGTTTAGGTTTAGCTGTAAAACAAATTCCCAGGAGTGAAATTGCTGAGTAAAAAAATAAATGCATTTGTAATTTTGATAGGGATTGCCAATCAGCTCCCCAAAGCGTTGCACCATTTTGGACTCTCACCAGCAATGGATGAGAGTGCTTAATTCTCCTATTGATTATAAGATATGTTGTAAAACTTTTGGATTGGATTTTTGCCAACTTGATAGGGAAAAAAATGATATCCCTGCATAGCTTTGATGTGGATTTTTCTAATTAAAAGTGAGGTTAGGCCAGGTGTGTTGGCTCACGCCTGTAATCTTAGCACTGAAAGGCTGGGGTGGGTGCACTGCTTGAGCCAAGGAGTTTGAGACCAACCTAGACAACGTGGTGAAACCCTGTCTCTACAAAAAATAGAAAAAGTAACCAGCTGTGGTGGTATGTGCCTGTTGTCCCAGAAACTCAGGAGGCTAAGGTGGGAGGATCACATGAGCCCAGGGAGGTTGAGGCTGCAGTGAGCCATGATCGCACCACTGCACTCCAGCCTGGGGAACAGAGTGAGACCCTGTCTCAAAAACAAAACAAAAATGAGATTAAATGTCTTTTTATATGGTTAAGAGACCCTTATATTTTTTTTTTGTGACCTGTCAATGTCTTTTGGTCATATTGCTATTGCTTTGTTGATTTTTTTTCAAAATTTCTCAGAGGAAAATTTAGTCTTCTTCATGAACATTTATTCTAAAGATCTTTTTTCTTTCTTTCTTTCTTTCTTTCTTTTTTTTTTTTTTTTTTTTTTTTTTGTGAGATGTATCTTGCTATGTTGCCTAGGCTGAACTCACACTCCTGGGCTCAAGCAATCCTTCTCCTTCACCTCTCTAGTCTAAGCTAAATTCTCTGTATGTGTGTACTTGTTTAACCCTCAGCAAGCCTGGGAACTGAGTATTGCCAGACTATTTTTAAAATGAGGAAACAGAGGTTCAGAATAGTTAAGTGACTTCAGGCCATACAGCCAGGCAGAGGCAAAACTGATGTCTGGAATCAAGTTGGTCTTACTGCTAAATTCTGTCCTCTTAATTGCCCAGCTTTACTGTTTTTCTTAGGTGGATGCCAGAGTTAACTCATTCAAACTGGTTTTTGTTTCCCAAACACACAAGATGATGGAGGAGTGTGTTGCTGAGCTCATGTTTGGTGGTATGTGAGACTCCAGCTGGGATAAGAAACACACCATGTATAATCCACCCAGTGAATAATCCCCAGGGAGATTGATTGTACACTTCCCCCTACCCCGGAAAGCCTTATGATAGTGTGACTAAAGCCAAGAAGAAACAGAAATGACACATGGCTGAAATTACACAGGAAAAGGATCACATCGAGGCAAGCGTCATAAGATGCACATGGCCACTGTGAACCAAGCATGTAAATCAAACATCACCAAAAGTGGTTCCCATTAGAGGCCCAGAAAAAATTTCAATGTTGCAGTTATTTCTGCTTCTCCTGCCTTAAAGGAGGTGTAATCACCGAATGAGCTCATCTTGCCCACTGTGCAGAAAAAACCAATTCACTGAGACAGTGGTATTATAATAGAGAAAGAGTTTAATTAACTTAGAGCTAGCCAAATGGAAGGATGGGAAGTTTATTACTCAAATTTAGTCTGTCAGAATTCAAAGGCTGGGGTTTTCATGGACACTTTGGCTAGCGGGGGATAGGGAATGTGTGCTGCTGATTTATTGGGGATGAAATTATAGGAATGTGGAAAATGATCCTCTTGCACAGAATCAGCCTCTGGGTGGGGACCACAGGACCAGCTATCATGAGCCATGGGTCCAAGTGAAGTCAGTTGGTCACTAGAATGCAGAAGTTTGAAAAACATCTCAAAAGACCAACCTTAGGTTCTACAATAGTGATGTTATCTATAGAAGCAATTGGGGAAGTAGGACCTCCAGCACAGTAACCAATTATAGAGGGGCAAGCTACACTTACATTTTTAGCAAAATTCAAGCCACTCCTATAATTCTAATCTTGAGGCCTTTGTTTTGTTTTGTTTTGTTTTGTTTTGTTTTGTTTTGTTTGAGGCAGAGACTTGCTGTGTCACCCAGGCTGGAATGCAGTAATGCGATCATAGCTCACTGCAATCTCAAACTCCTGGGCACAAGTGATCCTCCTGCCTCAGCCTCCTGAGTAGTCAGGACTACAGGCACTTACTACCATGCCCAGCTAATTTTTAAATTTTTTGTAGGGATGGAGTCTTGCTTTGTTGTCCAGGCTGGTCTTGAACTCCTGAGCTCAAGCAATCTTCCTGCCTTGGCCTCTCAAAATGCTGGGATTACAGGCATGAGCCACTTTGCCCAGCCTGTGGCTTTTCATTAGTCTTACAAAGGCAGTTTCAGTCCCTGAACAAGGAGAGTGTCAGTTTTAGGGAAGGACTATTATCATCCTTTCTTTAATGTTAAACCATAAAGTAAATTCCTCCCATGGTTAGCTTGGCTTGTGCCTGGGAATAAGCGAGGACAGCCAGCCTGTGAGGCTAGAAGCAAGAAGGAGTCAGCCATGCTAGACTTTCTCACTGTCATAATCTTCACAAAGGCGGTTTCATAGGCTTCTGGGAAACCTGGATTATAGGAGGTATCTGAAGTCCATCGCCAACTTCTTTCTCAAACAGCTTGGCCAGAACCTGGAGATTTGGGAGTTCTTGGGAAAGATGCTTTCTCTTCCCAACTTTCTATGCTCATGCTGTGGATAAAAAATTGAGCGGGCCCCAAAAGAGCAAAATAGATGAAATCGTGGTTCATTTATGGCATTTGACAAATCTGCAAGATTCGATGCAAGTGCACTACTAAATGATTAAAACCCCAGGTTCTGCCCTCCGGGAATGTGTGAGAGTATTATATTACTCCTGAATAATGTAACCACTGCAGTTTTCTGCCAGTTCAAAAATATAGCCAAGATGCCCTTTTTCACTGTATTTACCAATGACATTCTACAAGCCATCTTCCCTGTAGCAAGTTTCCCTATTTTCTTTTGCTTTAGTTTATTATGATTTAATAAAAATTGAATCAGTGGATTTAAGCTTAATTAAAGCTACTGTCATGTTTTTAAGCAAGGTAGCAGGTGTATATGAAAACGTATGCTGACAAGATTCAGGAAGTGTCTCCTGGTACGGTCTCAGAGATACTGGGAATTAAATGGATCACTCACACATAGGAGGGGAGTCAGAATGGATTTGGTTTTGCTGAGAATTTAATTTAAGTTTTCATTAGGATATAGAAGTTCAGCATTTCCCCTGAATAGTATATGTTCAAAAGTGGAAAAAGTAGAGGAAATAGATTGTTGTTCCCAATGCTTCAGCTTGATGTGTTAGGAGAGCTTGCAATAGTATAACCAGGGAGATCTTTGGATTGTCAGCTATATCATCGATCAGGGGTTGGCAAACTTTTCCTGTATCAGGCCTGATAGTAAATATTTAAGGCTTTGAGGTTCATAAGGTCTTTGTTGCAGTTATTCATCTCTGCCGTTATAGTGTGAAAGAGTCAGAGACAACACATAAATGAATGGGTATGGCTTTGTGTCAATACAACTTTATTTATAAAAACAGACTTCAGGCACATCTTGGCCCAAAAGCCATACCTTGCCATAGAACAAAGCTTGAGTGCTTTCTTTCCTAGGTAGGAAATCCTGCACTGGGTAGTACCCTTAGATTATAAGACAGTGCTTTCATTTGTAATGTGTATGATTGTCTCCAGCCACACAATTTTAGAACAAGTCACCAGCGAGAGGACCATGTACGTGGCCTTCACCATTTCTTCATTTCCATCGTCCTTCTTGCTCTCACCTCCTTTTATGCATGTCATTTATTTGATACTTCCTTTATCTCTGTCACGTGCCTCTATCTTTTCAGTTCATTTCTACTTTCCTGTTAACTCTAGAGATGGTATGAGGAAGGAGTTAGGCATTTGGACCCAAAGCTCACTCATACCTGGGTTCAAATCTTGGCTGAGTCACTTATTTAAGAAGTTTTTTGTTTGCTCGGATTATGTTTGTCTGTCTTTCAAATGAGGCTCAAGGTAGGTAATTTACAAAGTTACTGTGATGTTTAAAAGAATATGAATGATGCTTTACAAATTAGTAATCAATAAATGCTAATTAAAGATACTCACAAAATATACCTAAATTGTTACTACTGTACTTTGTAATTTCTGACATTCTACTTTTATGAATCAAACTCTCAATTTCTTCCAGACTTTCATATTTGTTTATTTTGGGAGCTGAAATGTCCTCAGAAGAAAGTAACTGTTTTGGTTATTATTAAGCTAGATGATGAGGGCCAAAACCACAAAATAACAGTGGCTTAGACAAGAGAAGCTGGTGTAGAAAGAATGGTGCCCAGTATCAAAGCCCCTTCCATCTGTGTCTCCTACTTCCATTCCAATGTGTCTGCTCGAGCTCCTCGAGCAGTTAAGCAATCAGAGAGGTCAGGGCAGAAAGGGCAGAAAACGAGAGGCTTCCATAGACAACCAGTGGCTCCCTCAGGCACTCTCCATCACGTAAACCTGTTTTACCTTCTCCACTGACTGCAATCATCTTGTGTTTTTGTTTACTTGTTTATTGTCTATTTCTTCTCAGTAGAACATAAGCATCAGGAGCTCAGGGACTTTGTCTTATTTGCCACTGTTTTCCCCACACCTGATACCATGGCTGGTACTTTGTAGACACACACTCAACAACTTTCCTTCTTTCCTTCCTCCTCTCCCCTCCCCTTCCCTTCCCTTCTCTCTGCTTTTATTTTAGATTCAGGGGGTACAAGTGCCGGTTTGTTACTTGGGTATATGATGTGATCCTGAAGTTTGGGTTATGAATGATCCTGTCACTCAGGTACTAAGCATAGTATCCAACAGTCTTTCAGCCCTTGCCCCTACTCCCTCCCTCCACCAGCCAGTAGTCCCCAGTGTCTATTGTTGCCATCTTTATGTCCATAAGTACCCAATGTTTAGCTCCCACTTACAGGTGAGAACATTCAGTATTTGGTTTTCTGTTTCTGTGACATTCACCGTCTTTAGAATGAATTCCAGAGTAAAATTATTTTGCTTTGACATAATAAAAGGATATCCTTCAAAGTGTTTTGTGCATAGTAGGTCCTCAGTGAAGCCGCCTGGAATGAGCAATTGAACAATGAATATAATACCAGTCAGCTTAGATTAGTGTCAGATAATAATAATAGTTAACAATGATTACGTGCCAAGGAATATGCGAAGTGTTTTACAGGCTTTATCTCATTTATTCCTCCAGCAACCCAAGGACAGTAAGGAGTAATAGTTATCTCACCTTAATGATAAGAAAATTAGATTTCAGGGAAGTTAAATACACTGCCCAAGGTATACCATTGGAAAAAAAACAAAACAACAACAACAACTCAACAGACCCAGGACTTGCACTAGGTATATCAGATTTTAAGGCTGGTGGTCTTAAACAATAGGCAGCCCACAGAGGACACAGCTAAACTATGTGAATCCATGAATCCATTGAGGTGATTTCCGGATTCCTGGACTAATTGCAATAAAAGATGTTTGAGGTGCAATAGACCAGTTTCTAATATGTGTGGCAAAGTAATACAAAGAAGCACTTTGCTAAGAAATTAGTCATTGTCCATTGACTTGGCAGTGAGTCTATCTGAACTTGTTCTATTATCTTGTTATGATTAGTGATAGATCAACTTAAATTAAAGGGAAAGTTAATGAAGTGAAACCCAAAAGTTAGCCAAAGGAGAAAAAAAAGTCTAGTTGATAAAAGCTGGACTTGAGGTTTTTCTTCCAATATTTGAAGTCTCATTTTCTTTTTTAAATAAAAAAGAACTAAGTGTCCAAAATTTTCTTTAATTAGGCATATTTTCCCTCAACTTTTATTTTAATTTCTCGGGTACATGGGCAGGATGTGCGGGTTTGTTACATAGGTAAACATGTGCCATGGTGATTTGCTGCACAGATCAACCCATCACCTAGGTATTAAGCCCAGCATCCATTAGCTATTCTTCCTCATGCTCTCCATCCCCACAGCCCCCTGACAGGCCTCAGTGTGTGTTGTTTCCCCTCATGTGTCCATGTGTTCTCATTGTTCAGCTCCCACTTACAAGTGAGAACATGGGGTATTTCAGTTTCTTTTCCTGCGTTAGTTTGCTGAGGATCATGGCATCCAGCTCTATCCATGTCCTTGCAAAGGACATTATCTTGTTCCTTTTTGTGGTTTTTTAAAAATAGCATGCAGCTAAATGTGACCAGAGTTCAGGTTTTAACAATTACAGCTATAGAAAATAACTCAGAATTCATTTTTTAAAAAATAAAAGTCAAAATCTTCCTGTTTGAGGCAATGTGGGATGCAGGAAACGTTCTGGACTTGGAAGTTAGACACAGCCAGCTTGGCAATGCTTGCTTTGCCAGTTTCTGGCTGGGGGGCCAATGTCTTCTCATTTCCCTGAGACTTGGTTTCCTTATCTTTTAAAAAAAATTAGAATGGTACTATAATTTCCTCTGCTATTAGGTCATGAAGGATCAATGCCACCACACCCGGCTAATTTTGTATGTTTAGTGGAAACAAGGTTTCACCATGTTGGCCAGGCTGGTCTCGAACTCCTGACCTCAAGTGATCTGCCCACCTTGACCTCCCAACATGCTGGGATTACAGACATGAGCCGCTGCATCCAGTTTTCTGGACTTTTATGGAGCCTAGCTCAATGTAAATCACTGAGCTTACTCCTCAACTTTTTTTTTTTTTTGAGATGAAGTCTCACTTTGTCACCCAGGCTGGAGTACAGTGGCGCTATCTCGGCTCACTGCAACCTCTGTCTCCCGGGTTCAAAGATTCTCCTGCCTCAACCTACTGAGTAGCTGGAATTACAGGCACCCACCACAATGCCCAGCTAATTTTTCTATTTTTGGTTGAGACAGGGTTTCACCATGTTGGCCAGGCTGGTCTCCAACTCCTGACCTTAGGTGATCCACCAGCCTTGGCCCCCCAAAGTGCTGGGATTACAGGCATCAGCCATTGCGCCCAGCCTTACTCTTTAACTTTACTTGGCTGAAGTAAATCTGTGTAGGTTTTTATCAACACTTAGAAAAATTCAGGAATAACGTACCTATAGCAAAGTGCATAAATCTTAAGTGTTCAGTGCTCTGCATAATTTAAACATGTACACATGCAGCATGCAGTGGCTCATGCCTATAATCCCAACACTGGGAGGCTGAGGAGGGAGGATTGCTTGAGCTCAAGAGTTTGAGACCACCTGGGCAACATAGAGAGACTTTGTTTCTCCAAAAAAAAAAAAAAAAAAAAAATTAGTTGGGCATAGTGGCATGTACCTGTATTCCCAGCTACTTAGGAGGCTGAGGTGGGAGGATCGCTTGAGCCTGGGAGGTGTAGGCTGCAGGGATCCATAATGGCACCATTGCACTCTAGCCTGGACGACAGAATGAGACTCTGTCTCAAAAAATAAAAATAAAAATATCAGTAAGTAAATAAAGTATACAACCACATACCTCCAACCCAGATCAAGATGGAGAATATTTCCAGCACCGAGGTTTTCTCATACTCTTCCTAATTGGTACTTCCTCCAAGGATAACTAATATTTAAATTTTTTTTAACTTTTCATTTTGAAATAATTTCAGCCTTACAAAAAAATTGCCAAGTAGTATAAAGTATCCCTGCCTACTCTTCACTCACCTTTCCCAAGTCATGAAATACTTATAAAAACCAGGAAATTAACGTCAATAGAATTCTATAGACCTTGTAGACCTTTCACCAATTTTTCCACGAATATCTTTTTTTCTGGTCCAGGATCAATGCCAGGTTCACACATTGTATCCTGTTGTTATGTTTCTTTAGCCTAATGCAATCTGGAACAGTTCCTCTGTCCTTCCTGTCTTTTATGACAGTTTAAGAGGCTGGTCAGTTATTTTATATAATATCCCTCAATTTAAGTTTGTGTGATGTTTCCTCATGATTAAATTCAGGCTATGCATTTTTGGCAATGCTGTGACAGAGATCTTACGCCCTTCTTAGTGCTTACTATCTGGAGGTACATGATGATGTCTCACTGGTAGTGATGTTAGCCTTGATCACATGATAAAGGCGATATCTTCCAGATCTCTCAACTTTAAAGTTATTATTTCTGCCTTTCTAATTAATAAATATCTTGTTGGGAGATATTTTGAAATGATGCAAATATCTTGTTACTCATCATACATTTACCTACTAATTTTAGCACCCATTATTGCTGTTTGCCAAATAGTGGTTCTCTACTTTGATCATTCCTTCTACATTTATGAATTGGAATTCTATTGTAAGAAAGAGGTATCCCTTCTCCCCATTTAATTTTTTTTTTTTTTTTTAAAGACTGAGTCTTGCTTATTGCCCAGGCTGGAGTTCAGTGACGTGATCTCAGCTCACTGCAACCTTTGCCTCCCAGGTTCAAATAATTCTCCTGCCTCAGCCTCCCGAGTAGCTGGGATTACAGGCACCCGCCACCACACCTGGGTAATTTTTGTGTTTTTAGTGGAGACGGGGTTTCACCATGTTGGCCAGGCTGGTGTTGAACCTCAAGTGATCCATCCGCCTCAGCCTCCCAAGGTGCTGGGATTACAGGCGTGAGCACCCGGCCTACTTTTTTTTTTCCGAGGCAGTCTTGCTCTTTCACCCAGGCTGGAGTGCAGTGGCGCGATCTCAGCTCACTGCAACCTTCACCTTCCAGGTTCAAGTGATTCTCGTCCCTCACCCTCCTGAGTAGCTGGGACTACAGGTATGCGCCACCACGCCTGGTTAATTTTTTGTATTTTTAGGATGGGGTTTTGCCATGTTGGTCAGGCTGGTCTTCAGCTCCTGGCCTCAAATGATCTGCTCGCCTTGACATCCTAGAGTGCTGGGATTACAGACGTGACCCACCGCGCCCAGCCCCCATTTACTTCTTTATTCAATTATATACTTAATATTTAAATGTGTTACTTAAATTTTATATACTAAATATAATTTAATAAGTACATTTAAAATTGTTTTATAATTATATATGTTATATATTTATTTACCAACTATTCATTTAGTGTCAGCCTGTACTCACGGTTATTTTCTTTTATTTTTTGTGTTATAACCCATCACTGCCAGTGTTTGTTGCTCACATTGTCCCAGCTTTGGTCATTGGGATTGCCTTCATGCTTGCTCCTGTGTCTACTTTCTGCAACCATAAGATGTTCCAGACTCGTCTTGTGCTTTTCCTGCCCCAGTGCTGGAATCAATCATTTCTTTAAGAAGCTCTTATTCTTTTTAATAATAAAAAACTAGAGATGGGGTCTCGCTACATTGACCAGGCTGGTCTCAAACTTATGGCCTCAAGTGATTCTCCCATCTCGGCCTCCCAAAGTACTGGGATTGCAGGCATGAGCCACTGTGAGCAGCCAAGACACCCTTATTATTTTCACTGGGGAATGGCATAGAGACAGACCTGGGCTCATTGCTTGTGAGGTGTCATTTCTTTTGTTGCTTCTAGGTCCTTTGAGCAGAAAGCACTTGGACACATACATGTGTATACTAACATACACACGCATCTACTTCTATTTCTACATCTATCTGTATAGCTGTGTAGCTATGTCTATAAAACTGTGGTTCTGGCTGGGCGTGGTGGCTTATGACTGTAATCCTAGCACTTTGGGAGGATGAGGCGGGAGGATCACTTGAGCTCAGAAGTTCAAGATCATCATGGGCAGCATGGTGAGATCTTGTCTCTACAAAAAATTTAATAATTAGCTGGGTGTGGTGGCACATGAACACACATAGCATAGCTTCAGAGTTGGTAATCCATACCCCTCTGAAGATAAAATTTAACTAGAATACAATATTTGTGTACATTTTTTTAGTCTTGTAATACGTAGCAAAAAAAAAATATTGTGTTCTAAATTTACTTAGGTTAGTTTGCTCAACCCCTACACCCAGTGATTATTGTTAGTGGTGTCTCAGTTTTATTTGTTAATGTTTGTATTCTGTTTGTTTTCTCCCTACATTCTGGTTGATTTCAATTATGTATTTATTTCCTTAGGATGTAAAACATTACCATGATTCTGGAATCTAGAACTATACTCAGAAGTATGTCATTCTCCTTTCATATGTTCCACCCCACTCCCATTTCCCCATTCTTTCCACCCCATTTCCACTTTTCTGTTGTTAATCAGTCTCATTAGTTTCCATGGTGTCCATCCCTTGTATATTTCCTTTCATCTCCTTCTTTCTTACACAGAGGTAGCCTACTACAGATACTCTGTTTTTTCACTTGAAACATGCTATTGGAAATTACTTTATACCAGTTCATTGAGAGCTTCCTCATTCTCTTTTTACAGCAACACAATACTCCATTGTGTGAGTGTGCTTCAGTTTATTCATCCAGTATCCCATCTGTGGGCATGTAGGTGGTTTCCAATATTTTACAATGACAAACAATGCTGTAATTATTTGTGTGTATTTTTATATTGTTGGAAATGTGTCTCCACTATGAATTGCTAGAAAGGGAATTGCTGGCTCAACATGTTAGTGGGTAGTTTTGTCAGGTAGTTCCAAATTCCCCTCTGTAGGGATTGTACTATCATGTATTTCCATCAGCAGTGTATGACAGTGTCTATTTCCCTATGATCTTGCTATCAGAATGATTTGTCATACTTTTTTTTTGAGACAGGGTCTCGCTCTGTCACCCCTGCTGGAGTGCAGTGGCTTGATCATGACTCACTGCAGCCTCGACCACCCAGGCCCAAGTGATCCTCCCACCTCAGCCTCCTGAGTAGCTGGGACCACAGGTGAACGCCACCATGCCTGGCTGATTTTTATATTGTTTAAAGAGATTGGGGTTTCACCATGTTGCCTAGGCTGGTCTCAAACTCTTGGGCTCAAGTGATCTGCTCACCCTGGCCTCCTAAAGTGCTGGGATTACAGGAGTGAGCCACCACGCCCAGGGTGTCATACCTTTTGATTTTTACAAATCTAGCAGGTGGGGAATGGTATTTCAATATAGTTTTAATTTACATTTATCTAATTGGGGGGCAGTTTGCACATCTTGTCAACTGTACATCTGTACATATGTATTTTTAAGGACCATCTGTACATATGTATTTTTTGTGCTGAATTGTCTGTCCATGTGTCTTTCCCCTTCTTTTATTAGTTTTAATCTAATTTCAAAATGTTCTCTCTCTCTTTTTGGAAACAGAGTCTTGCTCTGTTGCCCAGGCTGGAGTGCAGTGGCGTGATCTCTGCTCACTACAACCTCCGCCTTCTGGGTTCAAGTGATTCTCGTGCCTCAACCTCCTGAGTAGCTGGGAGTACAGGCGTGCACCACCATGCCCGACTAATATTTTTTATTATTTTATTTTCGTAGACACGGTGTTTCACCCTGTTGCCCAGGCTGTTCTTGAACTCCTGAGCTCAGGCAATCTGTCCACCTCAGCCTCCCAAAGTGCTAGGATTACAGGTGTGAGCCACCACACCCAGCTAGAGATATTAGTCTTTTTTTTATATATACATATTGCAAATATTTTCTTTAGGTTTGTCCAGTTGTCTTTTTGTCATACATAATTGTTAATGTGTGTGACAAAATACACATTATGCGGTCAAATTTATCCCTCTTTTACTGCCTCAGGATTTTTGAGTCATTATAAAGTCTTTCCCTACATTAAGGTTAATGAGGAATTCACCCATGTTTTCTTTTAGTATATGTATAGTTTTACTTATTTTTTCCTTTTTCATTTAGCTTCCTGGTCCATTTGGAGTTTATTCTTGTGCGTGATGGGAAATATGCATTTAATTTTATCTTTTACAAGTGGCTATTCATTTTTCTCAGCCCTATTTAGTAAAAATCTGTCTTTGCCCCAGTGATTTGAAGTGCCATCTTTATCATACGCTAAAAGTGTTCATTTCAATTTGAATCTATATTTGGGCATTTTATTCCACAAGTCTATTTGTCTTTTTTTTTTTTTTTTTTTTTTTTTTTTTTGCACCCGTTGCACTGCTTTGATTATAAAATCTATTGGTCTGGTGAGGCAAGACCACCTTTGAAATTTTTCTTTTTCAGTGTAGGTAACAACTCTTCCTGACTTCCATCACCTTAGATTGAATTTGCCTGTTTTTGAACTTCATGTAATAGAATCATATGGTATCTGTTATTTTATGTCTGACTTCTTTCATTTGATCTGGTATCTGTGAGATACATTCATGCTGTTGGAAGTAGCCGCACCTTGTTCGTTTTCAGTATTGTGTCCTATTTCTTTGTATGTCTCTACCACAACTGATCGATCCGTATTTTGTTTATACATATGTAAATTGTTTCCAGTTGGGTGCTGTTGTGAAGAAAGCTGTTATGAACTTTTTTTTTTTTTTTTTTTTTTTGGCACACCAATGCACACATGTCTCTCAGAATTCCTAGGAGTGAAATTGCTTGGGCATAGGATAAATGAATATTTAGCTTTGGTAGATAATACCAAAGAGTTTTTCAAAGTGTTTGTACCAATTTGCTAGCACATAGTATTGTCAGTCTTTTTTTTTTTTTAATTAAAAAGTAAACTTTAATGTCAAAAATGCAAACTTGGGGAAGGCAGAAAGATCACACACAAGGCTGTCACTTCACACTTGGAAGGTTGCACAGCGGCCCAGACAGTGGAGGGGCCGGGAGTATTGTCAGTCTTTGAAGCTGCCTTAAAAGAAAAGAAGAAAGAAAACCTTGTATGACATAATTCTTCTTCCTCTTGAAACTCAAGAGTCATTTCCAAAACAGGAAATGGCTAGAAACAAAACAAAACAAACCCAGCAACCTCCATTTTTTAAAACACACCTAACAAGTTACTTGTGGCAGTCATGGGTTTTATAGAAAAATACAGAAAAGCTGTTTTGAGCCTAGATCAAATGTAGCAGGCAGTTTGTTTTTTACCCCAAAGCTGTTTTCAGGCTGGGCACAGTGGCTCACAACTGTAATCCCAGCACTTTGGGAGGTCAAGGTGGGTGGATTACCTGAGGTCAGGAGTTCGAGACTAGCCTGACCATCATGGTGAAACCCTGTCTCTACTAAAAATAGAAAAATTAGCCAGGCGTGGTGGCACATGCCTGTAATTCCCGCTACTTGGGAGGCCGAGGCAGGAGAATCGCTTGAACCCGGGCGGCAGAGGTTGCTGTGAGCCAAGATTGCGCCACTGCACTCCAGCCTGGGCAACGAGAGCGAAGCTCTGTCAAAAAAAAAGCCATTTTCTCCCTTTCTGTCTTTCTAGCAGGACCTCAGTTTTGTTCAGCATGTTCAGCAGGGAAGGTGATCTTATCCCTAGCTTAGGGGCGAATCTTGTTTCATCTAAGCTAATCAGGGCTTTCTCTTTTTTTTTGAGACAGTCTTTCTCTGTCGCCCCAGGCTGGACTGCAGTGGTGCGATCTTGGCTCACTGCAGCCTCCACCTCCTGGGCTCAAGTAATTCTCCTGCCTCAGCCTCCTGAGGAGCTGGGATTACAGGCACGAGCCACCATACCTGGCTAATTTTTGTATTTTTTAGTAGAGATGAGATTTCACCATATTGGCCAGGCTAGTCTCAAACTCCTGACCTCAAGTGATCCTCCAGCCGCAACCTCCCAAAGTGCTGGGATTACAGGTGTGAGCCATGGTGCCCAGCCCTAATCAGGGCTTTCTTATTCCTCTCACCAGCAATTAGCTTAGGGATGAGCATGTGACCCAGGCTGGCTAATAAAATATGAGATATGAGGAACACTGGCATAGCTCTGTAGTGGAGGGCTCCTGGGAATGGTTTTTTAGTGCTAAAGAGACTCCAGCAGAGACGGCCCCTTTTTGCCTCCGGATGTGGTATGTCTGGATGTGATGCCTGGAACTGCAACAGCCATCTGGCTGCCAGCCGAAAATGAAGCAAATCCATGAAAGAATCAGAACAAATGGAGGTGGAGTCTTAAATACAGGATCTGGAACCTGCCATATTCCAAGTTTATGTGAAGTAACAAATTGACCAATTGTTTAAGACCATTTGAGCTGGTATTTTCTATTACTGACCATTCCACCTAATACCCCTGGTACTGGGCTTTGTTAGAATAACATAGAATAACAAAGGGGAGACAAGGCTCTTACTTATCCCCTGCAAATATGTTTTAGCAACCTCCTCTTTGTTCTAAACCAGTGGTTTTCAATCTTTAGCATGCCTCAAAATCACCTGGAGAGTTGATTAAAACAGCTTGCTGGACTTGACTGTCAGAGTTTCTGATTAAGTGGGTTTGAGATGAGGTCAAGAATTTGCATTTTTATCAAGTTCCTAAGTGACTCTGAGGCTGCTGGTCAAGGGACCACACTTCAAGAATGATTATTCTAGAATACAGACACCATCTTACTGCATTTAGTAACATTTTTTAAAAAAAGTCAAATAATATATATCATGGGCTTCTTTTTCAGCTTGAGAAATATAATTTTTTTTTTTTTTTTTGAGACAGAGTCTTGCCGTGTCATCTAGGCTGGAGTGCAGTGGTGCGATCTCGGCTCACTGCAATCTCTGCCTCCTGGGTTCAAGCGATTCTCCTGCCTCAGCCTCCTGAGTAGCTGGTACTCAAGCATGCACTACCATACCCAGCTAATTTTTGTATTTTTAGTAGAGATGGGGTTTCACCATCCTGGCCAGGCTGGTCTTGAACTCCTGACCTCAGGTGATCTGCCCACCTCAGCCTCCCAAAGTGCTAGGATTACAGGCATGAGCCACTGCGCCTGGTCAAAAAATAGAAATCTCTATCATCATTTTGAATGACAACCTAGTATTGCATCACGTGGATATACTAGAATTTATATAACTGTTTCTAACAGCATATTCTGTTAATTTGTGGGGTTTTTTTGTATTATTATATTAACATGAACAACTCTATCGTAAGTATCATTTTATAGTAATCCTAACTGTTTAATAATTTCCTTAAGGCAAATTCTTAAAAGAATTGCTGGATCAGAGGGAAATGTTTGGGGCTTTTTTTTTTTCTCATATCGTCTTCGTAATCCACCTAATTTCTACTTCCAGATATATTGCCCTTAGATTTAGATATTTTGCCAGGGGACTTCTGGTTGATCCTGCCTCAGCTGGCCAAGGCCTTGGCCATTTGCTCTGTAGGGGTCTTTCTTTAATGTTGCAAGAGTTGAACACTAAAGATAGCACTGCCAGGCCTGGGCTAGCTCATTCCTAAGAGTTAATTTAAAAATTTTTACCAGGAAGAGAATAAAAGCCTGGGAAGTTCTTAAGACTTCTGTCTTTCTCTACATCATGAGAATTTGAGCATACTTTCTGTCTTTGTCATATTTCTATTTGAGAATAGAGGCAACCAACTGCCTAATACTCCAAAGAGAAGGAAAGAAGTTGCATTCAGATGTCATCTGCCGATCATCTCAGTCATGAAAGAAAGTCATCCAGCAGAGGGAAAAGCTGGGTCCAAGTTATGTCTTTATGCTCGACCATGGAAGAATTTATTTTCAGATGTACTTGCCCTCCTAAATCAGAGCAGCACTTCTAGTTTAGCTGGGACTTCTAGTAGAATTCAAAAAAGTGTCCTCAGTTGAGTGTGTTGGTTCATGCCTATAATCCCAGCACTTTGAGAAACCAAGGAGAGTGGATCACTTGAGCCCAGGAGTTTGAGACCCGCCTGGGCAACATAGTGAGACCCTGTCCCTACCAAAAAGTAAATTAAAACAAAAATTAGCCGGGTGCAGTGGTACACACCTGTAGTCCCAGCTACTTGGGAGGCTGAGGTGGGAGGATCACTTGAGCCCACGGCATTGAGGCTGCAGTGAGCCATGATTGTGCCACTGCACTCCAGCCTGGGCAACAGAGGAAGACCCCATCTCAACAAAAACCAAAAAACAAAAAACAAAAAGGGTCCTCACCAGAAGAGAGCTGGCAAACAAAATACAAATTAAGACTGGCTTTGGCTTGAGTTCTTTAGAAAGTAGAGCCTGAGGCAAAGCTTAAGGTGCCTAATGCAATTTTATTATTATTATTATTATTATTATTATTATTATTGTTCATTTTGTTTTGTGTTTCTGTAGAGATGGAGTCTTCTTGCTGTGTTGCCCAGGCTAGTCTTGAACTCCTAGGTTCAAGCAATTCTCCTGCCTCAGCCTCCCAAACTGCTGGGATTACAGGCATGAACTACTGCACCCAGTCCAATTTTATTTTAAATATAAAAGTTTGTGTCTCTTTCACTTAAAAACACAGTATTGACTGGTTCATTATGCCACTGATATATAGCATCCAAGATTGTTCCAACTCTTGCCAATTCTCAGCCATTGTGTGGGGTGGCGATAGATGAAGAGAGAGAAAGAGAAAGGAAAGGGAGGAGGAGGATGATAGAGAGAGAAGGGGTGTTGAGGGAGAGGTATAAACTTGCTTGTTTTTAGGGGCATTTTCTGGAATTTGCATATATCACATCTGCTCACATCCCACAAGCAAGAACTTGGTCAAATAGCCGTTCAGCTCAAAGAGTTTGTTCTGTATCTGTGCAGTCATGAGGAAGGCACTACAATTTTGATCTGGGAGTTTCAAACCCAGCGAGATGGTGAGGGCAAAAGACAAGCCAGGCAAGGAAATATGTGAAGCAAGGTGATGCTTTCTATCTCAAGCCAGTCATGAGGAGGCACGTGGGCCGCTCAGCAGGCTTGTTTGGTTTGCACACAGTTCTTTCTGCAAGGGTTGCAGAGGGGAACTATGACTGGAAATAGTCCCTGGGAGAGGAAAAACAGGGGAGATCCATCTGCTCCTCACCCTCCTATCTTGCATTTCCCGTTGGTTTGTTCCCACTGGCCGAGGCTTACGCCCATAAGGAGCAACACCTCCTCTCTTCCTGTTGTGTAACCCATCCCCTTGGCAACAGTTCAGGAAGCAGATCCCACACCCTGGGAATGGAACGGTGACCCACATGAATGGGGGGCATGGACCAGGAGAGGGGAAGCACCTGAGAAGGTTTACTGGGTCTGTGTTCCAATATATTACTTAATGGCATTTTGAGTGGAAAATAAAAAGGGCTTTGATGAAAACTTTTCTAACTGATGTCCATCTTTTGGAGTCCTGAGTTGGTTTCTCAGTACCTTGCAAAAAGAACTAATTGATCAGAGGCTGATAGGTAGAAGGGCGTCTCCCTTGATCTTCGGCCAAGAATTCTTCTAGCCTAGGAATGTTTTTGTTAGACATTGCAGAAACCTAAATGAGGTTTAGGACAACCCATGGATGTGCATTAGGATGCTGTAGAAAGTGTTCTCTCCCTCCCTTCCTTTCTTCATTTTTTCTTCCTCTTCCCTTTCCTCTCCCGTTCCTTCTTTCCTTCCTTCCAAACGGGAAATTTTACTGCGATTACCTTTGTTTTGTTAAGAAGCTTGAACTCTTTCATGGCATTTTTCCTAGAAAACAAGCAATGTGCAAACTGGCCTTTCCATATGGCATGGAATATGGACTACTAGCCAACCAAGTTAGAATATACTTTAGGCTGCCTCTGTCTGGGCCTGACATATTTCTTTACTGTGAACCTGTGAACTTGGAAATGCAACTGAATTAGGTTGGGCATGGTGCTCACACCTGTAATCCCAGCACATTGGGAGGCCTAGGTGAGAGGATATCTTGAGGCCAGGAGTTCAAAATCAGCCTGGAAGACAAAATGAGACTACGTCTCTACAAAAAAATTTAAAAGCCGGGCATGGTGGGATGTGCCTGTAGCCCCCAGCTATTTGAGAGGCTGAGATGGGAGGAGTGTTTGAATCCAGGAAGGTAGAAGGTAGAGGCTGCAGTGAGTTGTGATTATGCCACTGGGCAACAGATAAGCAAAAGACCCTTCACTGAAAATGAGAAGCGGCTTCAGTGGAAGCATCTGGCTGCTCTCCAGTGACCTTTAAAAACAGAAAATTGATCATATTGGCACAACTGCTGTTTGAGAGTCTGAATGCGTAGTGACTAAGTTCACATCCTCTAGATTCAAAAGCATAAAATTCTAAATCTTCCTCTAAGTATCTCAGTGAACTTGGGAATGTTACTGAACACTTAGACTCAGCTTTATTTGCAGTTTAATGGGCATTGTAACACCACGCAGTATTATAATAGTATCTGTTACACAAAATTAGCCAGGCCTGGTGGCGTGTGCCTGTAATCCCAGCTACTTGGGAGGCTGAGGCAGGAGAATCACTTGAACTCGGGAGGCAGGCAGAGGTTGTAGTGAGCTGAGATCATGCCATTGCACTCCAGCCTGGGCAACAAAAGTGAAACTGCATCTCAAAAATAATAATAATAATAATATCTGTTATACTACTATCCACCTTACATGGGTATTGTAAGGGCTAAATGAGATAAAACATGTCAGGCTCCTGGCACATAATACATGCTCAGTGAATGGCAGAAGCTATTGTTTTCATAGTAGTCGTCATCATCATCATCATCATCATCATCTTATTGTATGGCTTACTATTGTTCCATTGAGGACTGCAGAATAAAATATTGACACTGGTCAAGGTATTTAACATTTGAGGGTCTTTAGTGACCTTTCATCTCAGTAAAGGGACACTAGCAATTATCGTCAGGTATGCAGGCACGTGAGGATGGTGCTTGCACAGTATCAACCCCTCAGTCATTGGTTTGTTTCAGGTTATACCACCATCATGTTGAACTTTTTAAAAAAGTATCTTAGCCCTCTGATCAAAGGGCAAAGGTGCTTACCTCCAGTTTCTTTCCCAGTGTCTTGTTATGAAAACTTGTGCTGGGCACGGTGGCTCACGCCTGTAATCCCAGCACTTTGGAAGGCCAAGGCGGGCAGATCACCTGAAGTCAGGAGTTCGAGACCAGCCTGGCCAACACGATGAAACCCCGTCTCTACTGAAAATACAAAAATTAGCCAGGTGTGGTGCCAGGTGCCTGTAATCCCAGCAACTTGGGAGGCTGAGGCAGGAGAATCGCTTGAACACAGGAGGCAGGGGTTGCAGTGAGCTGAGATTGCACCACTGCACTCCAGTCTGGGCAACAGAGCGAGTCTCCATCCCAAAAAAAAGAAAACTTGTAAATGATGTTCGGGGTTTGTTGGAATCCCTGTGGAGGTTCCAGGTCTCACCTGCACACTAAAATATTCTCCTTGTCTGTGGAAGCTTTCTGGTGCTCTAGCTTAAAAGGAGCACATCTAACTTTCTAATTCCAGTCTTTATCTTAATTTAAAAAAAAAAAAACACCCAAACGCCTTATGTGAAGTTTATTAGGGCAATAATGCTGTGGTATTGCTAATTGCTGGCAGACACATCAATCCATTTGTTTGCCTTACCCTAGAGGGATTTTAAAGTTATCAATTCTATTTGTTGGTTTCTAATAGAAAGCCAGGGCTTATCCCATAAATTCTGAAGCTGTGGAACTAGGAACATTAGGACTCTTCCTGCCTATTTTGGAGCATGTATCATTGCACTGGCTCCCTAACCCCAGGAGAGATATATTACAGATGGAGTGTATGCCCCATAAAATAAAGTGTCATATCTTCTTGACGCAGCAATTCTTAGCTGCAAAGACAATGATTCATCTAGTCAGTGCCAGCTTCTAAATGAGAAAAAAGAAAGAAAGATGATTAGGAAGATTCATCCTTTGACTCTCTGTCTCCATTTCTCTTCCAAGCCTACTTTTAGAAAACCACTAGGTTCCAGAATCTGCATCATGGGGTCTGAACTTTCTAGTTCTTGATCCTCAAAGGAGATAAAAGTGAAAGCAGAGTGCATCTTCTGAATAGCATCCTGGGGAAGGTGGGCTTTGTGAAGTAACCAGTTGTGTACAAATGAACAAGCTGGCTCCCACTCTCCTCTCTCACCTCTCCTCTGGCCTCAGTTCCTCCCTACCTTCCACCAGTCCAACCACAGTGGTCTCCTTAAAATGCCTCAGATACGCAAGTTCTTCATGATGACCTGGAGCTCTTTCCCCAGTCTCATGGCTGAGACTTTCTCAGCACAAATGACCACTTTCTCGGAGAAGCTTCCCCAATAACCCGGCTGAGAGGAGCTCCCACCCTATCCTGACAGTACTCTTTCAACACTTTGCCCTGTTGTATCTTTTCCTTAATGTACTAGCTAGAGTCATGGCTTTATTTACTTGCCCCAGTTTGTGCTTTTTAGTGTTTTTCTCATCTAGAAAATAAATACCATGAGAGCAAAAACCTCATTTGACTTTTTCTCTACTCTACTCCCAGGTACTGGAAGGAATTCTAGAATTTTTTTCCTCTGTTTTTAATATATTTTTACATTTTTAAATATTAACTTAAGCCCTTTTTCTTTCTTTCTTTTTTCTGAGACAGGGTCCCCCCTCCATCGCCCAGCCTGGAGGGCAGTGGCACAATCTCGGCTCACTGCAACCTCCGCCTCCCAGGCTCAAGCGATCCTCCCACCTCAGCCTCCCAAATAGCTGGGACTACAGGCATGCACCACCATGCTGGGCTATTGCTTTGTATTTTTGGTAGAGACAGGGTTTTCTGATGTTGCCCAGGCTGGTGTTGAACTCCTGAGCTCAAGCAATCCACCTGCCTCGGCTTCCCAAAGTGCTGAGATTACAGGCGTGATGCTTGTCTGAGATTGTAGAATTTAGTAAGTACAAAGAGTTCTTGATATGGGCTCAGATGATTTGGGTGGCAGTTCCAGAACTGTGTAAATGTGGTCCAGTTTCTTGTCTTCCTGAGTTTCATTCCCTCATCCGTAAAATGGGAGTAATAATACCTACCTCACAGAGTACTTGTGAAGATCACTGGAACAATGATCAAGAAAAAAATATATACATATATTTTTTGAGACAGGGTCTTCCTCTGTAGCCCAGGTTGGAGTGCAATGGCTTGATCACAGCTTGCTGGTCTCAAACTCTTGGGCTCAAGCAATCCACTTGCCTCAGCCTCCCAAAGTGCTAGGATTGCAGGCGTGAGCCACCACGCCTGGCCGATAAAATATTTTTTATTCTGTTACTGGTTTTACACTTGGGAGAGATATGAGGGTTTCCTAAAGGACCTTGATAAATGAAAGAATGACAATGAAATATCATGATACTGAAAGGGGAGCTCTCACAATCTGAGACAGGTGGTAAAATTTAAGATGCTTATCCCACCATATAGAAAGTATGTAAATTGATAACGACAAGAAATTACATCAATTGACTGTACAGATTCCAGAATGTTAGAGCAGGAAGATTTGTTAAGATATAGTTGAGTGATTTTTAGACGTGGGTCTCTGGAGTACTGGGGTTTTGTTGGAGTCCCCTGGGATCCAGGATATAGCGGGAAATAGCCAGGAAAGAGGAGGAGCTGAGCTGATAGAAATACATGCCCCATCTCCCCTAATTCAATCAGATTAACTGCATTTTATGCTTTTTTTTTTTTTTTTACATTGTTTCAGAAGCTAGTTATTTATTGCTCAGAACCCTTCCCTCACTCTTTCTTCCTGACCCTGATTTTTGTGTGCAGGGAAATGGGCTCAACTTCAAGCTATGGAGTGTGGTCAAGGTCATTCATGACAATCCTCTTCCTCAGTTTCTCAGTCTCCCTGGAAGCTATGGATTGGCATATGACCCAGTTTTAGCCCATGAAATGTGAGAATAAGCCACTTTAGCAGTTGCTGCTAAAGTTTTTAGGAAGCTTTTATTTTCTTACTAAAAAGGGACATATGTGGCTGATATGGTCCTTTCCTGTCTTCCTCCTCCCTTCCATGCTAACATCATGTCTGCCACTACAACAGCAATCTTGTGACCATGTGGCTGTAAGCACAGGAATGCCTGGAATCTCAGAAACATTGGCTCTGACCTCCGTGAGTCACTGAACCAATTCCGGCAACCACCTGGCTCCAGACTTCTTGCCATGTGAGGAAGAAGCCACTATTGTCTAAACCAGTGCAGAGTTTTCTGTCCTTGCGTCTCAAAAAGCATTCCTCACAGATATACATATATTGTGCTTCCAGATAAGATTTTGTTTAGGATTCTGAGTCTAAAAATAATTTGAAATCTGATCTCATACCATCTTTTCATTGTAGAGAGATAAGGTAACAGTTTCAGTTGTCTGTTGCTGCATTACAAACTATCTCAAAACTCCCTGGCTTAAAACAATAGCTGTTTTGTTACCTCTTAGAATTCTGTGAGCTGACTGGGTTCAGCTGGGCAGTTCCTCTGTTCCTTGGGATGTCTGCATTGCCTACAGTTACCATGAGGCTCAATGGGCTTGTCTAATGCCTTGACAGGAATAGTCAGAAGGCTGGGCTCGGCTGGGACACAGGTCCTTTCTCTCTCCTCATGCAGTTTCAGAGCTTCTCTCTGTCTACATGGCCTCTCCATGTTGACTTCGTACATGGCACCTTCACGCCCCCAAAAGCAGAAGCCACCAGGCCTTCCTAAGGCTTAGGCCCAGATCCAGCTTTGTGTAACATCTGCGGCATCCCTTTGGTTAAAATGAGTCAGGTTCAAGGATAGAGGACTATCTGAGGGCATAAATACAAGAGGTGTGTTTTATGGGAGGCAATCTTTGCAGGTTAGCTACTACAGAAACTGAGACTTAGACTGTGAAAAGTAGTTGTCTAAACTGATAGAGTCATAAGTATTTAAATTAGAACATCATTGAAGGGATGAGAGCTCCAAAGCGGGATAGAATGGGAGGGTGGAGGGGACAGGCAAGAGAAAGGACTTATCCTCAGCCCAGGGTTTTTAAATCTCAGGAGTGTTGACATTTGGGGCCAGATAATGTCTGGATGGCTGTCCTGTGAATTGTAGAATGTTTAGCAGTATTCCTGGCCTCTACCTGGATGCCATTAGCATCTCCCGTCCAATTTTTATTTTTTATTTTATTTTTTTGAGTCAGTGTCTCGCTTTGTCATCCAGGCTTGAGTGCAATGGCTTGATCTTAGCTCACTGCAAGCTTTATCTCCTGGGTTCAATTGATTCTCCTGCCTCAGCCTCCTGGGTAGCTGGGACTACATGCAGGCACCACCACACTCAGCTAATTTTTGTATTTTTAGTAGAGACAGGGTTTTGCCATGTTGGCCAGGCTGGTCTTTAACTCCTGACCTCAGGTGATCTGCCCACCTCCCAAAGTGCTGAGATTACAGGCGTGAGCCACAATACCCGGCCTCCCCTCCAATTTTGACAACTGAAAAAAATCTCCAGTCAGTTGCCAAATGTTCCATGGAGGCAAAACCACTCCCCGGTTGAGAACATAGCCCTAGCCTTAGTGATGTTTAGAGTATATCTATAACTACACAGAAGCCCAGCTGTCTCACATGTGGGTCCAGGCAGCATGTTTATATTCTTAAATTCTCCCAGTGGGAAATGAAGAAGGTAGGATACTCAATTTCACACTCTGGTCCACATGTTTTATGTGGACTCTTCACTTTGGAAAAAGCTTTTTTAGTTTTGCTGTAAGTTCCCCAACTTGACTTTTTTTTTTTTTTTCCGTGAGATGGATCTCGCTCTGTCGCCCAGGCTGGAGTGCAGTGGTACGATCTCGGCTGACTGCAACCTCCACCTCCCAGGTTCAAGGCTGAAGCTCCTGCCTCAGCCTCCTGAGTACCTGGGATTACAGGTGTGCACCACCACGCCTGGCTAATTTTTGTATTTTTAGTAGAGACAGGGATTTCCCCATGTTGGTCAGGCTGATCTGAAACTCCTGACCTTGTGATCTGCCTGCCTTGGCCTCCCAAAGTGCTGGGATTACAGACGTGAGCCAGCCAACCCGGCAATTTCACTTTTAAGGTTGTGTCTTCAAATGAAGCCTGAACGGGTGGTCCTTCATTGCCAGTGCATCGCACTAAGCACTTCCCTTCCTCTCTTTTAACCAGGAGTCATCCACAAATAAGTAGGTGGATTTTAAAGCCGTGGGACTGGGTGACATCAACTAGAGAAATCAGAAGATGAAGAAAGAAGAAAAGCTGGTGGCTTAGGCCAGGGTCTACCCTGAGGCCTTCTAACTTTTAAAGGTAAGTGTGTATGTGTATACATACATACATATGTATACACACATATCCCAGAAACTAGAAAAATGTATATGTACGTATAAAACTTTTTTGGTTTTCTCCCTATATTTATACAAACATATATATGTATATATACACAAATACATATTAATATATACACGTGTGTATGTTATATGTGTACATGTTTATTTTTCTCATATATATATATGTATATTTTTTAGACAAAGTCTCACTCTGTCACCGACGCTGGAGTGCAGTGGCCTGATCACAGCTCACTGCAGCCTCAACTGGGCTCAGGTGATCCTCCTGCCTCAGCCTCCCGAGTAGCTGGGACTATGGGCGCATGCCACCACACCCAGCTAATTTTTGTATTTTTTGGTAGAGATGGGGTTTCGCCATAATACCCAGGCTGATCTCAAATTCCTGAACTCAAGCAATCCGCCCACCTCAGCATCCCAAAGTGCTGGAATTAACAGGCATGAGCCACTGTGCCCAGCCTATTTTTCCTATTTAATTGAAGACCAATTTATATACAGAGTAAGAAGGAAGAAACTAAAATAATTCTGGATCTTATAGGGACAATGCAAAAGAATCAATCTGGTCACTGCTGAGTCCAGGCTTGTCATTGTCCCCTCTAGAATATTAGGGGGCAAATGTATGAGCTCCAAGAATCTCACGTGCCTTGCTCAGTGGCTCATGCCTGTAATCCCAGCACTTTGGGAGGCCGAGGCAAGCGGATCACGAGGTCAGGAGATGAAGACCATCCTAGCTAACACGGTGAAACCCCATCTCTACTAAAAATACAAAAAATTAGCCAGGCGTGGTGGCAGGTGCCTGTAGTCCCAGCTACTTGGACGCTGAGGCAGAAGAATGGCGTGAACCCGGGAGGCGGAGGTTGCAGTGAGCCGAGATCACGCCACTGCACTCCAGCCTTGGGCGACAGAGTGAGACTCCGTCTAAAAAAAAAAAGAAACGCGCATGGCGTGGAGTAAGTGCTCAGGATATTGTGAAAGGAAAATAAAAACTCTGGGACCCTCATTCACTAAGCCAAAAGGAAAAAATTCAGCTGAAAGCTGAGTCATGATGCAAGCAACTGCCTTTCATTTTGTTCCTAAGCGGATAGCAGCAGATTAAAGGTTAAATGTCTCCACTCTGTGTTCACCTTATCTTGTGGAAAGTGACAATTTATTGAGAACAAGAAGGACACATAGTAAGCTTTTCCCTTACCTGCTCCTTTTCTCTTGCAACGTGTGGATTCAGGAATGTGACCGTACCCTCCCTGTTTCTCCCACAGCCTGCTTTTCCCCTTCAAATATTGAAGCCTTCAAAGTCATCTTTGGAGAAAGGTACAGACTTGTCTACCAGGTGTGTCCTCAACTTTGGCAAAATAAACTTCTAAAGTGATTGAGACTTGTCTCAGATACTTTTTGGTTTACAATATGTCTGTCAAATGAGTGAGTAAGTATCTGTGCTGCAAGGCAAAGAGCTTTAACATGGAGAGCCTGATGACATGGGTGGTAGGTGCAGCTCTGTGTGCTGTCACTGGAGTGGATGCTGTCAGTGCCCTGCTCAAATCCCCTTTACTTAGAGGGGCATCCATCCTCCAGCTGCTGTGAGCTGTGGCTTCATCCAGGGGAGAGATGATGATGACTTAGACCAGGGTGTTTATTGTTAGCAGAAGTGATAGAAGCGGTTGGATTCTGGATACATTGTGATGATGGAGCCGACAGGATTTTCTGGTGGATAGGCTACAGAAAGTGAGAAAAAGAGAGCATGCAAGGATGAAATTCAAGGTTTTAGGCCAGAGCAACTGGATAAATGGAGTTGAAATTTGCTGCAATATGGAAGACTGCATGAGGAACAAGTTAGGGGTGGGGTGGAAGGACAGGAGTCAAGTTTTGGCCAGGCGAATTTCAACATATGTATTAGACATCCAAGAGGAGAAATTGAGTAAGTAGTTTAATAAGCGAGTCTGGAGTTCAGGTGAAAGGTCTGGGCCAGATATAATTTGGGAGTTAAGGATATATGGATGATGTTTAAAGCCATGAGACTGAAAGAAATTACCAAAGGATTGAGTGTATTTGAAAAGAGCAGAGGAACACGGGCTGACCTTGAAACTTTAAAGGTAAAGGTTGGGGCTGGACGTGGTGGCTCATGCTTGTAATCCCAACACTTTGGGAGGATGAGGTGGGAAAGTTGCTTGAGCCCAGGGGTTTGTGGCTGCACTGAGCTATTATCTTAACACTGCCCTCCGGCCTGGTCAACAGAGTGAGACCCTGTCTCTTACAAAAAAAATAGATAAACAAAAAGGAATCAGAGGCTAGTGTGGTGGCTCACGCCTCTAATCTCAGCACTTTGGGAGGCTGAGGCGGGCGGATCGCTTGAGCTCAGGAGTTCAAGACTAGCGTGGGCAACAGGGTGAAACCCCATCGCTACAAAAAAAAAAAAAAAAAAAGCCAGGTGTGGTGGCATGTACCTGTAATCCCGGCTACTCGGGAGGCTGAGGCAGGAAAATCGCTTGAACCTAGGAGGCAGAGGTTGCAGTGAGCCAAGATTGGGCCACTGCCCTCCAGCCTGGGCAACAGGGCAAGATTCTGTCTCAAAAAAAAAAAAAAATTGATAAAATAAAAGACCCATTGGTACCAATGGGTCTCTAAGATTTATTTCAGTTATCTTATTTTGCAATTCTCTTGGGGTTAATAAGTTTCTCAGTCTTTTCCCAAATCTACAAAAATTAGTGTATTTCCTTATAGTTACCCATCATTGGAAACAAATTGCTGCTGTTCCAGTTATGTATTGATGCATAACACACTTCACCAAAACCCGGTGACTTAAAGCATCAACCATTTTCTTTTCTTTTCTTTTTTTTTTTTTTTTTTTTTGAGATGGAGTTTTGCTCTTTCGCCCAGGCTGCAGTGAAGTGGCACAATCTCAGCTCACTCCAACCTCCACCTCCAGAGTTCAAGTGATCCTCTTGCATCAGCCTTTCAAGTAACTGGGATTACAGGTGCCCTCCGCCATGCCTGGCTAATTTTTGTATTTTTAATATTTTTGGCCAGGCTGGTCTTGAACTCCTGACCTCAGGTGATCCACCCACCTAGGCCTCCCAAAGTGCTAGGATTGTAGGTGTGAGCCACCGTGCCCGGCCCCCGTTTTCTTATATGTCATGATTTCGCAGATGCAGAGACGGGGCTGGGCTGGGCTGGGCTGGGTGATTCTTCTAATCTAGTTGGAGTATCTGGAAGTCTGTTGATAGTTTTCAACTGGTTGATAAATTAATCTACTCATGGAGTAGGAATGTAAACTGAATCGTGCAGCCAAGCATGTAAGAACATATGAAAAGTAATTACACTATAGTGTGTAGGAAAAGAAGGTTGGGTATTCCTGGGGAGAATATTTCAGTCTTCTTCACCTCCTTGGCTATTACAGAAGTGAAGGGAAATGACTGGAAGTTTGGTAAATTGCAGCCTAAATAACAAGAGACAATTTTCTAGTGTGCAGAGAAAACAATGCCATTGAATCCTGGGCATTCCTCTAGTTCATCAGTCTCATCTCATCTAATGATTGAGCCTTGACCTTCTGAGCTGAGGATTCTTGTGTCAGAAGCCACAGTTTTACACATTTCTGCAGGAATACTTTCCAAGCTTTTCCAAGGAAGAAATTTTTGTTTCTTCTGCTGTGTTTCTGCAGCGGTTTCCACTCACAGGAAGTCCTAATTATCTGAGGAAAACTACCACTAGATAAAAACACTTTAAACGAAGAGCAAACTTCAGTACATAGCATAGGTGAGTGTTTGGGGTGCATGCAGGTTCAATGGGAATTTTTCTTGAAAGAAAACAAAAATAAAATTATAAAAAGAAAGTTATTTTACTTATTCAATAAAATGTTTCTGATTGCAACTACATGCAAGAGGCAAAGAATGAAGTAAGTGTTGATTGTTTTGTTTTGCAGAAAAGTTTAAAAAAAATATTTTTCAATATAGTGAGACCTTTTCTCTACGAAAAAATTAAAAACTAACTGAGTGTGATAGTGTGCCCCTGTTGTCCCAGCTGCTTGGGAGGCTGAGGCAGGAGAATCACTTTAACTTGGGAAGTGGAGCCGAGATCACGCCACTGCACTCCAGTCTGGGCCACAGAGTGAGACTCTGTCTCAATAAAAAAAATATATATTTTTTAGAGACACAGTGTTGCTATTTTGCCCAGGATGGTCTTGAACTCCTGGCCTCGAGTAATCTTCCTGCTTCAGCCTTCTGAGTATGTTTTACATAAAATTTCAATCAGTAAAATTTTATAAGATGTGACAAGTCATCCCTCACTCAAGTGTCACTTTTTCATCCCAATAAAGATCAGTTTTATAGTTATATACACTCATGTACACATAGCTATGTACATGTATGTGTATGTATGTGTGTATATATCTATATATATACACATATAAATATGTAAACACACTCTGGGTCTTCAGTATTTTTAACTTTTTTGATCTATAGTATACTTAGAGAAAAATGGCCGGGTGCAATGGCTCACACCTGTAATACTAGCACTTTGGAAGGCTGAGGCAGGAGAACTGCTTGGGGCACGGAGTTTGAGATCAGACTGGACAACATAGCAAGACCCCCATCTCTACAAAATAAAAATTAGCCAGGTGTGGTGTCACGTGCCTGCAGTCCCAGCTACTGAGAAAGCTGAGGGTTGAGGATTGCTTGAGCGCAGGAATCCGAGGCTACAGTGAGCTATGGTTATACCACTGCACTCCAGTGCCAGTGACAGAGTGAGACCCTGTCTCAAAAAAAATGAAAATAACTTCAGAAAAAGTCATAAGTGCACAACTCAGTGAATTGTAATTTTCATAAGCCGTTCACACCCATGTTGTCAGCACCTAACTCCAGAAAGAGAACATTATCAGCCTCTTAGATGCTCCTCTCTTATTCAAAAGCAGTCATTATTCAACTCCACCCCCACCGCAAGTAGCAACTCTCCTGACTTCTGACAGCATAGATGAGTTTTGATTGTTTTTGAACTTCATAGAAAGGGAATTGTATTTTGTTATCTGGTTTCTTTTTCTCCATATTACATCTGTCAGGTTTACATATGTTGTTGCTAGTACTTTTTTATTCATTCTCATTGCTGCGTATTTCATAGTACGCATATACCAACATTTCTCTATTCCGCCATTGATGGATATTTGGGAGGTTTCCAGTCTGAGGCTTTTATGAATAGGGTTGTGAATGGGGTTCAGGACATGCTACGTCCAAAATATGGCACCTTGGCATTTGAGAAAACCACAGAAGCAAGAAGGTCTCTCTGATCTGTCTCACCCTTCTCCCCTAATGTAGTCCATGAAAACTAGCTGACCTTCCCCTGAGAGTAGGTGATTAGACTCTCCTTCCAGAGAGGTCCTCCCTATACCTGGAGGAAAGGAATGAAGACACAGAGATGCCAAGAAGAATCTGAAGAAATAGACCTTGTAAATTCCCCCCAGCTTATTCCCATTAGATCATACCCTTTTGTCCTCCAATTATACTTTGACATGATTCTTCATAAAAGTACACACTTGTATCTGTTTCTTCAGGTCTTCTTTTGTGAAGGCTCCCATGTCACATAAAACTTACATGAAATAAATCTGTATGCTTTTCTCTTGTTAGGTCACCTTTTGTTACAGGGGCCTCAGCCATGAACCTTGTGATGGGTGAGGAAAAGATCTTACTTTTTCTCCCCTACTGCTGCTAAAAACATAGTATGTGAGTTTTAGCACACATGAGTATCCATTTCTGTTGGGTCATGATGTAGTTTTTCTTGCTTATGAATCTGTTAACTTAGTCAGATACATCCAAAAGTGTTGCTTCAATGACATTTTGCCCATGGTTGGAACCATACATGTTCAGTTTCATGGACATTTATATACTTTATGAAAGAATACACAGTGATTCAGCACTAAAAAGAAAAGTTATTATATCCACGGTTTTCACAGTTTTCGTGGCTACAGAAGTAAAGTAGCAGGGTGCAAATGATGTTATTGAAACAAATATTTGTCAAAGGAGGAATGACATCAATTCCTCTAAGTGTTTTGTGGAAGGAATCTAAGAAGACAGACAACCTCAAGGAGATGAAGCTGCCAGTTATACTGAGTTCATGCTGTTTCTCAGATATATGCAAAAGCATTTCCCATCACACATCATGCAACTGAAGGCAGGAGAAATGGCCAAATTCCTTGGAACAGATGAAAGATACTTCAGCCGGGTGCAGTGGCTCATGCCTGTAAAGCCAGCATTTTGGGAGGCCAAGATGGGCAGATCATGAGGTCAGGAGTTTGAGACCAGCCTGGCCAACATGGTGAAACCCCATTTCTACTAAACATATAAAAATTAGCTGGGCGTTGTTGTGCATACCTGTAATCCCAGATATTGGGGAGGTTGAGGCAGTAGAATGGCTTGAACCCAGGAGGCAAAGGTTGCAGTGAACTGAGATCGTGGCACGGCACTCCAGCCTTGGTGACAGAGCAAGACTCCGTCTCAAAAAAAAGATACTTCAAAGCAGGGAAGAGCTGATGTGTCTCATTCATGTGTAATGCAGGACTGTCATTAAGACCTTGCGTCATATTTAAGTGGCCTCATTTTTATTCTTCCTTGGAGGTAGATAAATAACAAGGCATTTAGTAGCTATGATGTCTTATAATTGATGAAGTATGATAATCAGAATGATCATATTAAAGCTGTAATTTATTGGTCCAAGCATTGTGCTCAGCAATTTACAAACATTCTCTCGTTTAATTTAATTCTTCACAGCAGTCCTATATGGTAGGTAATATATTTTAGCCTTAGAGACATTAGGCACCTTGGGCAAAGATACATTGGTAGTAAGTGATGAAGCCAGGACTCAGACCCTAGTGTGTGACTTTGTGAATGCTGACTCTGCTCAGCACCTGGAGGTCTGAGGTTTTCCAGCTGCTCTACTGGAGGATGAATTCAACTGAGGTGACCAGGGACGGGAAGATCATGCTGGCATTGTGTCTAGGCAGTGTTCTTCACTCCAGCTTTGACAGTCATAAAGCTACCACTCTGACCCTAGTTCCGATCATTTATTACCTGCACTAGTTGTAATAGTTTCCTTATTAGAAGTTTCCCTGCTTCCAGGCCGGGTGTGGTGGCTCTTGCCTCTAATCCTAGCACTTTGTGGGGCTGAGGCAGGAGGATCACTTGAGCTCAGGAGTTCAAGATCAGCCTGGGCAACATAGTGAGACCCTATCTCTATTTAAAAAAAAAAAAGTTTCCCTGCTTCCGACATTGTCTCCTATCACCCATTCTGAGCACAGCAGCTAGAGTGAGCATTTATTGATTGATTGATTGACTGATTGATTGATTGATTGAGACAGGGTTGCACTTTGTCACCCAGGATGAAGTGTCACGACACCATCTCGGCTCACTGCAGCCTTGACCTCCCAGGTTCAAGCGATCTTCCTGCCTCAGTCCCCCAAGTAGCTGGGACAACAGGTGTGTGCCACTACACTGGGCTAATTTCTGTGTTTTTAGTAGAGACAGGGTTTTGTCATATTTCCCAGCCTGGCCTCAAACTCCTAGGCTGAAGCAATCCACCCACCTTGGCCTCCCAAAGTGCTAGAATTCCAGGTGTGAGCCATGGCGCCTGGCGTGAACATTTAAAACGTAAGTCAAGGCCATACCCCAAACCCTCCAAAGGCTTCCTATCTTGGCATAAAAGCTGGAGTGTGTGGGGTCCTACAAGACCTTGTGCCATGACTCTATGTCACTCTCTCCATTCCCTCCCTCAGGTACAGCAATCCCGGCCTCCTTACATATCCAAACTCAGGGTCTTTCTCACTTTGTGTCCTCCACCAGGAACAGAGTTGGAGACAAGGATTTGAATATAAATTGTTTTTTTGGAAAGTGAAGGAAATTGGGAAAGGAGATGGAAAGGAAAGGGCGTGCCCCTCAGCCAACTACCCCTGTGGGCAACTGATCTCAATTCCACTGGCAAGGTTTGGGAGCCGGTGTAGAGCTTGCACTTCGGGGGTGAACAATCTTAGCCCTCCTGAGGGGACTGTCTCAGGCCTGGGGTAAGGCAGGGTCCAGTGCCCAGAGAAGGCCTTCAGGCATAAGGGGTGATGATGCTGGTCATTTGACATCAGGCTGGCACTAAAATGGGAAAACTTGAGGCATACGGTCAAGACCTTGAAAATGTCCACGACAGGCCCACAGATTTGCTCTACTGTCTGCCTAGAATATTCTTCCCTCGCATAGTCCCATATTGCTCCCTTAGAACTATATTCAAATGACTCTTCAGGGAGGACTTTTGTGATTCTCTTCTTCAAATCGTCCCCCAACTCCTAGAACACACATATATCTTGTTTATGGTCTTTCTTCTACCACTAAATAAAGGCACCACGTGGGCAGGCATTTTGGTCTGTTACATCTGCTGCTTTATCCGCATTGCTTGGTATGGTGTGTGCTGCATAATAGGAGTTCGATAAATATCGAATGAATGAATGAGTGAAAGGTCATTTAGAAACTCTTATTTTCTGCGTCTATTGTCAATTGACTTGGAATCCTTAGGAATGAGGAATATGGTTAATTGGCATCTTCGAACTCCAATATATATCTATTATTTTATATTAGGGCCTGATGGTGAATAACCTTCAATCTCACCCCCCTCCACAAATGTTGAACATCTACCATGTGCCAGACACTGTTCAAAGTACTAGGAATACTGCGATATATCAACTGGGAATGACTTTTGTCAGGGAATGACAGAAACACCGACAGCAATGGCTTATACCAAATAAGGGTTTTATTTTTCTCCTGTAATTAGAAGTCTAGACACAGACAGTCCAGTGCCTGCGCAGTGGCTCCAAGGGGCCACTGGGGACCATGCCTGCCTCTACCTTCTCTATGTCGTCCCAGCTTGCTGCTCTCCCTCCAGCAGTGTCTGTATTCCATTAAGGAAGGGGAAATGGAAGGGGAGAAGGTATGTTCCAGAGGATTCCTCCCTCCAGGATGCTTTCCCGAAAAGCTCTACACAACAATTTCTGGTCGTATCTCTTTGCACATCTTGTGGCTACCCCTAGCAGCAGGGGAGCTAAGAAATGTAGCATTTGTTTGCTTTTGTTTTCTTTGATGGGCTCCTTGTTTTCTGTAAACAAACTTGGGAAGTAGGGTACAATTAAATGCATCTTGGGTAGGTGACTAGCAATACCGTCCATAAGACTAATAACCATGTTCTCTTGAAGCTGTCACTATAGTGCAGGCAAACAGAAAACAAGGAAGCAAACACACACCAACTTGTAAAAAATTCCAAATGTAATAGCCACAAGTGCTGTGCAGGGTCCTTAATAATAAGGGGGAGTTAGAAGTTGACTCAGGTTCTATATTATACCTGGGAGTCAAAGGAGCAGCTCTCCAAGGAAGTGACATCGGAGCTGAATTCTGAATGATGAGGCAGAGGCGACTTTGCCAAGATCAACTGTGATTTTACCAATCCTTTGTTGGTTATAATGTAATCCCAGTCAAGAAAGCATATAACTATGTCTACCTAATTCTTTAAAATCCAGCCTTCAAGATGTGGGATAAATCATCCTTATTTTTCCTAAACATTCTCTCAGAGCTGTGATGAGGTTTTTTTCTCCTTCTGGTGCTTCTCTCTCCCCTTCCCTTCCCTCCCTCCTCTCTCTCACAGATAGCAAAAATTAAGGTGGTTCCTTGACAATAATGGTAAATGATCACGGAATGGAGCATGAGAGGGAGTTTTTGCTTGTTGTTGTTTTTGTTTGTTTGTTTGTTTGCTTTTGAGATAGAGTTTCGCTCTTGTTGCCCAGGCTGGAGTGCAATGGTACGATGTCGGCTCATCTCAAACTCCACCTCCCAGGTTCAAGCAACTCTCCTGCCTCAACCTCCTGAGTAGCTGGGATTATAGGCATGCGCCATCACGCCCAGCTAATTTTGTATTTTTAGTAGAGACAGTGTTTCTCCATGTTGGCCAGGCTGATCTTGAACTCCCGACCTCAGGTGATCCACCCACCTTGGCCTCCCAAAGTGCTGGTATTACAGGCGTGAGCCACCACACCCGGCCTTGTTGTTTTTTAAAGCCTAACAATGCTTAATGTGGCTGGGGCAAGGTGGCTCACACCTGTAATCCCAGCACTTTGGGAGGCCGGGGTGGGCAGATCACTTGCAGCCAGGAGTTTGAGACCAGCCTGGCCAACATGGTGAAACCCCATCTCTACTAACACTAGAAAAATTAGCTGGGCGTGGTGGCTCACGCTTGTAATTCCAGTTACTCAGGAGGCTGAGGCAGGAGAATGTCTTGAACCTGGGAGGCAAGAGGTGGAGGCTGCAGTAAGCCAAGATCGTGCCACCGCACTCCAGCCTGGGCGACAAAGCGAGACCCCATCTCAAAAAAAAAAAGCTTAATGCCAGAAAAAAATTTTTTTTTCAGGGAAATAAGTGAGATATGGGCAACTTATAAGAGAGGGAATAATTCTAGGAAAATTCTGTTTAACCTATTAGCCAGTCTATCAAAGAAGAAGATCTCTGTGGCATTGGGTGAAACTCTTGGTATGCCACATTCTAATCCACATAGCCTTAGAAGGGCTCTCACATGCTCATGTTAGTAAGTCAGTTGTTATGGAGAAAGGTGCTTTTTACATCTGCAAGGCTGGCTAGTCACGATAAGCAATTTAAATGTTACTGAACCTATTTCTTCTTGAGGCTGTTGCTGTATGGTTTCTTGCTGCCAGCTCTTTTCTCCCAATATTTTTATGCTATAGTTATCCTTTATCTAATATATGCTACACATGCAAGCAAACCCCTTTTTGTGTGTTGAGAACTATAGCTCCTATAAAATTCTGGCTAGACCCAACTCAGCAGGTGTGTTCAAGTCTGCTTGCAAGAGACTCGACAGGGTGAAGGGTGGAAAAATGTCAGTGAACATTGTGGTTGTAATACCACCTTACTTCACATTTCCCAGTGACTTTTTATGCTTCATATAGAAATGTTCAAAACATATCTCATTGCATTTCATTTCTAGATTGCAGCGTGGTTGTATTGTTTTTCCCCCTGTACTTTAAAGACTAAGTACACTTTCATCCCAGATATTACCAAAATCATACAGATGATTCAGCACTTAGACAAAACTGCCTGATAATTTTCCATCTTCATCATTTTTCATTCTTGACCTGAATCTTTTGGTATTGTGTAAGTGCTGCCTAAATGAAAAGTTTTTCTTTTTAGTTTTAAGAAATGTGTGTTATAGGCCGGGCGCAGTGGCTTACACCTGTAATCCCAGCACTTTGGGAGGCCGAGGCAGGCGGATCACAAGGTCAGGAGATCGAGACCATCCTGGCTAACATGGTGAAACCCCGTCTCTACTAAAAATACAAAAAAATTAGCCGGGTGTGGTGGCGGGTGCCTGTAGTCCCAGCTACTCGGGAGACTGAGGCAGGAGAATGGTGTGAACCCGGGAGGCGGAGCTTGCAGTGAACCGAGATCGCGCCACTGCACTCCAGCCTGGGCAAGAGAGTGAGACTCCACCTCAAAAAAAAAAAAAAAAAAAAGAAATGTGTGTTATAAAGCATTCAGACACGTTAATATCTTTATTATACTTTATTATACATAACTCTTTTTTTCTTTGTTTGGAAGTCCCTGCTCTTTAGCCCATTGCACAGGCAACTGTTGATAAAACACATAGTCTTTTTTTTTTTTTTTTTTTTTTTTTTTTTTTTTGAGACAGGGTCTTACTCTGTTGCCTAGGCTGGAGTGCAGTGGTACAATCTCTGCTCAGTGCAGCCTCAACCTCCCAGGCTCAAGCAATCCTCCCACCTGAGCCTCTTGTGTAGCTGGGACTACAGGCGTGCACCACCATGCCCAACAAAGTTTTATATTTTTTTGTAGAGGCGGGGTTTGGCCATGTTGCCCAGGCTGGAAACCTTATAGTCTTAATTTCTGATTTCTATGAGTTATTCACGCAATAACTCCACTTATAGAATAAACATCTAAGATGAAAGATTTTGATAACCAAAATTGGTTTAAAATGTTACTGGAATCATTTAAATAAATTAGTACATTAATATGAAGGAGTTATTTGCAGTGATAAGCAACCATGTTCTTAAAATATTTAATGAAAAAATGGTACTGATATCCTGTTGAGTGAAAATAAGGAGGTTATAGAATGTTATTACTAGATGATTTCAGTTTTGTAAGATGTATTTTAAAAACTGGAAAACAGCCAAGCATGGCGGCATGTGCCTGTAGTCCTAGCTACTTGGGAGGCTGAGGTGAGAGAATTGTTTGAAGCCACGAGCTTGAGGGTGCAGTGAGCTGTGACTGCGCCACTGTACTCCAGCCTGGGTGACAGAGTGAGAACCCATCTCAAAAACAAAAACAACAGCAATCAAAACAACCTTGAAAATAATATATCCAAGTATTAACCACTGCATGGTGGGAATTTGAGTAGTTTTTACTTTCTTATTGTGTTTTCTTACATAGCTGGAATTATTGTTATTATTATTATTATTATTATTATTATTATTATTATTTTTGAGACGGAGTTTCGCTCTGTCTCCCAGGCTGGAGTGCAGTGGCGCGATCTCGGCTCACTGCAAGCTCCGCCTCCCGGGTTCACGCCATTCTCCTGCCTCAGCCACCCGAGTAGCTGGGACTACAGGCGCCCACCGCCATGCCCAGCCAATTTTTTCTATTTTTAGTAGAGACGAGGTTTCACCGTGGTCTCGATCTCCTGACCTCGTGATCCACCCGCCTCAGCCTCCCAAAGTGCTGGGATTACAGGCTTCAGCCACCGCGCCCGGCCATAGCTGGAATTATTTTTAAAATAAACATGTAAAGCCAATTTTTTTTTTTTTTTTTTTTTTTTTGAGAACGTCTTGCTCTGTCGCCCAGGCTGGAGTACAGTGGTGTGATCTTGGCTCACTGCAACCTCCACCTCCTGGGTTCAAGCGATTCTCCCACCTCAGCCTCCTGAGTAGCTGGGATTACAGGCATGCACCACCATACCCGGCTAATTTTTGTATTTTTTAGTAAAGACAGGGTTTTGCCATGTTGGCCAGGCTGGTCTCAAACTCCTGACCTCAGGTGATCTGCCTGTCTCGGTCTCCCAAAGTGCTGAGATTACAGGCGTGAGCCACCACACCTGTCCGTAAAGTCAATTTTAAAAAGAATACAAGCTTATTTTTCAATAAGGAGGTAATGCATAAGGGAGAAGGCATCAACTTAGAAACTGAATAGATGTGGGTTTAAATCCAATTAAGCATTGATTATACGGTCATGAACCTCATAATGATGTTTTGGTAAACGAAAGATAGTGTATAAAACGGTGGTTCCATAAAGATTATAAAGGAGATGAAAAATTCCTATTGCCTATTGACTAGCCTTTAACATCAATGGCACAATGCATTACTCCCAAGTTTATGGTAATGCTGGTGTAAACAAACCTACCGCACTGTTAGTTGTATAAAACTTCAGCACATACAATTATGTAAAGTACATAATAGTTGATAATAAACGACTACATTACTGGTTTAGATATTTACAGGATATGATAATTTTTTATTTTTTGAGACGGAGTCTTGCTCTGTCACCGAGGCTGGAATGCAGTGGTGAGATCTCGGCTCACTGCAACTCCGCCTCCCGGGTTCAGGCAATCCTCCTGCCTCAGCCTCCCAAGTAGCTGGGATTAGAAGTGTGCACCAACACTCCTGGCTAATTTTTGTATTTTTAATAGAGATGGGGTTTCACCATGTGGGCCAGGCTGGTCTCAAAATCCTCACCTCGAGTGCTCTGCCCACCTTGGCCTCCCAAACTACTGAGATTACAGGCGTGAGCCACTGTGCCTGGCTTCATTCTTCTACTTACATATATAAAAAATAAGTTGGTCTGGGGCAGTGGCTCATGCCTGTTATCCCAGCACTCTGAGAGGCCGAGGCGGATGGATCACTTGAGGTCAGGAGTTCGAGACCAGCCTGGCTAACATGGTGAAACCCCGTCTTTACTAAAAATACAAAAAAAATTAGCCGGGTATGGTGGCTCATGCCTGTAGTCCCAGCAACTCGGGAGGCTGAGGCAGGAGAATCACTTGAACCCAGGAGGCGGAGGTTGCAGTGAGCCTAGATTTTGCTACTGCACTCCAGCCTGGGCGACAGAGCAAGACTCCGTCTCAAAAAAAAAAAAAAAAAAAAAAAAAAAAATCAACTGTAAAACAGCCTCAGGCAGGTCCTTCAGGAAGTATTCCAGAGGAAGGCATTGTCCCTGTAGGAGGTGACAGTTCCATGCTTATTGTTGCCACTGAAGATCTGCCACTGGGACAAGATGTGAAGGTGGAAGGCAGTGATACTGATGATCCTGACTGTGTAGACCTAGGCTAATGTATGTATTTGTCTTAGTTTTCAACAAAATTCAAAAAAAAAAAAATTTAACATTTCAAAAATAGAAAAAAATACAGAGTAAAGATATAAAGAAAAAAAATTGTACAGCTGTACAATGTGTTTGTGTTTTAAGTTGTGTTTTTACAAAAGAGTCAAAAGTTTAAAAAATTAAAAAGTTTCAAAAGGAAAAATGTTACAGCAAGCTAAGGTTAATTTATTATTGAAGAAAGAAAACAGAATAGGTTTTCTTTATACTCCTTTATAATCTTTATGGGACCACTGTTTTATATGCTATCATTGACCAAAACATCATTATGGGGTGCCTGACTGTATAATAAATGGTTAATTGGATTTAAACTCACATCTATTCAGTTCCTTTTTTTTTTTCTTTCCAACTTTTAAGTTCAGAAGGTATATGTGCAGGTTTGTTACATGGGTAAATTGCATGTCTCAGGACTTTGGTGTACAGTTTATTTTGTCACTCAGATAATGAGCATAGTACCCGATAGGTGGGTTTTTGATCCTCACTCTCTTCCTGCTGTCCATCCTGAAAACTTTTAAAGTAAATTTAGTGTAGCCTAAGTGTACAGTGTTTATAAAGTCTACAGTAGTGTACAGTCACATCCTAGGCCTTCACATTCACTCACCACTCACTCGCTGACTCACTCAGAATAACTTCTAGTTCTGCAAGCTTTGTTCATGGTAAGTACCCTATACAGGTGGACAGTTTTGAGCTTTCATGCCATATTTTTACTGTAGCTTTTCTGTTTTCATGTTTAGATCCATAAATATTTACCACTATGTTGCAGTTGCCTACAGTATTCAGGACGGTCACATGCTGTACAGGTTTGGTAGCTAGGAGCAATAGGCTACACCATATAGCTTGGGCGTGTAGTTGGCTATACTAGCTAGGTTTGTGTAACTTACACTCCATGTTGCTTGCACAAGGATGAAATCCCCTAATGATGCGTTTCTCAGAAGAGTATCCTGGTGGTTAAGCAACACATGACTGTATATGTAACCTGAAGCTCTCAGAGCTTCCCTGTCTTCATCTATCAGCCCAGGGAGAGGAATCAGTGGTTTTCCAAAAGCTGTACCTCTTTCCATAAATACAAGGATGAAGGGCTGAGATGATGGCAGTTAGAATTATATTGAGAAATGGTAGCGGGATCTGAGAAAGCAAGGCCATGAGTTGAAAGCAGAGAGAAGGCGGTTCGAGTGGAGCCCTGATGAAGTTCATGCTCATGGTTGCCCAGCCATTAACACGGGCTCATCACATCTGTTTCCAGATTGCTTCTAGAACTTAGCTACCCTCGTTCTATAAGATGGAATGAAAATGCGTACTACATACAGATCATGAAAAGACGCAAAGAAAATGCATCTTCACATTGCAGGTACTCAATTAGATTTATTTCTAATACTCAGCGCCACCCACAATTGGAAGGAAAGAAGGGCTAGAACATTAAAGTTTCTATTTGTGCTGAGACTGCAACTTAGCTATTTAGAAGTTATTTTAACAGACTTCCCTCCAGTGGAAAAACAAAACAGGGATAACTAGTTTGACTTGGTCTTTTTTATCTCTTTCCATTTAAACACAGATATCCTGTTGTGATAACCTTTGACACTTTATTACATGGCCGCAGTAAATAATAACTGCCCTTATTTTGTAATGTTAGCCCTGGTTACACAGCACCATTAATTACTGAACATAAAAGTTGAAGTTTTTGTGAATAGAAGGAAATGTTATTTGAATTCCTTTGCTGGGTTCACTAAGTTTATCTGAGGGCTTGGGTGGTATAAATGGCGAAGAGAGAATCATTGAGTTGTGTGTTTGTCACAGAGAAGTGCCCCCGCACCAAAAATAAGAACCAGCCAATCTGGGGCCAGTGGGAAAATGTTGACAGACTTGCAGAACTTCACTGGAAATCTGAGTTTGAGTCACGATGAAATTAAGAAATCAACTTCCAAACACCCTCAAGTTACCTTAATTGCTTAGAGAATGTATCTTTAGTTACCTTTCTCACTATAAAACAGTACTTTTTGTTATTGAAATAGCGTTTAAGGACTTGCAAAGGAATGACTTAAAAATCACTAAAAATCATGTCCATGTCTTTGGAAAAAGTCTTGGAAATGTTTTGCCATCAATTTCCATATTGATCAGGACACTGAGTTGGAGATTTTGTCACTTTTCTTCTTTGACAGTTGTCATCCTTTGTCAATATTTCTTTTCTTTCCTTTATTTTTTTTTTTATTTTTTGAGACGGAGTTTTGTTCTTGTCACCCAGGCTGTAGTGCAATGGCGTGATCTCGACTCACTGCAACTTCTGCCTCCCAGGTTCAAGCGATTCTCCTGCCTCAGCCTCCCGAGTAGCTGGGATTATAGGCACCTACCACAATGTCGGGCTAATTTTTGTATTTTTAGTACAGACGGGGTTTCACCATGTTGGTCAGGCTGGTCTCGAACTCCTGACCCCAGGTGATCCAGCCACTTTGGCCTCGCAAAGAGCTGGGATTACAGGAGTGAGCCACCATGCCCGGCCTGTCAATATTTCTTAAATAAGGAAAAGCCTGGTTTTATAAAGTTCAAATTTTACTGAAAATTGTTTTTAATTTTGTTTTTGTATTATCAACTTTTAATTAACTTACATTTGAATTTCAGAAATGTTTTTAACTTTGTTTCAGGGCGATTTTCAATTTACTCCTAATCTTTCTGAAACTTAGCTTTAGTAAAATATAAACATTGTAATACGTTACATGCTCAAATCCTACAGTTGTAGAATTTGAAGCGGCCTTAAAGTTCATGTATTCCATCTCTCCAATTAGTTAATCACAGTATTACAGAATCATTAATGTTGGCAATATTTTAATGTGAACAATTGTTAATTGTGAACAATTGGCTGGGTACAGTGGCTCATGCCTGTATTCTAAGCACTTTGGGAGGCCAAGGCAGGTAGATTGCTTGAGCTCACGAGTTTGAGACCAGACTGGGCAACAAAGTGAGACCTATTCTTTACCAAAAATAAAAAATTAGGTGGGCATGGTGGCATGTACTTGTAATCTCAGCTACTTGGGAGGCTAAAGTGGGAGGATCTCTCTTGAGCCTGGGAGGTTGAGGCTTCAGTGAGCCCTGATGGCACCACTGCACTCCAGCCTGGGTAACAGAGCAAAACCCTGTCTCAATAAAAAAATAAAGTAAAAAGGTAAGTTTTACAGATCCAGTCTTAACATAAGTATAAGGCAAAATTTAAGACTTTGGAATAAATAAAAGAGATATTCTTTTGGAATATTCACATTGGATATTCTTTCAATGAAATACCTGTCTTTAGAGACCACGTAATCCTACAGGGATATACATCTTGGTCTTTGGCTAAGCTATTTTACAAGTCTGTTGAGATAGAAGTTAACTTGAAAAGTGTTTTACTATAGATTTCTGTATTGATCACAACAATTCAGAAATTGATGATAAAACTAATAGTAATGCAAATATTTCTTGTTCATAATCATGCAAGGAAATTCTGTCCTGCGGACAGTCAACTGATTTTCCTCTCTTATTGTGGAAATAAACAGTTTTGTGTCTACTTGCAAATTTATTTCAGTGTTCCCATCTATATATGTATCTGCTGTTGGACTTCTCCTTTGAATGAATGATAACATTTCGGTGGTTCACTCATTAGTAATGAGTTAAATAAAATGTATTCCAGATGTTCATTTTATGTCTATATGATAGTCATGATTTTACCTTTTTGGGAAAATTATCCTTTAACCTAAGATACACAAATGGCCAGTTTATAATTAAAAACTACTTATCACTCTCCATTGGCCTATAGATGAAGACATTGAAGTTTGGAGAAAAACAGGGTGAGCATGTAATAAATAGCTTAGCTGGATTTGAATCCATGTCTATTTCATTTCTAAAATGGTATTCTAACTCATTGCACTGTCTCGTCACTAAGAAATAACATTTTTGTATTTTAAAAGATGGCTTTTAGTTTCATGTTCCAGTTGATGCTTATATTTCCAAAACAATCATGGTAGTGAAATTTGATTTATACATTCTTTCACCTAAGCTCTGGCTTTCAGCCGCTAGGTTTCTCTCTTCTGCTTTGACTGGGATATTTCTCTTGGCTTTGCATCAAGTAGTACTGTGTTTTCAAAGCCTCCATGTCATTTACAGTATGCATTAAATTGTATACAAAGCTTTTCCCTTTCAGGACTTGTTAAGACCTTCTGTTTATTTCAAGAAGAAAGCCTCAGTGAGGTGCTATGTCCCTCTCATACTTGCTAGTCTCCCTTTCATAACAAAGAGAGAGCTTAACAAAGAGAGTTGGAGCTTCCTCAACAATAGTATATAAATTTTTGTTTTTATTTTGCTTACTTTATGGTTATCTCTTATTTATTGAAAATAATTCTGATTTGCATTTATGATAATAGCACAAAGCTTCTTTTAAAATAAAGTTCAGTTAAAAATCAGTTGAGATAAAGGAAATCATTAATTAAATAGCTTGACTAATAGATGTGAGCTCTTTCCTGCCACCTTTTCCACCATGTGAGGATGCCATGAGAAATCACCATCTATGGAACAGACCTTCACCAAACACCAAATCTACCTATGCTGTGATTTTCTTTCTTTTTTTTTTTTTTTTTTTTGAGATGGAGTTTTGCTCTTGTCGCCCGAGCTGGAGTGCAATGGCGCGATCTCAAACTCTGCTCACTGCAACCTCTGCCTCCCAGGTTCAAGCAATTCTTCTGCCTCAGCCTCCCGAGTAGCTGGGATTACAGGGGCCTGCCACCAGGCCTGGGTAATTTCTTGTATTTTTAGTAGAGACAGGGTTTCACCATGTTGGCCAAGATGGTCTCAAACTCCTGACCACAGGGGATCCACCATCCTTGGCCTCCCAAAGTGCTGGGATTACAGGCATGAACAACCACACCCAGCCCCACACTATGATCTTGAACATCCCAACCTGCAGAACTGTGAGAAAAAAAATTCTATAGTTTATGAATTACCTAGTTGGTGGTATTTTGTGAGACCAGCAGGAATGGCCTAAGACACTCATAGAGTCATTGTGAGAAGGGAATAAGATGCTCTGTGTGACTGTGAGCTTCCTGAGGTCAGAGTGTGTCTAACTCATCTTGTTATCCCCCAACTCCTAATACAGTTCCTAGCACCTAGGACTCCATAAGAGCTTGTTTTCTTCTTTCCTTTGCAAAGCTAGTTAGTATAGTCACATGAACATTTTCTTTTTTCTTTTTTTTGTTTTTTGAGACAGTGTCGCTCTGTCACCCAGGCTGGAGTGCAGTAGCCCAATCTTGGCTCTCTGCCACCTCTGCCTCCCAGGTTCAAGCGATTCTCCCACCTCAGCCTCCAGAGCAGCTGGGATTACAGGCGTGCATTACCACACCCAGCTAATTTTTGTATTTTTAGTAGAGACGGGGTTTCACTATGTTGGCCAGGTTGGTCTCGAACTCCTGACCTCAAGTGATCCACCCGCCTCAGCCTCCCAAAGTGCTGGGATTACAGGCATGAGCCACCATGATCGGCCCACATGAACATTTTCTATGGCATTATTAAACAGAGAGTATTGCATGTGAACACGTAAAATAAACATGGGCATTTATAATGTTTTATTTTTCCTATGGTGATCAAAGCTGTTCAATGTATACATCGTATACAATGTATACATCTGAAGTATGGAAATATGCAATGAAGGAAGAAAAAAATCATCCCACAAATCTCACCCCCCTTCAGACACATCACACTCCAGGGCAACCATTCTTAATTTGATAAATTTCTCTTTTTTTCTATAATTAAAAATATTATACACTTGAGATCCTAGTACACATGCAATTTTGCAACCTGTTATTTTCTCCTAAGGTTAGATTTTGCTTGGCACTCAAAATCCATCCAGCATGATTTTTATTGTTTGACCTACATTGGGGCCTTTCTTTCCCATCTGTCATGGGGTTGGCCAACAGAATGTCAACCTGTGAATTCTCTGGTAAAATGTTTCCAAATGACAAATCAGACAATTTGGTGGGAGGATTGATGCAGGGGGAGGGGGGGTAGGGATGTATTGGGGTAGGGGAAGAGGGAGATGAAGGGAAGCAGTTAAGGAAGGAGGCATGGGAGAGAGCCAGAGGTTCCTCTTCACAAACCGTATTGGGAGGTCCTGGATACGGGCATCGGTTCCTTGGCAAAGCTTGGAAGCCACCCATTAATCTTGTACTCCCTCTGCTGGCTTTGCTGAGCACAGCCACTGTGTGATTAATGTGAATAGTAATGGTCCTGAGTCCACTGAAATCCCCCGTGATGAACAGGAAAGACAAACAGTCATTCTTTTTGAGATTCTTTTTTATAAGATCCAAGTTCACACTAACAGGAGTAGATTGATTGATTACTTATTCAGTTGAAACGAATTCAAATTGCTGCCCCACCCCTCCTGTCCTCCTCCCCTCCCCATCCTCTTTTCCTCTGCCCCAGGAGAATGAAATTCTAAAGTTCTCAGCTTTTCCTTTCAAGATTCTTATGATTCTCCTGATGATCTCACTTCTCTTTACTGTATTTTGCTGTTGCTTTTCTCTGTTTCACCTTCTGTGCCACCCCGCCCACCTCCTTGATAGTGCCATTTGTGAATAAAAAAGGAATGGTGAAACCCTGCCTTTGCTTTGCAAAGCAGGGTTGCATTAGCTTCTCTAATTCTGCAGCCTCTTATTTCTCCATTTTTGCTTAATTCAAAGTTGTTAAAAGCTTTTCAAAATAGGTGTATGCTCTACTTGACAGTTGTGAGAAAACAATGCCTCCAATAAAAAGAAAGCAAGATACATTTGCAATTTCCTTTTCCATAATTTATAGTGATTTAGCTCCCCCCTATCAGGAGATAAAAATTTCTTTGGGAACAAGTTTCTTTTAATAGCATCATCTGAAGCAGCACACATTTCTTTCGCGGTCATTAGAGCTCCTAGCCTACAAAACAGTGACTGAAGATTGAATTAGATTTAGAGGGAGGCTGCCTGTATCACATAAATAAACAGGGCCCTGGCCATTTCATTACAGAACTTAGATAAGCAGTACAGATGGTCGGCTGCAGTGTTACACATGCATAACCTATTTAAAAGATGACATTATAGGGTCAGAAGCATTAATGTACTCACAGTGTCATTTGTTTACTCTACTTGAGTTACTTCTTTCACACTAAGCGCTAAAGCCGTGGGTCAGGCAAATTATTGCAGGCAGTAATGCAGACTAGATGAAAAGATAAGGGAATTATTGAATGATGAGAGCATAAACACTAAATTAGTTTAAGGATTTATGGCCCCAAGCTTAACCTAATAGATGTTATTTGCTATTGATCCTTCTCAAGGTGTTGTAGGTGACAAAAAACCCAAAAACCTCATTCGTTTAAGCACATCAAGAAAGGTAATTAACTTACTAACTTACTGGCTCATGGAACTGAGAGATCAGAGCTTCAGGTATGGCTGGTTCTAGTGCTCAGAATGGCTGTCAGGTCTGTTCTCTTTCATGGTGGCTTCATTTGCAGGATGCTCTCATTACTGGTGTTCAGATGCTCCATGCCTATGTATTAACACTTGCAAGTACAATGGAAAGAGGTTCTTTGTTATTCTAGCAAAAGATCAGGAATTACATCTCTTGACCAATTTTGGATATGCGCCTTTTCTGAACCAATGATTAGAGGTGGAAGAATGGAATGTGTATTCCGTTGAGTCATGTGCTCATCCTGTGAGCCCTGAGTTTAGGGCAGGGGTTGGTGGAGTTTGTGGATAGCATCACCAAGACAGCTAGACTAGGAGAGGGTGGCTCCTCAAAGAAAAAATCCACATGCTACTAACACAGGAAGGTGGTGTGGAAGCCAGGTAGGCAAAATGGGATTTCTAATCCTTCAACCAGTGCACTTCAGAAAGGATCATTCACTAGAACCTTCGAATGAATTCAACTAACATACAGGATGCACGCTGAGGTAAAAACTAGAAAATGTCCGTAAATCTGTTCATTCACCTGAGGTTTCTGTTCCAAGTTAAATCTATTAGCAGGCAGGACTAGCAAATATTCTTCATAAGTAAAACTACCTTATCGGCACCTGTCTTTTTAATGCTACCACTCTATGTTTACACTTTCAAATTTCCCAGTTTCTCAGATGACAGAAGGAATTCTTACTGTATCACATCCCTCCATCTGTTGAATTAAACAAAATGCATGCCAGCCCTTTTAACAACTGCAGTACTAAAAGGGTCAAGTGAATGTCAAAGGCATGATTGAACTAACAGGTTCCGGACTGCCAAGTCCCTTGCAAGACTTTAGAAATGTTTCTTGCTTTTAACTTCTGCTCTGGGTCACTTACTTGTGGTTACTGTGGTGGTGCCACCAGCTCTCTGAAATTTCTTACTAGTCAACAGACTACAGTACTGAAAGGAGCTATTGTTACACTTCAGTATAGAAACAGGACACACACACACACACACACACGCAAATGAGCACGTGTAAAACAGTGAAATCCAAATGAGGTAGACAGATTGTATTTATGTCAATTTCTTTGTTGCCATAGTATTCTATAGTGTTGCAAGTTGTTAGCATTGGGGGAAACAGGGTGAAGGGCACACGAGATCTCTCTGTATAATTCTTTATAATTACATGTACATCTTCAATAATTACCAAATATTTTTTTCTAATTTTCTCGAGCTGGGGTCTTGCTGCATATGTGGTCTGGCCTCGAGGGCTCAAGAAATATGTCTGCCTCAGCCTCCCAAGTAACTGCGACTACAGCCATGTACCACCACACTCAACTCCTACCAAAGAAAGTTTTCAAATAATTGCATAAGACAAAAAACTAATAGAAATAGGATTGTCATGAGGATGATAATGATGTCCTGTGTCATCTTGATGAAAGCAAATCTTTGAAATAGTGTGAATTTTTTTTTTTTTTTGAGACAGAGTCTTATTCTGTCACCCAGGCTACAGTGCAGTGGCATGATCTTGGCTCCCTGCAGCCTCCACTTCCTGGGTTCAAGTGATTCTCCTACGTCAGCCACCCGAGTAGCTGGGATTACAGGCATATGCCACCACACCCAGCTGATTTTTGTATTTTTTATTAGAGACAGGGTTTCACCATGTTGGCCAGGCTGGTTTCGAACTCCCGACCTCAACTTGATCTGCCTACCTTGGCCTCCCAAAGTACTGGATTACAGGCGTGGGCCACTGCGCCGGTCTTGAATGTATTCTTTTCTTCCTGCAGACTCAAAGCTGTGGATGGAAGTTGTTGAAGCCCTAGGCTGGATTAAGAATACTTTAGATTTAGTCATGGCAGAGAGTTCTGAAACAAGTTCTATCAATATGTAGTTCAACAAATATTTATTTATTTTCACTTTCCTTTATTTAAATTGAGATGAAACTTGCATAACACAAATTAACCATTTCAAAGTGAACAAGTCAGTGGCATTTGGTGCATTTACAATATTGTGCAGCCACTGTCTTCAATTCTGAAACATTTTCATCACTCCAAAATTAAACCCCATACCTATTTGGCAGTTACTCCCCAACCCCACTCCAGCCTCTGGGTGACTCCCAATCTGCTTTCTGCTTCTCTAGATTTACCTATTCTGCACACTTCATGTAAATAAAATCATGGAAGATATGATCTTTTGTGTCTGGCTTCTTTCACTTAGTGTAATGTTTTTGAGGTTCATCCAGGCCATCGCATGTATCAGTATCAGTACTTCATTCTGATGGTGTTCAGGACCCACTACCCTAAAATATGGCACCTTGGCATTTGAGAACACTGCAGAAGCAGGAAGTTCTCTCTGACCTTCCTCCCACCCTTCACCTTTGAAGTAGACTATAAAAGAATTTTTTTTTATCTTCTCCTGAAGTAGGGCATAAGGCCCTCATTCCAGAGATGGCCACACTATACTCAGAGAAAAATGCCCTGTCTCTAAGGACACAGGAACTCGGAGAAGAACCTGAACAAACAGGCCTTGCTAAATTCTCCCTAGTTGATTACTATCAGTTTACACCCCTTTTGTCCAATGGTACTGCTGCCTGACTATCCATTTGTCATCAAACCTAAGCACAAAAATGCATAGGTTTCCCTGTTTTTTTGGTTTTTCATTTAAAAAGTCTCCCATATCACATAAAATTTGTATGCTATTCTCTTGTTAAGCTGTTTTTTCTCTTTTTTTGAGACAGGGTCTGCCTCTGTCACCCAGGCTGGAGTACAGTGGTGTGATCTTAGCTTGCTGTAACCCCAAATTCCTGGGCTCAAGCAGTCCTCCCACCTCAGCCTCCTGAGTAGCTGGGATTACAGGCAGCACCACTATGCCTGGCCAATCTTTCTTTTTATTTTTTGTAGAGATGGGATCTCACTATGTTGACCAGGCCAGTCATGAACTCCTGGCCTCAGGCGATCTTCCTGCCTCAGCCTCCCAAAGTGCTGAGATTAAGATGTGAGCCACTGTGCCCAGCCTAAGCTGTCTTTTATTGCAAGCGCCTCAGCTATGAACCTAGCAATGGGTTAGAAAATAAATCTCTCCTCTCCTACAATTTTCTTTCATGGCTGAATAATAAAAAAAAAAAAATTGCCATTATCCATTATATCCATTGTATGAACATAACACAATTTGTCTATCTATTCATTTGTTGATGGACATTTAAGTTGTTTCTACCTTTTGGCTATCGTGAATAGTGCTGGTATAACATTTGTGTACAGGTATGGTTTTCACCACCTGTTTCCAATTATTTTGGGTATATACCTATGAGCAAAATTGCTGGGTCATGTGACAATTCTGTTGAACTTAACAAATACTTACTGAGCAACTGCAGTGTTCCCTGTAGTGCTCTACGTGCTGGCAACACAATTATTGAGCCAAAAGTTCAGATCCCTCCTTTTCTGGAACTTAATTTCTAATATCAAAGAGAAAGGCAATAAACAATAAGCAGGAATGGTACCTAATTTGTGATGCAAAATGCAAATGAGGTCCCTCGTTTAAAAAAAAAATTATTGGCTGGGAACAGTGGTTCACGCCTGTAATCCCAGGACTTTGGGAGGCCAAGGTGGGTAGATTGCTTGAGACCAGGAGTTCGAGACCAGTCTGGACAACATAGCAAAACTTCATGTCTACAAAAAATACAAAAATTAGCTGGGGGTGGTGGTACACACCTGTAGTCCCAGCTATTCAGGCTGAGATAGGAGGGTTGCTTGAGCTTGGGAGGCAGAGGCTGCAGTGAGCTGAGATCGTGCCAGTGCACTCCAGCCTGGGCAACAGAGTAAGACCCTGTCTCAAAAACAAAATTAATAACTTTAAGATGAGAACAGCAAAGCCTTAAACCAAGTGGGGAGTCCTTCTAAGTAGGCACAGTGTCCTGAGAGACTGCACACTTTGTTGGCCTGTGAAGCTAACACTGACAATAAGAAAATACAGTAATTTCAGATGTTAATCACACATGAATACACAAAGTGGGGTAATATGATAGAGAACAAATATAAGTGGGTGAGCTACTTTCAATAGTTAGGAAAGGCCTCTATGAGAAGCTCATATTCAAGCTGAGACCTGAATGATAACAAGGAACCAACTGTATCAAGATCTCTGGGCAGCGTATCCAAGCAGAGGGAAGAGACTGAGCCAAGACTGCAAGCCTGCAAGTTCAGGAACCAAAACAATGTCACTGTGGCTGGAACTGGGTTATCTTTAGCCTGAGTGTAAGTACAGTTTCTAACACCACAATCCTGGAGGAAGATTTGGGCCTCTTTTTTGGAATAAAGACAGTGAAAATCAGTCTTGGTAACATCAAACTCTAGACCCGTGGTTGTCAGTGAGCATGATATAGCACACTGGTGTTCCCCAAGCACTTCTCAGTTAGGGCCTAGATTTTGCCCACTGGGTACAATTTATTTTGCATCAACTGAGAACACAGAGTATCTGTCAGAATGCTGAGCTGAGGATTAGCTGGTTGTGGTGTGTGTGGAGTACAATTTGGTACTAACGAGTGGTAAGAAGCATACCATAATGCCAAAGATTGTCTACTGGGATGTATGCAGAATGTGAGGTTTCTGAGAGCCAAGTCCTGGAAGTAAAGGAGGTTGCACCGAGGCTGAGAAAATAGAGTGATCATTGTGCACACGTTCATGGACCCCACCAGATGTTAGACTGACTGGAGTAGACAGTGCATTGCAATCATTGCTAACTCATTGAGTGTCTTTTTATTTCTTTAAGCATGACTTCAAAACTCTAATAATCATAAAGTTCTGAGAAAATGTGGAGATCATGACTCTAGACAACATTTACAAGAACTGCATAGGTGAAAGAGTCAGATGTCTGGCTGACCTAGCAGTTCTCTTTGCAACTGAGGAAGGCCACGCCAAAGAAGTAAGGTTTACATCCAGGCTGAGACTTTTTCAGAGCCACGAGGGAGTGGTGGGTGAGTCAGAGAAATGATGCATGCCAGAAGAAATCCCTTAAGAATTACTGTAAAATCAATGGATTGGAAAACTGAATTAATGGGGCTGGGGACTGTTTATTAACAATGAAAAAAAAATCTATATTTCCCCTGTCTTCTCTGAGCAATATTAGAAGCTATGAGAGAGGAGCAATGAATATCATGTGAAAGGAGAAAGTGAAGACACCAGATCACATAAATGATTACATGGAGTCTGAACGGCTCATAAGGTTTGCATGAGTGAATGTTCCCAGTCGTTCTGGTGGATAAACACTTTGTTATCCTAGATCACTCTGAATAACTTGGGCCAATAAAGGCAGTCATACTTATTTCAAAGGACACCATATCAGGTTCTAAAGTGGCCTTCAAATTTATTGCATTTGTGGAAGTACCAACTGGTGAGAATAGCATTTGTGATTGGTTTCAGCCATGCAAGGGAGTCTAGTTACAAGATAATTCTTGATAGGGGACAGGGTCCCAAATCCTTCTGCTTTGTTTAAAAAGCATTGCTGAATCAGCATTTGATTCAGAGTGTACAATATATAACTTTTGTTTTTTTTTAAATACTAATCAGTATTGGCAACTTTTTAAAGTTATAAAAAGTGAAGTGCCTAGGAAAAATTTTGTATTCTCATTTAAAGCTAAATAAACAGATGGAAATAGAAATTAGAAGGTGTTCCATCTTATTTCAATTTTCTTTTTTCCCCACTATTATGACAGTTAAAGAAAATCGCTGAAAACTAGTCAAATCCAAAAATATTCCTCACATTTATTTTTCCTCGCCTGAGTAAAATTTCAGAGTGTTTTGTTTACAAATGAAAACTTTAAAAGTAATTATTTTGTAATTGTTTTGAAAAAAAGCAAATAACTAATAATAACGTTCTACAAACATAAAGTTAACTTTTGTGTGATTAAAGTTTAATCTAAAAACATTAACTTTCTATTACCTGTTTAACATGAAAGTAGACCGTTTTTACACATATTTTATTTTTGAGAATTTTCCGTTTAAAAATCTAATAATTGGCTGGGCGCAGTGGCTCACACCTGTAATCCCAGCACTTTGGGAGGCTGAGGCTGGTGGATCACCTGAGGTCAGGAGTTCAAGACCAGCCTGGCCAAAATAGTGAAACCCTGTCTTTACCAAAAATACAAAAATTAGCCGGGTGTGGTGGCAGGCACCTGTAACCTCAGCTACTTGGGAGGCTAAGGCAGGAGAATCGCTTGAACCCGGGAGACAGAGGTTGCAGTGAGCCAAGGTCACTCCACTGCACTCCAGCCTGGGTGACAGAGCGAGATTCAGTCTCAAAAAAAAAAAAAAGATAAAAATCTAATAATTATTCCACTTTTGCTATATAAAAAAACCTGTGTGTATATGTATTTACACACAAAGAATATAATATGGAAAGTTATATCCCAAAATGTGAGTAATCATCACATCTAGGTGGTAAGATTCTGCTTTTTTTATATTTTCATATTTTTTCTATATGAATATGTATTATTTGTACATATGGGGGGAAGAGAAAACTAATATAAGCAAAGCATTAGTTTTCTAATGTAACTGTAATGACATTAATTCAAATTCTAATAAATTACATTAGTTCTAATTAATGGGTCAAAGTCTTGGCTATAAACAGATGGCACATTCAGGATTTTTTTAAAAATTTCAATAGCTTTGGGGTTGTAATGGTTTTTGGTTACATGGACGAATTTTGTAGTGGCGAATTCTGAGATTTTAATGCACTCATCACCCAAGCAGTGTACATTGTACTCACTATGTAGTCTTTTATCCCTCACTCACCTCCCACTCTCCCCACTATAGTCCATTACATCAGTCTTATGCTTTTGCGGCCTAGTAGCTTAGCTCCCACTTATAAGTGAGAACATACAGTATTTGGTTTTCCATTCCTGAGTCACTTCACTTAGAATAATGGCTTCCAGCTCCATCCAAGTTGCTGCAAATGACATTGTTTCATTCCCTTTTATGGCTGAGAAGTATTCCACGATGTATCTTCCCTTCCCTTCCCTTCCCTCCCCTTCCCTTCCCTCCCCTCCCCTCCCCTCCCCTCCCCTCCCCTCCCCTCCCCTCCCCTCCCTTCCCCTGCCCTCCCCGTCCCTCTTTTCTTTTCTTTTCTCTTTTCTTTTTTTCAGAACAGAGTCTTGCTCTGTCTCCCAGGCTAGAGTACAGTGGCATGATGTCAGCTCACTGCAACCTCAACCTCCTGGGTTCAAGCGATCCTCCCGCCTCATCCTCCCAAGTAGCTGGGACTACAGGCACTCACCACCACGTCCAGATAATTTTTTATTTTTTGTAGAGATGGGGTTTTACCATGTTGGCCAGGCTGGTCTCGAACTCCTGGCTTCGAGTGATCCACTCACCTCAGCCTCCCAAAGTGCTGGGATTACAGGTGTGAGGCACCATGCTCAACCCACATTTTCTTTATTCACTCGTTGGTTGATGGACACTCAGGTTGGTTTTATATCTTTGCACTTGTGGACTGTGCGGCTATAAATGTGTGTGCATGTGTCCTTTTAAATATAATGATATCTTTTTCATTTGAGTAGATACCTAGTAGTGGGATTGCTGGATCGAATGATAGATCTACTTTTAGTTCTTTGAGGAATCTCCATACTGTTTTTCACAGAGGTTGTACTAATTTACATTCCCACCAGCAATGTAAAAGCCTTCCCTTTGCACCACATACACACTAACATCTATTGTTTTTTGACTTTTTCTTTTTTTTGAGACAGAGCCTTGCTCTGTCACCCAGGCTGGAGTACAGTGGCACGATCTCAGTTCACTGCAACCTCCGCCTCCTGGGTTCAAGCCATTTTCCTGCCTCAGCCTCCCCAGTAGCTGGGATTACAGGCGTGTACCACCATGCCCAGCTAATTTTTGTATTTTTAGTAGAGATGGGGTTTCACCCTGTCGGCCAGGCTGGTCTGGAACTCCTGACCTCGTGATCCGCCCACCTCAGCCTCCCAAAGTGTTGGGATTATAGGCGTGAGCCACCATGCCCGGCTGTTTTTTGACTTTTAAATTATGGCCATTCTTGCAGGACTGAGGTGGTATGTCACTGTGGTTTTAACTTCCATTTCTCTGATGATTAATGATGTTGAGCATTTTTTCATATGTTTGTTCTTCATTTGTATATCTTCTTTTGAGAAATGTCTATTCATTTCCTTTGCCCACTTTTTGATGGGGACACTCAAGATTTTTAAAAAAGGAGAGTCAAATGGAATTTAACATTTGTGGAGAGAAGTGAGCAGGGTTAAGGAACCACCAGGGCATGATAAAGCACCCAGGGGCTAGGAACTGGGAAGCTGTTACCACCCGTAGACACAAAGGCAAAAGGAATGGGAACATGTTTCCAGAGCCTGGGGAAAGCTTGGGGCTGACAGGACCATGGCGAGGATGGAGGGCTGAGGACAGAGGGGAAGCACCCTAGCTTTCCTTTCTCCCTCCTAGTCTCAACCCAGTGAAAGCCTTAGGCCCTCCTAAGAGGCTGGCCTTGACTCACTGGGCATGGTGAAGAGCAAAGGACAATGAATGTGTTGGATAAATGGAGAATAAGCTGTGCTGACAGCACATTGTGAAGATACATTCTCAGCTGTGAGTTACCTCTCATACCTTTCTACCATATTGAAAAAGGAATTAGTTTCCTTTTATTCCTTCATTTTCTTCTTCCTGGTTCTTTATAGAATTGATCTTCTAAAATGTAGAGATGTTGCCCAGGCTGGTCTCGAACTCCTGGGCTTAAGTGATCTTCCTGTGTCAGTCTCACAAAGTGTTAGGATTACAAGCATGAGCCACTGTGCCTGGACAAAATAAACTTTACGTGTCTACCAGAGACCACTTTCTCAACATAGGAGCATTAGGGTTTGAATGCATCTTAACAATCATTTGTCAAGGACAGACATGGTAGCCATCTGTTAGTTTTTAAAAATCTATCCTTTATTCCTTCTGGGGAACCTTCTCTCCCCAACACTGTAGGATGTAATCAAGAGCACCTGCTTCCTTTGCTGTGGGGTGCGGTGTGACTCAGGCTGGATAAACAACATGCCCCATCTCTGTGGACATGGGGATAAGTGGGTCCATGACCCATTGGGGCCACTCAGAGTTTTTTTTCCAAGGAGTGACATGGACTCTAGAAAATAAAGTATCTCTTTATTTATCAGGAACTGTCAGGATTATGTTAAGTCTGGAGCTTTCAGGAGCTGGAGTTAGGCAGCTTAGGAGTGCCTAACTTTTTCACCCTGGACAGCCTTTTGGTGAATATTGCCAGCATGGAGGGAAAAAGAACTGAAAGATGGAAGAAAAACACAGGTTAGGGATGACATAATTCAAGCACCTGACCCTAGCAGCCAGAAGCTAGCAAAACCCCAGACATCTGTTTTATGTGCCAACAAATTTTCTTTGCCTCATATGTTACTTTGAGGTATATTTCTCACAATTGAAACTGACAGTCCTGACTAATAGAACCTCCCATGTGGAGGCTGAGGGTAATAGCAGTTAGAGTTCATTGTGCTCTTACGTGTTTTGTTTTCATTTATTCCTATAATAACCCTTAGAAGAAAATAACATATGATTATTGCCATTGTCCAGGTAAACAAACTGAGGTACAGAGAGGTCAAGTAATGACACTAAGGGACTAAATTGTCATTCAAATCAAACCTTTGCTCAACTGTAAAATGTGTGCTCCTAATAAGATAACTATATAATTTATCCTCTAGATTGGGGCAATTTGATAATGACACCAGGATAACAGGCACAGTCTTGGACTGTCTGAGGCACACTGCAAGTCACTTAGCTCTTCACCATTCCACCATGACTCTTGTGATCCTTGTTTTCCTGTTGAGGAAACTGAGATATGGACAGGTTAAGTAATTTATCCAAGGTCATATGACAGAGTCCATGGGTGGGGAGGAGAAAGATTAGGGAAGGTGCTGCTTGGCCAACCTATGTTTATTCTGTGACCAAACGTGGGGCTTTTCAAGGTTCATAGGCTCCTAATGCATGGATCAATACAAAGACACAGAAGATGGAAATTCTGGCCATGTCAAAGTCCTGTCTCAAAGCTCCCAAACCAGAAGATCTAAAGGTACAAAGGTGACTTTATTAAAAGGTAGTGATTGAGCCACTAGAACAACAAAAGTATTAACTTTAAAAAATATATAACATAGGCCGGGCATGGTGGCACACACCTTTAATCCCAGTACTTTGGGAGGCCAAGGAGGGCAGATCTCATGAGGTCAGGAGTTCAAGACCAGCCTGGCCAACATGATGAAATCCTGTCTTTACTAAAAATACAAAAATTAGCTGGGCATGCTGGTGGGCACCTGTAATCCCAGCTACTCAGGAGGCTGAGGCATGAGAATGGCTTGAACCTGGGAGGCGGAGGTTGCAGTGAGCTGAGATTACCCCAGTGCACTCTAGCCTGGGCAACAGAGCAAGACTCTATCTCAAGACAAAAAAATATATATATATAATGATATATATATATATATATATAAAATATATATAATGATATATATAAAAATATATATATCATGATATATATATGTAATGAGATATATATATATATATATATATATATATATATATATATATATATATATATATCATGGCACTTGGAGGAGCAGTAATTAACAGGATGAGTTTGGGCTGTATTAGAAGCTATGAGATAATAGTAAATGAAGTAGCTTGTCCCCTGGACTGGCTGGACATTAGAAGTATAAGAAGTAGTAAATGAAGACATCTCTTCATCCATTCACAAAATCATCTGGATTTTTCAGGACTTATTGGATATTTGATAGACCCTCTGTTTTAGATTGCAGAGGCTGGTAGTGGGAACCCAGCTGCTCCTACTGTCTTTCCTTTGGGGTCCCTTTTGGGTGTCTGTGCCTGTATGGAATGGGGGACACATGGGGCAGGTGCCTAGCACTGTGCTATGTACTTACATAGTCACGTTCTAATGCCACACCGGGAAGCAGGTACTGTCCTTATGCTATTCTACAGACAAGGAAGCTGAGCCTCACTAAAGTTAAGGAACCTAGGCTAGGCTATTCACCCAACACATATTTTTTCACATCCTTCTCTGGGCCAGGGAATGCTGTGGAGTGCTGAGTGCAGAGTGATGACGATGTTACATGTAGTTCCTGCCATTGTGGCACTCATAGCAAAGAAGGTATGTGCCAAGTCAGCCTTACTCCACTACTCCATTCTGCCTACCACCTCCAATAACAAGCGGGCTGTGGGCATGCTAAGCAAAGCTGGTCTACTCTGCTAGGTTACGAGGGAAGCAGGGGGCAGGGAGTGGGGGAGATAAGAACAAAAGGCATTGGGAGCCCAGCTCAGGTTGTGTCTCACTACCAAGAGACGAGCTGGGCCATGCTAGCAAGCAATGTATTTAAATGCATCACTTGCTTTCTATTAGTTTGCGGTTCAAGGGAAAAAAATAACTCTAACTTGGCTTGTAATGTGTTACACAGCCTGACCCTTAGCCACCCCTTTAAGCTCATCATGAAGTTCCATGCCCAACTCTCTGCACCCCATGCTCTCTGTTCTTGTGGCAGCTCACTGGGTTAATCCTGCTCCTTTCTCCATGGAGGGACTTACACATCATCCTCTCCTTCTGACTTGGGTACTTTCCTCTTTACCATCCCCATCCTTCCAACACACCCTTCTGGTCTTCCTGGGGTAACTGTGCCTGACCACCCTGATCAGGCCTCATGTACCTCTCCAGTGTAGTAGTTACATAATTGGCACTTAACATTTATTTATGTGAATAAGTGATAACTGTCTCCTCAAATAGACAGTGAGCTTTTTAAGAATAGGGACTATTCCCCTCTCTCTTTTTTTGCTCACTTTTAAATATTTTAAATTTTGTTAAATTTATAAATGTAGTGCTAAATATATCTTTGTAGAATGAGTGAAAGAATGAATGGATGGATGAAATAGAGGTGTTACTGAGTATGTAACAGGGCATCTAATCAAATTAGGGAAGCCAATAACGATGTCCAGCTTTTGCTTATCATTGTCTCCCTATCACCTAGCCCAGTGCTTGAGAGATCCGTTATCTAAGCAGGTACTTCTAAAATTTTGATGTTTGTACCAGTCCTCGAAAATCTTGTTACAATGCAGCTTCTGATTCAGTAGATCTGGAGAGGAGCCTGAGATTCTTCATTTTAAACTGCTACCATGTGATTTTGAGGCTGCTGGCCCAAGGGCTACACTTTGAGTAGCAAGACTCTTAGCAATATAACATAGTTGCAAGAGGATATTAGCTTCGAGCAATACATCAATGAGGATGCTTTTGGTTGCAAGTAAGGGAAACCCCAGATCAAAATGACTTACTTAAAAAATAAGGGTGATTTATTTTGCAAATGAAGAGGCCTGTGACAGATTGGAATTCAGACACAATTTCACCAAGTCTCCAGCTCTGTTTCTCTGTGATTCTCTTGGTGCTGCCCTCCTTGGAGTGTCCTTTTCATTTTTTGGCTGACTTCCTTGATGGTGGCAAAATGATATCAGCTTTTCCAGCTGTCACATCTCCATATGGTATCATCTAGTGGAAATAAAATCATCTATTCCCCCAGCCGTCAAGAAAAGGTCTAGTCTTAACTACAATTTGACTAACTTAGGTTATATCTGGGGTAGGGTGGGAGGGAATTTGTAATTTATTTGGCTGACGTTGTCTATTTGCTAGCTTCAGAAGTGGTAGCTTATATTGTCCTAGCTGGGTCCTGATGGTACACAGGTGCTCAAGTAATCCCATCTTGTGCCTTGGGTGTTTGTACATTCCATGAAATCACAAACACATACATGGACCCTTGCCTTCAAGCATCCACCTAGGGCAGTGGTTCTCAACTCTGGCCGTTTAGAATTACCTGGGAAATTTTTACAAATATAGATGTCTAGATTTGTAAAATAAGTTTCCTGGGGCAGGACCCCAATGATCCAAGTTTTTAAAAGACCCTTGAGGGTTTCTAATGTGTAGTTAAGGCTAGGAGCCATTTACCTAAAACATACTTCTCACTCCCCAGAGGAGGGGATTTTCTGTTCCCCAGGGGCCATTTATCAATGCAATGCTTGGAGCTATTTTTGGTCGTCACGACCAAAAATTACTACTGATAACTTTTGGTGTTACTACTGATATCTAGTGGAATGGTGCTAAACATCTCATAATGCACAGAAAAATCTCTTTTCCCCTACACAAAGAATCACTGGGCTTAAAATGTTGATAGCATTGAGGTTGAGAACACTTGATCTAGAGGGACAAGATGTTAGAACCAGTTATTTATGTGCAATGTATTCGGGCATACTGATAGGAAAACACACAGTATAGAACCATGGTTTTCGAGCTTTATTGCCCTTAAGAATTAACAGGAGTGCCTGTTTAAAACGAAGTTTCCTGAAGCTTGACTCCCTGAAGTATAGATTCTTCCAGCCTGGAGTGGGGTCCAGTCATCTAGATGTTTAATCTGATAAAGTCGCTGCTGATGCAGGTGGCTCTGCAGACCGCGCTTTGAGAAACACAACCGCAGAATGCGCAGAATTTCTTTTAATGTGTGCTTTCAGGTGTGAACCCAGGCAAAGTCCAGAAATAGCATCACGAAAGGCAACATCTTGAGCCAGGAATGCAAGTCTCCTGGTGGAATTTCAGGCACCAGCAGTGGGTGTGGAGATATTTCGGGCTGCTAAAGCCCTGGCAGCTCTTCCCCTTGCTCCTTGCTGGGCTTGGTCTTGTAAAGCCAAATGAAAACCCCAGCTAGTTCACGATCTTGTCTTCTTCCGAGGAAAGATTTGTCTGAAGACAGTGTTACTGCTTCCAAAGCACCGAGGGAGCTCTGGGGGTTTTATTGACATTCGTTTTCACAGCTCTGAGAAGGTTATTTCTATCCTTTCTGTCCGTAATGTGAGATGATAGGGGAGGAAAATAAGATTCCGTCAGGAGTGCGTGGTTTAGCCGAGTCCTTTCACGTAATCGTGAGCTGTGATGAGCTTGGTTGATTCTGGTCTGAGCGTCTGGGAAGCTCTGTGACCAGGCTGTTTATCGTTTCACTGCAGTGCCTGAATATAAAACTCGGGCACCAGACCCTGGCTGTCTGGGCAATTTGGGTATGAGACCGCAGATCTCACAAACTTCAGCCATCCACCCTGTCTCCCTGCGAGACCCCGGGCATTTATACAGCACTGCAGATAGACCCGCTGAGACCCACACTGTAGTAGCTTCAGCAGAGGGAGCTGATTAAATTCCTCTTTCCTTTGCTGCTTGCATTGTTTTGGCAGAGATTATCCTAAAAATAGCACAGCCCAGTCCTGCCTGGATGCCTTCTGCCTCATTTCTGCAGGGTTGTACGATGTGTATTATTCTTCCACACTTACTGTCTCATGGAAGAGGCAATATTCTGTGGAGGAGGAAAATGAAAAACCCTGGGCTTTGGAGACAGAAGACTGCCTTTCAATTCTGGCTCTGCCTCTGTCCAACCTCGTTTTCTTTTTTTCTTTTTTTTTTTTTTTTTTGGTGACAGTCTTGTTCTGTCACCCAGACTGAGTGCAGTGACGCCATCACAGCTCACTGCATCCTCAACTACCCACACCATGCCTAGTTAATTTTTGTTATTTTTAGTAGAGATGGGGTTTCATCATGTTGCCCAGGCTCATCTCAAACTGCTGGCTCAAGCGATCCACCCGCCACGGCCTCCCAAAGTGCTGGGATTACAGGCATAAGCCACAGCGCCCGGCGGGCCTTGTTTACTTTGGATAAGTCACTTAACCCTGGCGAGGCCTAGTTTTACTAGCTTGCCTATAAAATGGGCATATTCTAAAACCAATCTCATGGAATCATTTTGAAGGTAAAATCAGATAAAGTATGTATCAGCTCTTCAATAAACAATATTATGAGTATTCCCTATTCTGAGCAGACCATGCTGTCCATCATCTCAATTATGGCTTAGGTGTCTTTGTTTAGCCCAACACCATTCCTGGTACATAGTAGGCAGCATGTGCTACAAAGTTAAATTCATTATGTCTCTTCTTGTCTTTATTTGATTAATAGCTGTCATTCCTGCTAGAATTCCACAAGGGCAGGACAGTGTCTAGTTTTTGCATATCTGTGTCCCTTTACCTTTTAGCCCAGAGACCAGCTCAATAAATACTTGCTAAATTAACAAATGAATGAGTGAAATATGTGGCCGGGCGTGGTGGCTCATGCCTGTAATCCCAATACTTTGGGAGGCCAAAGCAGGAGGATCACTTGAGCCCGGGAGTTCGAAACTAGCCTGGGCAATGTAGTGAGACCCTGTCTCTACATAAAAAAATAAAAAAATTAGCCAGATGTGGTGGTGTGTGCCTGTAGTCCCAGCTACTCAGGAGGCTGAGGCAGAAGGATCACTTGAGCCCAGGAGGTTGAGGCTACAGTGAGCCACTGTGATTGTGCCACTGCACTCCAGCCTGGGCGACTGAGCAAGACCCTGTCTCCAAAAAAAGGAAAGAAAGAAAAGGGAAGAAAAAAGAAAAATGCATTCAAGTCAGCAAATATTTTGAGGATGGCTCCTATGTGGTAGGATTTTGTCATTAGACATTATTTGTTTGCAAGAAATAGAAACCAACCAAACTAATGTGAATTGAAAGAAATAGCCAAGTCTGGAAGTATGTCTGGAAGAGTACAGCCAGGTCTCCAGGGACTAGGTGAAAAACTGAAAAACCAGCACACTCAAATCAGCAAGTTCACTTGCCCAGACTCTCTCGCTCTCTCCCTACTTCCCTCTTCTCCTCTCATCTCCTCACATCCTCTCTGCAGTTAGTTTTATTCTTCTCTTCAGTTGCATACAGGCTCCTCTGCTTTGATCATACATGAGACCAGACCACTCCACTCTCTCATTTTAAGCACTGACTTCGACTTAGGAACCAGAGTCTCTGAGTCCCAAACCCAAATTTCTAAAAAAATGATGAATGTCTTAGCATAGGGGAAGAGTCAATTCCAGGTACAAGTAGATGATGTTGGGGAGATAGGGAGGTCCTCTGATCTGCCCCTCACTGTTCAGGGGCTCCAGAAGCAGGGGCTCAGAGGGAAAGCCAGGATACAAATTCCAACAGGGAGGATTGGAGACTGAGAGGTGATCATTGGCAAAAGCCCATCAACAGCAAGGGCACAGTGCTGAGCACTGGGGTACCATTCATTTATTCCAGAAATGTTCACTGGGTGCCTACTGTGTAACAGGCACTGTTCCAGATGCTGGGGTTACAGCAGTAACAAGGAAGATGACAAGGATCCTGCCCTCCTGGAGCCCTTATTCTACAATGCAAACAAGTCAACATTCCAACAAACAAGTATATGAGCAACAGAGCTTCATTTCTCCAATGAAGAAGATTTTCTTCAAAGCGGAGAAATTAGCAACATGATATAGGGTGATAGGGCCAGGGGTGGGAAGGGTTATTTTGATTGCCACTTAGTGTCCTGTTCTGTCATACTGGCCAAAAGTACTAAAAACAGTGCCAAGATTTGGTTCTTCTGCTTATAAAGAAGGGCATAAGAGTAGAGTCCAGAATGTTCCTTGCAATTCTCCTTATGCTTGTCATGATGTAGGGGATAATTGGAGGCAAACTATCTATCTTGGGACTGGAGAAGAGACAACCAGGCTCTGGGGCCACCCTTTGTAACTCTTTTTTTGGAACCTATCAAAAAAGCTCTGAGTGGCTCAGAACATGCCACACTCCGAGATCCACCTGCCTCTGATTGGGCTGGGGCCTGCCTAACACAGGCTTTGGGGAAAGTAGAGGGAATGTAGTGGGTGAAGAGAGCTCACCTGTTCACTTCAACTTTAGGCCTCTTAGACTTTTCCCAACAGGCTTCCATGGAAAGGATGCAACTAACTTCAGGGCAGTTCCGTCACCATCCTCAGAAACAACAACTGGCCGGGCATGGTAGCTCACAGCTGTAATCCCAGCACTTTGGGATGCTGAGACAGGAAGGTCTCTTGAGCTCAGGAGTTCAAGACCAGCCTGGACAACATAGTGAGACCCCATCTCCACAAAAAATAAATAAAAATTAGCCAAGTGTGGTGGCATACAACTGCCGCCCCAGCTGCTTGGAGGCTGAGGTGGGAGGATCACTTGGGCCTGGGAGGTCGAGGCTTCAGTGAGCCATGATGGCCCCACTGCACTCCATTTTAGGTGACAGAGTGAGACCCTGTCTCAAAAGAGAAGAAAAGAAAAAACAACAACTAATGCTTAATATATGCTAGGCAATGTTCTAAAAGCTTTGCTTGCAGGCTGGGGGCAGTGGCTCATGCCTGTAATCCTAGCACTTTGGAAGGCCAGTGTGAGAGGATCACTTGAGCTCAAGAGTTCCAGACCAGTCTAGGCAACACAGTGAGACTCCATCTCTATTAAAAAAGGAAAAAGCAAAGCTTTGTATGCATTAATTCACTTAACTTCTACAATTATACTATGAGGTAGGTACTATTGTTATCCCCATTTTACAAGTGAAGAAATCACACATAAAGCTTCTATAACTTGCTCAAAGTCATGTGTAGAAGTGGACTTCAAATCTAGACATTTCAGCTCCAAAATCCATTTATTTTTTCTTATCAATAATGCCTTTTTCCAGGTGACTCTGAGCCCTATCTCTTGTACATAGAGGCTTCCAACAAAATTTTGAACAATTAAATGACTACATCACACTTACAAGTTTCATTGCATTTTCTACTACATGCCACATGCATATCTGGTATCCTTCATTTTAAACATTTATTTAAAAAAATTTTTTTGAGACAGGGTCTCGCTCTGTTGTCCAGGCTGGAGTGCAGTGGTGCAACATGTCTGATGTCTTTCAAACTTTCTATTCAAATTCAGAAAAGGAGAGTAAACAACCTCTGATTTCAGGTCAAATGCAGAATTTCTTTCTGTTTTTGTTTTTGTTTTTGCAACTCTTCCATCAAACCATTATAGTCTGACACCTATTGAAGGGAGAATGCGTTGTGTTATACTAGTCTTCATTTAGAGACAAGATTGGTTGCAGAGAGTACCCCTTGAATGTGGAAGGTGAGAGCAAACTATTAAACTACTTAGCCAAAAATCCAACTCCACAGTGGAATTTCAGGCATCAGAAAGTAGGTGGGAAGTATTTGAGAGTACGGCAGCCTTTTTGAGGCTTCAATATTGTTTGATGCACAATATGTGGCCTTTATGCCTGGCTTCTTTAACTTAGCATAATATGTTTAAGTTTCATCTATGTTGTAGCATGTATTATTCTTTTTTATAGCTTAATAATATTCCGTTGTATGCATATACACCATTTTATTTACCTGTTCATCAACTGATGGAAATTTGGGTTCTTTCATTTTTTGGCTATTATGAATAACGCTGTTATAAACATGTTGTACAAGTTTTAGTGTGGATGTTACGTTTTGAATTTTCTTGGGTATGTCTGCAGGAATTGAATTGCTGGGTCATACATTAACTCTATGTTGAATATTTTGAGAAACTGCCAACCTGTTTTCCGAAGTGGCTGCACCATTTTACATTTGCAGCAGTGTAGGAGAGTTCCAATTTCTCTATAGCCTCGCCAACACTTGCTATTGTCCCTCTTTTTGGTTATGGGCTGGTTATTCACGCAGGCATTGAGTTCATAGATTGTTATACAAAGTGGCTTTCGTTTTATTGGCTGAAGGAAAATAGGATTTATTAATCTGTTTGTTTGTAGAGGGGCAGAGGGAAGAAGGGAGATATGAGGACAATCATGAGTGTTGTCACCCAACCTTGTTTAAGGAATTGGTCTTGAGTCTCAGAGAAGAGAGGAGATATAGTAAAGCCCAAGAAGTTCCTGAAGCCTGCTAAGAGTCTGCACACAAGCAGGATGCACTGGGATCCAAGTGACCAGGTTCAACAGCGTAGGGGACCTTCCCCCATACTGTGGGACAGCATGCAGGGGGAGGTGCTGAGGGACATCAGCACATCAGGGACAGCATTGCCACATGCCCACAGAAGCATGGGGAGGATGTAGAGTCTGGGAGCCCTCATCAAATAGCTACTAGGCAGTGGCTTCCAAGAAGAGGCCATGATGCAAGAACACATGGCAACACGGTGGGCCCGTGTCCTGCTTTAGGAGCTGGGTCAGCAGGCGAGGGATGTGAACCTCTGACCCACAGGCCGGCAAACACTGGGACAGTGTACATAAGCCTTATCTTGAAGGCCCTGTGCAAACCAGTGTTTTAATGTTATTTGTTCCTTCTAGGGAATGCTAGGCCTGACAATTACATGGAATTTCAACCCTAATGAAGAAAGGGGTGATATACTCATCCATGACCTATTAAATCCTCATTTTCCCACCAAGCCTGGTGTTTTTCATTACTGTTTTACAGACTGGAAGAAAATAGATTTTGTGCCATGTAAATTATGTTGAGTTTATGGTCTCTTGTGGGAAAGCCAGGGCTGATTCCTCAGAGGATGTTTTATGCCAGTCCATTAGCATGAGGGCCTTATTGATGAACCAATAAAGCATGTCCTGCCACATTCTTGGAATGGAACCTCCTAATTCATCATTAATATTCAGGTAAAGCACCACTACATTCATCTGATTTTCCTCCCGTGGTAATTGCTGTTTAATTTCTATTTTATTAGCCAGATTAGTAAATCTTGGGAGATACTTGTTCCAGGCATGTACTCGAAAAGCCTGATAGATCTTTTGGTGTTTGTAAGCTAATGATAGCTTCCCGTGAACAGCAAAGCCTATAGTAACTTTTGGTGCATTTTGAACCCTAAGGAAAGCCCTGCCACTATCTCATTCAGGTCCCAGGCAACCCTGAAAGGTAGGACTAGGCAGCTGTCTTTCATGACACCCCACTGTAACTACATGAGGAAACTGAGGCTTGAGAAGGGTAGTAAGTGATGAAAAAATGGGTCTTGGCCCTGATTCGCTCAACTCTAAGAAAGACCTGCGCTGCATTAATAAAATACTAATAATGAATCTTTTTTTTTCTTTTTTGGGACAGTCTTGCTCTGTCACCCAGGCTGGAGTGCAGTGGTGCAATCTGGGCTCACTGCAACCTCTGCCTCTCAGGCTCAAGTGATTCTCATGCCTCAGCCTCCCAAGTAGCTGGGATTACAGTCATGCGCCACCACACCTGGTTAATTTTTTAATGGGGTTTCACCATATTGGACAGGCTGGTCTCGAGCACCTGACCTCAGGTGATCTGCCTGCCTCAGCATGCCAAAGTGCTGGGATTACAGGTGTGAGCCACCACACCCAGCCTAATAATGAATCTTGTCAGATGGCTTTATTGACTTGATTTGTCAAATCAGTTCTGTCCCCCATTTCACCACCACTCCAAACAGCCAGTGGGTAAAAATACTGCTTCAGAAGCTAATGTTCAGAGCCAAAACACTGTCAAGATGACTGATCAATTCCGTTAAAATAAAGTTCTGCTCAAGGAAAGCAGTTTTAAAAGTCAGATGTGAATGTGTGAAGGGGATGCATCTATTCCCAATACACCTGGCCTTTCCTCCCCTACAATATTGCAAAATGAATTATTCTATGTGCACAATAATGTGTGACAAAACTTTAATTGACATATTGGCTTAATACACAATTATGAAAATTACTAGTAATTAAAGGATCTGGGGATGATGGCTCATGCCTGTAATCCCAGCACTTTGGGAGGCTGAGGCAGGTGGATCACTGAATGTCAGGGGTTCGAGACCAGCCTGGCCAACATGATGAAACCCCGTCTCTACTAAAAACACAAAAATTAGCTGGATGTGGTGGTACACACCTGTAATCCCAGCTACTCGAGAGGCTGAGGCAGGAGAATTGCTTGAACCTGGTTGGCAGGGGTTGTAGTGAGCTGAGATCATACCACTGCACTCCAGCCTGGGCAACAGAGCAAGACTCTGTCTCAAAAAAAAAATGTAATTAAAGGGAACACTTAGCTGACAGAGTTTACAAAACTGAATGTATTCAAGAGCTCTTCATTTTCTTTCCCCTCCTAATTGTTCCCTCTGGCTGTCACAGCTTTTAATGGTTTGTTATCCATATATTAAATAAGCCGATTCAGTCTAGATATTATTGGGTGGTTGCAATTACCAAAAGGATAGAAAAGGATTCAATTTTTCGGTTGTTGTTGTAAAAAAAAAAAAAAAGAACTTCTTTAATCTTGGACTTGTTTCTTGAAACTGTCAATTTGCTCTATGACTGATGGTTGCCTGAAAAGTGGTGACCAACTTTTTCCCCATGGAATCAGCATAAACTGGATCTGGGCTGTAGCAGGAGAGCCAAGGTTAGATATCTGAAATTTTCCTGATTGCAGACTGCTACCTTATGTAAAGAATCTTCTTCCTTTTTTTCTTCCCTCTTTCCCTCTCACCAATCTTGACCCTGAGTCCCCTGGGAAATGTGATCCAGAAATGGTGAGCCACAGAAGCAAGAGAAATAATGGGAAACCCACTAGAAATGTTTCTCTGACTGCTAATGAATCCAGGGTCAAGTATGGGAAATGTTCGGAATCTGTGACTGCGTAGGTCTCATGAGGTGTAGATACTTCTATTCGAAGTTAGCGAGTTCAGGTAAACTAGGAAAATGCGACTCCAAATTCATGTCTTTTCTTCAGTGAGAGAGTTTTTGTTTGCCTGAATTATCTGGATGACTGACATAATATTTTTTCATTCATATCTATGCATTCATCTATGGGCAACATACATTTGCCTTTGATATCCCAGGTATTCAGGTAAATATTCATGGTGCAGAGAGACACACAGTCCCTGACTTCAGGACCTTCCATTGTTCACCCCTCAAGCCACCTCACCAACTCACACACTAAGATGAAGACAGACCCAGAAAGGAGACAATTCCATATGATAGCTGTTTTGAAAAGAAAAATGAACGATGGTGTGAGAGTGTCACAGCTGGTCTCGGGGAATTCATGGAAGACTTCCAGAGCATGTTAGTATGCTTGGGCTGCCATAACAAAGTACTGCAGACCTGGTGGCTTCAACAAGAGAAATTGATTTTCTCACAGTTCTGGAGCCTAGAAGTCGGAGATCAAGACATTGGCAGGACTGGTTTCTCCTAAGGCCTCTTACCTTGCCTTCCAGATGGCCATCTTCTCCCTGTGTCTTCACGTGGTCTTCCCTCTGTGAATGTCTGTGTTCATCCAAATCTCCTCTTATTATCAGGACATGAGTCACATGGGATTAGGGACCACACATATGACCTCATTTTACCTTACTTACCTCTTTAAAGGCCCCGTCTCCAAATAGAGTCACATTCTGAGGTCCTGGGGGAGAGGACTTCAACATGGATTTTTTTTTCTTTTTTTTTTTTTTTTGTGGTTGGGCGGGGGAGGGGGGTGCACAACTGAGCCAAAAACACAGGAGAAGTGACTTCTAAGCTGGGGCATCGAAAAAAAGCAGAATTTAGTGTTCCAAAGCACCCATGTATCAAGGCCTAGAAGTGAGAAAAAGTGGTCCATGCAGCAAACTGCAAGTATTTTGAAATGGCTAGAGTCTAGATGTGATGTAGAAAGCAAGAAGACTTGAGACTAGAGCTCTGGGAAGGGCTGAATCATGGAGGTCTTTGTCATCTGAGTTAAAGATGGGACAATAGGCACATGGAGGAATTTTAGGCAAGAGGATCATACTTAAATTAACATGATATCTAAAGACCACTGCTGGGCGCATGAATGCTTAGCATGAGTCCTGCAGATGCAGTCTCTTGGCTGTCATCACTCATACAGGGACATGAATTGTGGAGGTGGTGAGGATAATAAGATTCCCTGCACATGGAGGTGAAGTTATGAAAACTCTTTTGTATAGATGCTCCCATTTCATCCTCACAAATTAACTCCAGTTCACAGCTGAGAAAGCTTAGGCTCAGAGAGATAGAGGAACTTGCTTCATTAAGGCCACAGAGCGAGCAAAGGGTCAGCCTGGATTGGAACTCTGGCCTTATTTCACCTTTCACCCTGGCTCTTTCTAGGAAATCAGCCTCCTTTCTGAGGAGTGAACCGCATCTCTAGCTTGTCTTCCAAGAAGCCCTGCAGTGCATATTTCTTTGTGGTGTCCTCGACATCCTTGTTAAAATGTTCACTCTTTTAAAGAGGAAAAAAGCTGCTATTTGAGAGGCATTTACTGCCATAATTACAGCCATGATTTGGTGAAGTTGAATGAGAAAACCCCAGTGACTTAAAAGACAAACCACGTTCCATATGCCACAATCTGTCAGGGGCCAGCATTTGACGGGAAACAGTTTGATGGAAACTTTTCTGTTGTCGTTTCAAGAGATAGACGTGTTGCAGAGAACCACTCTGCAAGATTGATATATTTTTCTCATTATTGGGTTGTTTTTCCAACCACTTTCATGTGCTATCTTCTCATCTTTTTTCCCCGGTCCTTTGTCATAACCTTTCTCCCAAAGGGCTAGGGGCTGTCTGGACTCTGGATACCATTGACAAGATCACATTTATTTCATCTCTGTTGTCTGCACCTTTGCAGTCCCCAGAACTATTTTGTCTAAGACAGATCAAGAAATCATTCTCATTATGCTCTCATGACTTCTACATTTCAATTAGGACCAGAAGAGATGTTAGTGATTCTCTCTAGGCCTGGCCAGCCTGAGACAGAGCTCAGATTGCTACAGTGCCCGCCTCCTCTTCACTGTCTTTATAGTTCTGTCTCACTTCTCAACCCACTGTCTCCAAGTTCTCTCTGCCTTGACCAAAGTCTGATTGAGCCCCAAGATGAATCTGAAGTTTTGCATGACAATTTATGGTAGAAATTAATATCCTAATAATCATTTATTTAGACTAGTGGTTCTCACCTGGGGATGATTTTGTGCCCCAGGGGGATATTTGGAAGTCCCTGGAAACATTTTGTTTGTTACATCTGTGGGAAAGAGATGTTAGTAACATCTAGTGGGTAAAGGCCAGGGATGCTGCTAAACATCCTTTAATGTACAGGGAAGCCCCTATAGTAAAAAAGTTATCTGGCCCAAAATGTCAATAGTGTTGGGGTTGAGAAACTCTGATTTAAACAATTAATACTTAAAACTTCATTATATTCCAGGCCTATTGTAGAAATAGAAGATTTTGTAATCAACAGGACCTTTGCTCTCTAAAATTTTATTATCTAGAGGGAGCATATATCATTTAGAATTTTTCCAGCTGCAATTAACAAGATACTCAAAGAATTTCCTAAAGATACTTGAAATTTTCTCTTGTAACAAACATCTGGAAGTTATTTTAGGATTGTTTAATTGGACAACTCAACAAGGTCAGATATCTGGGTGAGCTTCCCCAGAATATTTTTTGCTTTTCCCTCATGGTTGCAAAATAGCTGCCATAGCTCCATTCTCACAAATAACTCCCAAAGCAGGATGGATGAAAGGCATAAGGGATCTCTTCTGATATATCAGTTTTTTTTTTAATGAGGGAGAAAAATCCTTTCCAGAAGCCCCCCAATGCCCAATAGGCTTTCTCTTATATCCTACAGGCCAGACTTGGGATACCTTCCCATTCTTAAACCATTAAGGGCAAGTTTAAAATAGGATTACCGTCAATGACTTGGACTAGGGATCAGCAAACATTTTCTGTAAAGGGCCACATAGCAAATATTTTAGGCCTTGTATGTAATATATGATCTGTGTTGCACATTCTTCTTCTGTCAATTTTTACAACCTTTAAAAATGTAAAATCTATTCTTAGCTAATGGGCTATGTAAAAACAGGCTGTGGGCCATAGTTTGCTGACCCCTGGAGAAAGGGCTTTCTAACACCTGCACAAAATCAGGGTTCTCTTCACAACCCAGTTATCATGGTGGTAACTGGATCTGCCACAGAAGGGTGCACAAGTGAATGGTAATTATAACGCAGTGGGACAAGTGCGATGACAAGGATGCATGGAAGAAGCTGTGGTAGCCAGCCTTCAAGATGCCCCCAATGATCCATGCCTCTAGCATTCATGCCTTTGAATCAGGTTGGTTTCTTGGACTAATAGAAGTGACAGTATGTGACCTCAGAGACTGTATCCTGAAAAACATTGCTACCTCTACCCCAGTCTTGAGGATTGCCCATTCTAGGGGAAGGTGGCTGTCATATTGTGATGACACTTAAGTGGCCTCTCCACAGGCGACACAGTGAGAAACTAAGGCTTTTCACCAACACCCACCTTCAACTTGCCAGTCATGCGAGTGAGCCGCCCTGGAAGTAGATTCTCTAGCCCTAGGCAAGCTTTCAGTTGACTGCAATGCTGGCTGATATCTTGACTGCAACCTCATGAGAAACTTTGAGCCTGAGCTACTCAGCTAAGCTGCTTTTGAATTCTTGACTCACAGGAACTATGAGATAATACAGATCTATTACATTAAGCTCCTTAGTTTTAAGGGTGATTTTTAATGCAGCCATAGATAATGAATACAGAGGTTTCTAAGAGAGTGGGAATGCCTTAGTTTCCAGGCTCTTAGAATGGCATCTTTAGATACTAGTAAGATGGTGAGGTCTAGGGGTGGGGGTGATGAGGGAAACAGCTGGCTAGGATTCGGGAAGCCTGGAACCTCTAGTTCATTTGTGAACGTGAAACAAACTAACTCACTTCTTTGGACATCATAAGCAAATCCTGGGAATGAGAGGATGAATAACTGTCAGAAAAATGAAAACTATCAAAAGCATATGGAATAACCTATATACTGTGATATAAGGCTCAATTCTTTGTTCTCTGAAGTAGTATATAATTTGCCTTTTCCCCCCATCAATCTTGAAAAACAAAATACGGAAAAAATCCATAGTGCCTGGAGAGGTTAGACAGGAGTCCAGGTGTCCAACATTAGGAAACACAACATGCAAGGAGTGGTAATTCAGGACCAAGGACAGCAACCTAATTCCCTACCCCCACCACCCCACCTCTCCCCACCACCCCCATCCCAACCCCACAGACAGTTTTGGGCTTGGTATACACTTTCTGGCATCCAGAAATATATTCTCTGATATATAAAATTAGAACAGTTGAATTTTATTGTATTTAAAACTCAGCTTTGATATTCTGTAAATTCTTGATTCTGGCTTATTTGCTCTGCTCTCAAATCTCTATCAAACGCCTTCAGTTTCTGCCAACGTGGAAGGTCAGTCCTATCTATCAGATGAACATAGAATTGAAGGTGACATACTGATCTGACATCAGTTTACTAGGAAAAGAAGACAAGCAAAGGGTGCTAATTTATTTCTTTTTATTTGGCTCCCTTTATTGCTGTGTGCTATCATTTGCCAAGCCCTGCAGGAGATAAAGAAGAGGAAGTAGCAGATTTTTCCTTCAGAAAGTTTGCAGCCTAGAGAAAGAATGACAAAGACTCAAACAACTCTCCTTGCTGCATTTCTTTTTCCTCCTTTAGTTAGACACTGTATTTGTCCCCTAAATAAGACAGACTCTCAGAGAAGGATCTTGTAACAGATAGTTTTACTTCGATGTGAATTTAATTCATTGTGTTACTGTACAATTTACACCTTATCTGTCTTTTGGAATGGAAGGCTTAATCTTCGGGTAGAGATTTGAGGCATTAACAGATAATTTTTAATTTGGTTAAGTTCACCATTAAAGTTTCTTCATCTGCAAAATAGGGCTAACCATATTGGCACTGTCTATTTGTAGCTTTTGTCAGCTTAGCACTCCCTTTTCCATTGCTGAGTGAGTACCCCCAACCCTAATTCCATATGGCTGTGGTTGGACTGTCAATCATATCCAGTGCCTGGCCACTGGAATGGCCACAGACATGAGCCTCGTCAATGATGATATAGTTTGGCTCTATCTCCACCCAAAACTCATCTTGAATGGTAGCTCCCACAATTCCCACGTGTTGTGGGAGGGACCCAGTTGTGGGAGGTAATTGAATCATGGGGGCGGGTATTTCCTGTGCTGTTCTCATGATATTGAATAAGTCTCACGAGATCTGATGGTTTTATAAAGGTGAGTTTCCCTACACAGGTTCTCTTCTCTTGTCTGCCACCATGTGAGATGTGCCTTTCACCTTCCACCATGATTGTGAGGCCTCCCCAGCCACGTGGAGCTGTGACTCCATTAAATCTCTTTTTCCTTATAAATTACTCAGGCTCGGGTATTAGTCCATTTATCACCAGTGTGAAAATGGACTAATACAGATGGTAAAGGGTTCCATTGTTCATAGAGATTGGTTCGAGGAAAGGGTACATGGCCAAAGTAGGGCCACTTAGACTTTCCACACGATCTGACGTCCACTTCATCTGGACTTGCAATCTGCAAGGATGATGTAAGCTTTAGCTGCCTGTGGGAAATAATCTGCAACAGGAGAAAATGACACTAACATGTTAAATTTAACAGAAAAAATGAAGCCAAGACATAGGGAAAGGAACAATAGAGAATGAGAGAGAATAGTAAGAGAGGTAGTTTGGCTTCTGGATCTAGCCAGACCTGAATGCATCACACTTTATATAAGCCAATAAATTCCCTTTTATGCTTATGCAGGTTTAAGACATGCTTCTTTGACTTACAACCACAAAGACTAATATGATAACTATAATAGTTATTATAAGGGCCAAGTAAAATAAAATTTTTGAAAGCCCTACACAAAAGATGCAGTAATGTTCTCTGGGAGCTAACACTTTAATCTTTCAACATGTCTCTAAGTGCTTAATAAATATTATTTCATTCAATTCTGTCCTGCAGGCTTAATGCCCTGATGATGGGGAAAACCTTCCATTTTCTTTCCCTTGACATTAAGCTAATGCATTTCATCTAGTAAATTTCTCAATAAACTAGATAATAAACGGAAAGATCTCTGTGTTATTTCAATATGGGTTAAAAATATATAGCTACTCTGGCTGGGTGCAGTGGCTCATGCCTGTAATCCCAGCACTTTGGGAGGCCGAGGCGGGCGGATCACCTGAGGTTGGGAGTTCGAGGCCAGCCTGACCAACATGGAGAAAGCCCGTCTCTACTAAAAATACAAAATTAGCCAGGCATGGTGGCACATGCCTGTAATCCCAGCTACTCATGAGGCCGAGGCAGGAAAATAGCTTGAACCCGGGAGAGAGAGGTTGCAGTGAGCTAAGATCGTGCCATCGCACTCCAGACTGGGCAACAAGAGCAAAACTCAGTCTCAAAAAAAATATATATATATATATGTGTGTGTGTATATATATATATATACACACACACACACACATATATATCTACTCAAAGTTGAATGCCACCAGCTTTTTACATTACTTTATAGGAAGAATCTTCAGGGAACCACTACTTTGGTGATGTTTTGTTAAATGGCAGTGAAATGGCTGCTGTTGCGGGTGATAGAAAACTCTATTGCTGTCCTCGACTTCATCTGCACTAAGATGAATCCATTATAGCAGCATTCCTGAAATTCTGAGGCAGGATAAAAACTTTTGCAGTTTTTAAATTAATGTTTTCCTTCTTTTTTGGTTCTTTAGAAAGTCTTGCCTTTGTAAGGCATTTTTAGAAAGTCTTGGAGTTTTGACTTATGGTCAGAACTGTAATTACTTTTATTTTTTTCCCCAAACTTGAAATATGCCTACTAGAAACATGAGACTTTGTCTTTCTTCCAAAAATAAGCTTGTGTTTGGAATATAATTTAGAGATGTTGAAGATTTACTGCTTTAAGTAAAAGCAGGGACTGAGGCAGGATCTAAAAGATGGGTGCATGTAAGCTTCCAGCTCATAGAGGTAGTTTGGGGCTGTCCCCCAAGGAAGAATTTAGTTCAGCAATTTCTTAAAAATTGATCGATAGCCATGCAGGTTTTCCTGATAGGGTATTTGATAATTGAAAAAATGGCCAGATATGGTGGCTCACGCCTGTAATCCCAGCCCTTTGGAAGGCCAAGGAGGGAGGATGGCTTGAGCCTAGGAGTTCAAGACCCGATTGAGCAACATAGCAAGACCTGGTCTATACAAAACATTTTTTAAAAATTAGCTTGGCATGGTGGTGTGTGCCTGTAGTCCCAACTACTTGGGAGGCTGAGGCAGGAAGATTACTTGAGCCCAGGTGTTCGAGGCTGCAGTGAGCTATGATCGCATTACTGCTATCCATCCTGGGTGACAGAGCAAGACCCTGTGTCTAAAAGAAAAGAAAATCCTCGTTCTTTCTTGACATCTTTTGGCTTCCTAGATTTTCATTATTATGCAGGACCAGAGTGTTCTTAAAAATCTATTAAGTACTTACTAAGTAGTTATTAGTACTTGCTCAAATTAAATATCCAGAAACTGAACTTAGTGCAGTATTAGATTTACTGAAGCCTTAAATTCAGTATTAATTTACTACACTGGTCCTGCCTCGGTTTCTCAGTTAGACCAATCCCTTACCTGTTAGGGCTTTGCACTTGCCATTTCCTCTGCCTTGAAGTGCCGTTTCTGAGTGCTTCACACTGTTGACTCCGTCCCCTCACTTAGGTATCAGCTCAGCTGACTCTCCAGGGATGCCTTCCTTGTCCCACCCCATCTAAAATAGCCACCAGCCATTCTTGGTTACCTTACCCTGTTTTATTTCGTATGTTGCTTTTTCATGTTTATTGTAGGTTTCGCCCTTAGAATTTCAGCTCCATGACAAGGGCCTGGTTTATCTTGTTCATATCTATGTCACCAGTGCCTAGAAACAATGTCAAATGTATACTAGGCACTCGATAAATATTTGTTGGATGAAAAAATCTGGCTTCTATGCAACTTCACATACTAGCATGCAGATATTAGTTTTTTACTGAACATTAGGAGGAACTATGGTGTGATGCTGAATCAAAAAATGATTGCAGATTTAAAAAACTATTTTAGAGTCACTAATCAAGAAGAGGGGATATTCACTTGGAATTTACAGATATCTTTACATGTCCATGAACCCTCTGAAATTATATGTATATTTTTCTGGGGAGAAGAGCAATAATTTTCCTCATACTTCCAGTGGGATGGGTGGCACTGGCTGAGGCTGACTTGCTGCTAATCTAGACTGACTCTAACCCGATTCTGCTCCATAAAATCACACACTTGGGCAACCAGTATTTTTGCTTTGCAAGCTCGGGCACCCTGCATTCAGGTTCTAAGCAAGTTCCAAATTAAGCACTTGTATTGCCTTTGTGGTTTTACTAATAATCTATTAAAGAAATACTTGAAACTACTTAGGTATCTAAGCAGTTTGTGTAAGATATGCAAAAATGGAGCAGGAAATATATTTTGAAAATTGTGCTAATTTCTCTGTTGTCCAAAACTGTGCACGGCTTTACACCTCAGGTATGACTGAGGCACTTCAACATAATTTGCTTCTAATGTCAATCCTGTAGATGCCTAAGATTTCAGAGTATGGAATCAGATAGATTTCTATTTGAATCTAGGACCAACCACTTTGTGTTACTATGCACAGGACACTAATGCTCACTGGACCTTAGTTTCAGCATCATAAAATGTCACACCACACTTATAGAATTGTGATGAAGAGCGCATGGTACTATATGCCAAGCACTGTTGTAGCTACTTTATATATACTAACTCAATTTTAATACAATCCTCCTAAGAATGTATGAGGTATGTCATCTAAGAATCATTGCCATTTTATAAATTGAGAAACTGAGGTACTGAGGAGTTCAGTCACTTAACTAAAGACACACACCTGTTAAATATCCCTGCAGAACTCTGCTATTCCATCCATCTATAATCCCACAGTGCCTGACACACATAGTGCCGGACACATGTAGTGCCTGAAGCCCAGCACACAGCAAACATTTAATAGATGTGATTATTGTTTTTTTTTTTTTTTTTTTTTTTTTTTTTTGAGACGGAGTCTCGCTCTGTCGCCCAGGCTGGAGTGCAGTGGCGGGATCTCGGCTCACTGCAAGCTCCGCCTCCCGGGTTCACGCCATTCTCCTGCCTCAGCCTCCCAAGTAGCTGGGACTACAGGCGCCCGCCACTACGCCCGGCTAATTTTTTGTATTTTTAGTAGAGACGGGGTTTCACCGTTTTAGCCGGGATGGTCTCGATCTCCTGACCTCGTGATCCGCCCGCCTCGGCCTCCCAAAGTGCTGGGATTACAGGCGTGAGCCACCGCGCCCGGCCGTGATTATTGTTTCATTGAAAACATTACTTTGTGTTAGAAGAGTTGGCAGCAGAGCTATCCCCAACATGGTCTAATCCCTGAAGACATTATGAATATTTTACATTTGTGGACCAGAATGTAGCATGGGTAAACTGAGATTGGAATGCAATGTTTTTGTAAAAAATTTCTCTTAGTCCTTGGTAACAGTGACAAATGTGAGTGGAGTCCTCACATCTGGTTTTGTGGCATGATTTTGGTTATGATGCTGGCTGCTCGTTCTAGTCGGGTTCTCCAGCCATCCCTAGCAGTTATTTGGTCTCTTCAACAATAACCTTTTAATAAACCTTCCCCTACTTTTTTTGTTCTCTTAAACATGTTCTATTGCTTGCAATGAAGGACCCTGAGATTTTTCTTTTCTTTTTTTTTGAGCAGAGTCTTGCTCTATCACCCAGGATGTGGTGCAGTGGTGCAATCTTTGCTCACTGCAACCTCGGCCTCTCAGGCTTAAGTATTTCTCATGCCTCAGCCTCCCAAGTAGCTGGGACTACAGGCACACATCACCATGCCTGGCTACTTTCTGTATTTTTAGTAGAGATGGGGTTTCACCATGTTGCTCAGGCTGGTCTCAAACTCCTGGCCTCAAGTGAGCTGCCTGCCTTAGCCTCCCAAAGTGCTGGGATTACAGGCGTGAGCCACTGCACCCGGCCCTGAGATGTTCATTTCAATTGTTCTTTAAATGTTTGTAGAGCAGCTTACTATGTGCCAGGAACTGGAAATACAGAAAGGAATCACACAGAAGACATCCCTTCTCTCATGGAGCTTATGTGAAGATGGTGCTACTCTTCCTTACCCCCTTTCCTGTAAAGTTGTCTTTTTGCTGGTTAAATATTCCCAGCTCCCTCAACCTTTCCTAGGTGACACAGTCTTATTCCATCAACATCCTGCGCTCCCCTCCTCTGATGCTTGTAGGTTAATGGAGTATTTGTGAGGAATCTTATGTAGCAAATGCTAGAAACTCAATCAAATTGGATTAAGTTTTAAAAAAATGTCAGGCACAGCAGTTCACACCTGTAATCTTAGCACTTTAGAAGGTGGAGGCAGGAGGATCACTTGAGCCCAGAAGTTCAAGACCAGCCTGAGCAACACGGCAAAACCCTGTCTCTACAAAAAATACAAAAATTAGCCAGGTATGGTGTCATGCACCTGAAGTCCCAGCTATTCAAGAGGCTGAGGTGGAAGGATTGCTTGGGCCCAGGAGGCTGAGGCTGCAGTGAGCCATGTTTGCACCATTGTACTCCAGCCTGGGCCAGAGAGTGATACCTGTAAAGAAAAAAAAAAAAAAAAAAAAGGAAAAGAAAGAGGGAGAAAGAGAGAAAGAAAGAAAAAAATAAATTTTCAGTTCAGGAAACTAAAAATTCTAGGGTAAGCCTCCTTCAGGCAAGACTGGTCGGGGCTGTATATTAGTGTGCTGGGGCTGTCATAGCAAAGTGCCATAGCCACAGCCTGGCTGGTTTAAACAACAGAAATATATTGTCTCAAAGTTCTAGAGTCCAGAGATCAAGTGTCACCAGGGTTGGTTTCTTTTGAAGCTGTGAGGGATAATCTGTTTTTGCTTCTCTTCCTGGCTTCTGGTAGTTTGCTGACAATTTTTGTTCTGGTAGTTTGCTGGCAATTTTTGGTGTTCCCTCACATGCAGCATCCTCCAAGTTCTGCCTTCATGTTCACATGGTGCTCTTCCTGGATGCATGTCTCTGTGTCCAAATTTCCCCTTTTTATGAGGACACCAGTCATAATGGATGAGGGGCCCACCCTAGGCACCTCATCTTAACTAATTACATCTACAAGGAACCGATTTCCAAATAAGGTCACATTCTGAGGAACAGAAGGTTAGGGCTTCAACATATGAATTTGGAGGCGGACACATTTCAACCCCAACAGGCTTCAACAGTGTTTTCAGAAATCTTTCTCTCCATCTGTTGGCCCTGCTCTCTGTGTTTACTTCATTATTGTTCAGGCGCTTTCCAAATTGTGATAAGCTACCAGGAGCTCCATAATCGGAAAGATGCATTTTTTGTCCAGTTGTAAGAAAAAGTCTTAGAATTGTCTGTGGTTGTCCTGACTTGGATCACATACCTGTCACCAACCCGATGCCTGTCTGGGGATTGGAAGATTCAGATTTGCCATTCCTGGGTCACATGCTTTCCCCGGGAGCTAGAGTTTAGGTCAGCTCTAATGGTATAATGCAGATTGAGAGTAGAGGTAGGGTGAGGGTCCACAGAAGAAAAATAGGGTACTGGTACCAGCAGAGGCCTCACATAAGTGGACAAGACCTGACCACTACAGTCTTGTAGGTAATGCTGTTCTGCTAGCTTGGTGCCATCCAGGTTCATAAGCCGGGAGTGGATGTTTAAGCTTGCTAGGCTTCCTTTGTCTTCACTTACTTGAACTTACATCATCTGTAAGGTGCCTTGCAGATGTGGAATTTTCTGATTCTCTTTGATGACTTACTTAAACTTCCTTTCCCCTCCTTGAGTAGCATTTGATCCAAATAAAGACCAATTATATAAAAGAACATAATTGCCTTTGGTTAAAATGGAGTGAGTTTTACTGGGGTTTGATTTGCATTCCTCATAGTGACACAGTGTCTGCCACCTGGCACTGTGTGTTGATTAGAATAACATGAAAGCTGGCTGGGTGCAGTGGCTCACACCTGTAATCCCTGCACTTTGGGAGGCCAAGGTGGGTGGATCACAAGGTCAGGAATTCGAGACCAGCCTGGCCAATATGGTGTAACCCTGTCTCTACTAAAAACACAAAAAAATTAGCTGGGCGTGGTGGCGCATGCCTGTAATCCCAGCTACTTGGGAGGCTGAGGCAGGAGAATCATTTGAACCCAGGAGATGGAGGTTGCAGTGAGCCGAGATCGTGCCACTGCGCTCCAGCCTAGGTGACAGAGCAAGATTCCGTCTCAAAAAAGAAAAAAAAAAAACATGAAAGTCTAACAAAACCATTGGTAGAATGGGCTTGCTTTAAAATATTAAGTAGCAGAAAACAGATAGGATGCTCCTGTTCAGTATTCCTCCAAACAAGACTTATTTAATTCTTCTATGACAGATAGTTCCTGAACAGCTCTCTCCAGAAAATTCAGAGTTCCCTCCAACTCCTTACCAGAGATAAGCAGTAGCTTGGGAAGTTGTACCTAAGTTTACAGAGCTTAGAACACCCATATCCCCCCACTTTTGCATTTATATGCACATTTCCATTTTGCACCAAACTTTCTAGAAGCTCACTTACTCATTTGACAAGGCTCTCATGAGAAAAGAGACATTGTGCCTTAAGCACTTATTAATACTCATCATTATTTCTAAATGAAGGCCAAAATGAAATGATGTCAGGCTTATGAAAATGCTCTATGAGGCTAGGCGTGGTGGCTCAGGCCTGTAATCCCAGCACTTCGGGAGGCCGAGGTGGGCGGATCACGAGGTCAGGAAATCGAGACCATCCTGGCTAACACGGTGAAACCCCGTCTCTACTTAAAAAAAACACAGAAAAAATTAGCTGGGCATGGTGGCGGGCGCCTGTAGTCCCACCTACTCGGGAGGCTGAGGCAGGAGAATGACGTGAACCCGGGAGGTGGAGCTTGCAGTGAGCCGAGATCGCGCCACTGCACTCCAGCCTGGGCTACAAAGCAAGACTCCGAGACTCCGTCTCAAAAAGAAAAAAAAAAAAAGAAAAAAAAAATGCGCTATGAAAAGTCACAAAATATTGCTATGCAGAGGATGCCACTTGAAGCTCTAGAGATGTAGTCAGTACAGCTTGGTCCAGCTGGCACCACACCTTCATTAATCCAGAAAATGAGTAGAATTGCATGTGGACTTACATGTTAAATGAAGCCCAACTGGTACACTGGGCATAATGGTGGTTTGCAAACTTGACTTTTAGATTCCTGCTGTATTAGGGATTGGTCAGGATTCTCCAGAGATACAGAACCAACAGGACATTATATGTATATGTATATGTGTGTGTGTATATATATATATATATATATATATATATATACACACACACACACACACACATTATATGTATATATACACATACATATATATACACACACACACAGATTTACTATATAAAGGTTTATTTATTTATTTACTTTTGAGATGGAGTCTTGCTGTGTCACCTAGGCTGAACTGTTGTGGCATGATCTTGGCTCATTGAAACCTCCATCTCCCAGGTTCAAGTGATTCTCCTGCCTCAGCCTCCTGAGTAGCTGGGATTACAAGTGCATGCCACCATGCCCAGCTAATTTTTGTATTTTTGGTAGAGACACAGTTTCGCCATGTTGCCCGGGCTCGTCTCAAACTCCTGACCTCAGGTGATTCACCCGCCTCGGCCTCCCAAAGTGCTGGGATTACAGGCATGAGCCACCACACCCAGCTATAAAGGTTTATTATTAAAAAATGGCACATGTGATTATGGAAATGGGAAGTCCGAAGATCTGCAGGGTGTGTCAGCAAGCTGGAGAATTAGGAAAGCCAATGTTGTAAGTTGTAGTCTGCAGGCTGGCAGGCTTGAGACCTAGGAAACACTGACATTTTCACTGAAGTCCAAAGGCAGGAAAAAACCCAGTGTCTCAGATAAAAGGCAGCGAGGCAGAAGGAATTCTCTCTTACTCTAGGGAGGGCTAACCTTCTGTTCTATTCAGGCCTTCAACTGATTGCATGAGGCCCACACACATTAGGGCGGACTATCTGTTTCACTCAGTGCACTGGTTTAAATGTTAACCTCATCTGAGAATACTGTTTGACCAAATATCTGGGCATCCATGGCCCTGCCAAGTTGACACATAAAATTAATTATCACCCATACAGACATGGCATAATATCTATCAACAGGAACCACTCAGCAAAACAGTAATGGTTGTTAAATTAAAAAAAAAATTTCCTTTAATAATTAGAAAACCATCAATGCACTTGATCCTTTTGCTTGAACATGATGTTTGGAAAAATGGAATCTTTGAAAAAACACACCTGGCTAATGCTTTTAATCTTGAAATTGGTACCCTACCCAGTTGTTAGGGTAGTGTTTCATTGTATGTTTGGTATGGAGTACAAGAATAAGCTACATCTCTAATTAATTGTTTTGAAAAGCCATCTATGCATATCTATAGCACAGAGTTCTTTAAGAAAAAAATATTCTGGTGTCTTCCATCGAAACTAAGAAAGTGTTGAGATGTTATATAAGCATAAAGAACTAGGAATGATGAACGCTCTTGTAGCCAGAAGGGGGAAAACACAGAGGAAGTGTGTGGATGGTGGCATCCTTTAGAAGTGACAGTCCTTGCTTCCTATAATGCTCAGCTCTAATATAAATGCAGTGTATGCCTCGCAGCCTAGTAAATCAAAAATACATTTGAACCTTATTGATTAACTAAAAAAAATCAAATCAGTCTTCTAAAACCTATTTGCAGTTACAGGATATTACCTAAAAATTGAGACTATTGAGGGGAAAAAACGGTAGCCAGAAAACAGGGTGTTAGAGTTTAGCAAGTCTCAGACTTTTGTGTTTACTTGACTCATGGTTTGAAAGTCTAACATCAGATCATACCTAACCAATAACATAAAAGGTATTATTTGTGGATGGGACGCAAAAGACACCTCATATTGTTATTTCTCCTAAGGGTCCTCTCCTGATTTGTAGAATCCGATGAGTGTTTTATTTTTGGTTGCCTTAATTGGGGAAGGGGTGAAAGGTGGTGAGATGAAAAGGGAAGGCCCTGGGAAATCGACCTTCTTCCCAGAGACAGCATGAAAGGGTAGAGGGATCTAGTCTCTATTTCTAACAGATAATTAAGCCTGTTATCCTGATGATAAATAACCTTCGTAGGTCTTTTTCTGGCCCTATAGAGTAAAGTCTCCCTCTAGCTACAAAGGCAATTAAGGTAAACAAAATCACACTTAGGCAAAAGTGAGATTATGGCTGGAGTCTTCCAGAAAATAACTATCATCCTCTGTCTCCCTTTGGCATTGGAAGCCTCATATGTTTAATCAAAAGAAAGGCCATCTGGGTTGAGGGAATGGGCAGTTAACTGGGTTCACTGAGAACTGCAAATACGCTGGGCACCACAGTGAAGTCAGCTGACATGTTCTCTGCCCTGCAGAATGTTGGCAATGCTGACATAGTTGGACTGAACACAATAGATTATCATGTAAGTTTAAGCAATCTGAGTGACAATGACAAGTAACAAGAAGGCTCTGAATATAGAAATTATTCCAGAGAGATGACTGGAAAGAATGGAGTTTTGCACATAAAGAGAATCACAGCAGACTCCTAGCAATTGTGAAGATACGGAAAGTTTTCATCAGCAACAACCCACAACACTTCCTAGTTTCTCCCACTCACCCTTTGAGCTACTGACCTCTTCCTTACCAACTCCTTGTTCCCCCTCCACCTCACATTAAATCCCCACTGTTGCCTTTTGCCCTATGTAGAGCCTATGCTGTGGGTCCCTTTATTTCTCACAACACACCCATCGTCTGTCCTGTGACTGCCCAGGGGATGGGAAGGAGTGAGATAAATAAGGGACCTGAACACTGTATGAAACCACCTTAGGTTGTGGACTCATCCTTTGAAGAGTAATGCAAAGTAAAGCTGACTTTTTAGATATGAAGTAGGAGTCAACACTTTACCGTAAATTTACTGAGCATCTACTATGCGCTGGAATTTTAGAAATACATGTGGCTCATTCCCTTGAACTGTAATCTGGTATAGGCCACCCAGAAAGGTGTTGACTTTTTCATGCTGCTGGGCAGCTGCTCTTTTATTCTACATACAGAAAAGAATGTGGAAAGATGAATGGCGTAAATAGCATTGATATTGTGTGTGTGTTTGTTTGGGGCTGTAAGAGATGGGTGACTTCAAAGATGGCGACCCCTTGTTTGGAATTTTCTAACTGAGACAGCTCGTGGGAATTGGAAAACTTACTCTCCCCATCATTCGTTGAATTTCAGGAAGCAGGGCAGCACTACTCCATATAGTCAAGTCAGATTCATGTGTAAGGAAGACAGAGGCCTGCTACTAGCTGTTGTCCAGCTTCAATGGTCCTAGCTGGAGGCCAGGTTCAGATGGCCCAACAGTTCTAGGTGGGTGACTGAGCCCCAGGGAAGTGTGCACTGTGTTTCTTTCCTGTTTTCCTTCAGCACCTGTTCTGAAGCCTTCCTGGCTCATGGAAGGGATAGTCTGAAGTGTGGGGAAGTCAGTGCCCTGAGGCCATCTTCAACCAATGGGGAAGAGGAGCTGGCAGATGAAGGTTCCATCCCCGCCTCCTGGGGCAGCGTTTCTGGGCAGCGTTTGGTGCACTTTTCGTGAGGTACTGACAGACGTTGTCCCTTGTTGTCCAAGCTCAGTAGCAGTTTCAGTAATGTACATTTATATTGGCTTCCACTGCCCACCGCCCCACTTCCCTCACTCTTACTTTCTGGGTTCTCCTGATAGACTAAGAGCATACAAGTCCTTATCTTAGGGAGTCCCAAACTGAGACATCGAGGGAGTAGCATTCCCTGATAACATTCTGTAAGGTGTTGAGATTCTAGATGTCTCTCAGTTACTTTGATTTGTTAACGTTATGAATCATCTTGTCCTGCTAATTAAAGAGATGGAAATTGTTTTAAAAATTAAAAATTTTTAAACGCCAGCAAGTAACATAGAAAGAAAACCTTCAAGAAAGTATAATGCAGAAGGAAAAATTAAGTTGAAGAATGATACCGTCAGGTATGTATATAATTGTTTAAAGACACACAAAGCAATATCTTACGTTATCAATGGCTGCTCATATTTGTGGTCAAAGGATGTTTTCCAAATTCCTGGTGGTGGTGGCTTTGGGGAGGCAGACAGGAACATGAGGCTTGCAAGCAGCATAGAGAGGATTTCAGCTTTATCTGTACGTTTTGTCATATATTTGAAAGCAAAGATTGAAAGGACAGCTGAAAAAATTGTTAACATTAGCTTGTTTTAGTTGGGAGATACAAGAACATTTGTCATATTTTTCTCTCTTACGCGTTTTAAAGTTTTCCCAAATTAGATAAAAAGTTAAAGCAGCTTTAAATGTTTTTAAATGAAATTTGGCAAGTTCAAAGCTTTGAAAAAAATTAAGATGACCTATAAATGTAGCATCAAGCTCCAAGCAAAATTGCCGATTTGATATTGATATGTTTCTCCAGATGTTTTTTCTAATTTAATGTGTGTTGATTTGAAATGCAACTATGCGTTAGTCTTGCTGTATCTTCAGACACTCAGAAGTCTCCTTGTTGACTATGGCAACATTATGAAACGTTTCCCCCTCAAATTCATAAGGCAATGTAAGTCCAGCTAACAGAGAAATTTAAAGAGTATATCTAATTTATTTTCCGAAAATGTAAGATTAGCACTGTGAGAGTAAATATGGGATATGACTTAGTTCACAGTCACATAGATAAGGTTCTCAAAGTAAAGAATTTCTGTTCTTTCCAATGCAGAATTTTTACTGGGAATAAATCAAGTTCAACTATACTTCTATATTTCCTCTATCGTCCCTCTATAGAACTATAACATATACGCTTTAGTTTATCTTCCATAAGAACTTCTTGTTACTGGGCTTTTTTTTTTCTTGTTATGATTACAAATAGCCTTCATTACATTTGCAAACTAAATCCAGAGTTTGGAGTCTTGTGCATGGCTGCAACTTGGTATTATTTAGTATTATTGTTATTAATATACATGCTGGGAGACAAGAGAACATTTTGATAAATATTCATAAAATGTGCCAGATTGATGCATAGTTACAGTATCTATTTGCACAAAGCAATGCCATGAACATATGACTCACAAGTTCTGAAGTCTGATACTGTTAGATAGATTGATGCTGGTAATTTATCATGTGCCGCCAGGAATAGGGAGATGCATTGCAAAACCCTTTACTGGCTTCTGGCATCCAGGCAACAAACTCCTCTTGCCTTTCTCTCTTTGCCCTCAGATTCATCAGCATCTCTGTGAAGTAGGATTCAAGGATGAAGTCAACCTAAAACTTTTTCTCTAGGTTTCCAGGAACAGACTGGGAGGCGTAGTTATGAGCAGACCTAAACAGAAAACACTACGGGGATACAACCACAATTTATTTTCCTCTGAGGCTTTTTTAAAAAAAAGAACCCACACTTTTGCATGCTGCAAATCTTTCTTTCTCTGTCTCCCTTTGACCCCAACCCCTACCACATGGGAACCAGAAATAATAAGTTTCTAATGGCCTAGGAGAAGCCAATGCAGGGGCAGGGAACATGCCGCAGAGCAACGGAAGTGATTTCAAAACTCTTGACTCCTTCAGACCCACCAGCATCAGAAACTATAAATAGGAATGGCTGGCAAGAGGGAAAGGTGGGACAGATCTTTCCACTTCTTCAGAATGCTCTTGAGCAGGAGGCAGAGAACAGAAACATGTTCAATGTTTTGCACAAAACTTGCTTCGTTCCTTCACAGCAGAGCTGCTTGGCATTATGGGAGAGCAAGTTATCTGGGCAGAAGTCAGAGCTGAAAAATTTTGCTGCAGTGCCTGTTGTTGACCTGATGAGATTTTTTTAAAAAATCCTTCACTGGGGGCGGGGTGGGGGACAGAGAGGGGAAGTAGACAAACTTTTTATTTTTTGGAGTATTTATCTATTGCTTGTCTGTTATGGAATGAAACGTGTCCCCCTCAGATTCATGTGTTGAAGCCCTAACCCCCAGTGTGACTGTATTTGGAGACAGGGCCATAAGGATGTAATTAAGGTTTAATGAGCTTGCAAGAGTGGGGACCTAATCCAATAGGACTGGTGTCCTTATAAGAAGAGAAAGAGACACCAGGAGTGTACATACACAGGAAAAAGGCCATGGGAGGACACAAGGAGAGGGCAGCTGTCTGCAAGCCAGGAAGAGAGCCTTCACCAGAAACCAACCCTGCTGGTACCTTGATCTTGGACTTGCAGCCTTCAGTACTGTGAAAAAATAAATTTCTGTTCTTTAAGCTGCTTGGTCTGTGGTATTCTGTTTGGCAGTTCTAGGCAACTAATACAATGTCTTTTAACACTGAAAGGCAGATTGAAGTTCACTTGTGTATGTGACAAGGCATTGGATACATATTAAGGCCTAGCAGGTAGTGGAGTGGTTAAAAGAATTGGCTGCTGGACTAAGGTAGGCCTGGTTCAAATCCCAGTTGATCACTTACTAGTAGTGTGACCTCCAGCAAATTACTTTGTGTCTTTATGTTTCCTCATCTGTAGGAGAGTAACAATAACAGCTTATATCTGCAAGATTGTTGTGAGGTTAAATACTTTAATGTATACAGAGCATGTCGTAGTTACTGGCAAACGGCACCCTAAAAAATGCTAGCTACGACACTGAGCACCTCATTTGTTTATAGTAGTTTCAGTTTACAAAGTACTTCCATAGCTATTATTTCATTTGATTTTTACAGCAATCTTATGAGATTAGTTGGGAAGGAAATCTTACACCCACTCAAGGGAGGAAGAAACCAAAATTCAGAGAGGAAAGGAACTTGTCCAAGCTCAAATTTCTAAGAAAAGTAGAGCCAGGCTTCAAATCCAGATCCCCTGACTCCAACTTCAGTGCTTTCCTCACTAAATTTGCAGTCCCTCTGAATTCCTCCTTCCCTGATCCCCTCCCCTTGTCTTTTTTTTTTTTTTTTTTTTTTTCACCAAACATGTATTGAGTTTCTATCACATTCCAGGCATTTCCTCTTCTTTCCCTGGACCTGCGTGTCTTTTCTCTTGTTCGTTTGGACCTGGATGTTGTGTGTGTGTGCATGAGCAAGCCTGCCTGGGAGCGTGCCCGTGTGCCCACATTTGGGCATTGAGGGCTCTCATTCTCCCTAAGGGTGGCCTTGCCTTGTTTTAGCTCAAAGACAGCACTTGGCTTTCAAGGATATATTATAAATAGAGCCTTGACAGCACTCTCTTTTCTTATCTGAAAACTGACACGAAGCACAGGCAACTAGGACAAAAAGAAAGAGAACAGGGTCCGTGGTGGAGCAGATAATCAATATCTTTAAATGATTCGAGAGCAGAAATTCCCAAATGGGAGGTGAGAAGAGACCTGAAAATGACAGCCTGAGGAAGTTTGTTGGGCTCTCCTAGGGAGTGAGTGGTAGGGCGCGGTGTTTGAAAAAGCAGATTTCATATTGCAATTTGTTATTTAGAAAAATGTCCCCCAAAAGCTGTTATTCTCATAGTACAAACTATAGAAATTAAAGCTGTCCAGAACCTTTTTGACCTTTGGGATTATGTAAGAGTTATGGCAATTCCCAATGAAACGGGAGGCGGCCTCTGAATTGTGAGAGCTGAGATCATCACCGTGTATTTTTAGCCATTAGGGATTTGAATCTAAAAAGCTGGAAAACACTGTTTCATAGAGTCTTCAGAAAAGAAGCAAGGCCTAAAAGTTGCAAGGAGTCAATGCTTGAAAGGTTCCCATAGAGTTTGAAAAGGCCATAAAACCTAACTCCCCTATTTTACAGATGAGGCAACAAGAGAAGTCGCTGGCACAAGATCTAATGCTTATAACAGGATTGGCTGAGCCCAGCATCGGCCTCAACCTGCAGTGGGCGGCGGGGGGGGGGGGTGGGGTATCAGTAGAAAAGACCAGGGAATCTCTGACAAGTCGTCCTCTGCTCCTAATAAAGAGAATTAAAATGTGCCTTTAGGAGGCTGGGACCAACCCCAGGTCACTAGCTCAATGAGCCTGAAGGATGCAACTGGGGAGGCATTTGGAACACAAAAGCAGATACTCCTGCTGTTCTAGATGGCTTCCTAAGAGCCAGGGTTCTTCAGGTCGGTCTTTCCAAGGACCTAAAGTAGTAGGTTGGACAGCAGGGGATGCGGAGGATCAATGAAGCAGCTGTTGGCTTTCGGTGCATATAAATAATGCACCTCTAAGGCCTAGGGTGTGTTTTGGTTATTCTATACAACAAATACCCAAAAAGTGTTGGTGACCCTTGGCCTTGCATTTCCCCAGACTCTGACCCACACCCTGACCTTGACCTGACCCTCAGCCTGAAGCTGACCCTGAACCTAATCCTTTCGCTGACCCTGACCCTGATTTTGAGCCTCCTGTTGAACCATAGCCTCAGCCTGGCCTGCCATTCACTCTGACACAGGACATGACCTTGTCCTTCATCCTGTTTCTCACACTACCATGACTCTCAGCTATGCTCACCCAGACTCTGACCCTGACATGGACTCAGATTCTCACCCTCACAATGAACTTGTCTATAGGCAGACTCTAACTCTGAGGCTAACCCTATGCTCACCCTGAATCTGATCCTAATCTTGAACCTGACTCTCACCGTGTCCCCGAACATATGGCCCTCACGCTGACTCTGACCCTCACACTTACCCTCTCAATTTAACCCTACCCCTTACCCTGATGCTGACATTGACCTTTATCGTGATGTTGACCCTGGACATATACCTCACACTCCTTCTGAATCTGACCTTAATCCTCACCATGACATTCACAATTACTCAGATCCTGAATCTGAACTTCATCACGATCTTGACCCTGACCTTGATCTAGATACTCACATGACTCTCTTCCTGACTGAACTCTGACCCTTAACCTGAACCTCACACTGATTCTCACCATGACCTGAGCTTGACACTGAACGTGATGCTAAATAAGCACCTGACCCTGAACTTGGCTCTTACCCTGATTCTACCTTCATCCTCACCCTCACCCTGAGCTTTGTCTGACCCTTACCTTAATTTTTTCCCAAACCTTAATTTGAACCTGACACTTATCTAATGTTGACTCTGACCCTTACCCCTAACCTACTAGACACTCAGTCTGACACTAATTTTCATTCTCACACTGGTGTTGACCCATACTCTTACCCTTACCCTTTCACACTCACCTTGAACCTGACCATAAATCTGGCCCTGTCTCTGAACCCCACCCTAAACTTTAACCTTCAGAAGACCCTGCTCCACACCCTCCCCGTGACTGAGACCCTGAATCTGCCACTGTCTCTCAATTTCTCATCCTCACTCTTACCACAGCTCTAATACTTATTCTGACCCTTACCCTCACTCTGAATTTGTCCCTAACCCAAAACCTGTCTCTGACACTGACTTTCACCCTGAACCTCACCATAACTCTGACCCTTGGACTTTCCCACCCTCATCATGACCCTGATGAAGCTATGACCCTGACTGTAGCCCTTACCCTCACCCTGATATGAACAGTGACTCAATCCCGACCCTGACCCAGACCATCACCCTATCATACTGGTCTTAAATTCATCCTCACCCTGAACCTGACCCAAATTCTGACCCTTATCCTTGTCCTGATCATCACTATGACCTTGAAAAGACCCTGACACTCACAGTGACCATCAAATGATTCTACTTCACCACTACCCTAACACTTTAGCTGGGCCAGACACTCATCCTCATCAGGACCGTTATGTTCATCTGACTCTGCTCACCTTGAGTTTACTATGTATTACATGCTCACCTTGAGTTTACTATGTATTACATGCTCACCTTGAGTTTACTATGTATTACATGCTCACCTTGAGTTTACTATGTATTACATGCTCAACCAAATCCTCACTCTAAACCTGACCCTGACCTTTATTCTGATGTTCACCCTAAAATTGGCCCTCATCTGGCCCTCCCTCTTGCTCTCATCTTGTGTCCATGATCCTGCCCCTAAAAGTATCTCTGACTCTGATATCATGCTGACATTGACTCTAACCATCCCACCCCTCTAAAGTTACCCTAAACTTAAATTTCAACCTGTCCCTGGTCGTGACCCTGACCAACAACTCAACTTTGACCCTGATCCTGACCGTCAACCTGACACTGACTCTCACCAAGACTCTGACATTCACACTGATCATCAAACTGACTATACTGAGTCTGGCTTTAAAAAGTTGTGGTAAAATAAATGTAATATAAAATTTACCATCTTAAACATTTTAAAGTATACAGTTCAGTGGCACTAAGTACATTCACGTTGTTGTGCAACCAATCTCCAGAACTCTTTTCATCTCACAAAACTGAAACTCTGTACCCGTTAAATAACAACTCCCTCTTTTTTCCTTTCCCAGACCCTGGCAACCACCATCATAGTTTCTGTCTCTATAATTTTGAGTAATCTAAGTATATAGGTGGAATCATACAGTATTTGTCCTTTGGTGACTGGATCATTTCACTTAGTATAATAACCTTGAGATTCATCCATGTAGTAGCATGTGTCAGAATTCCCTTCCTTTTTAAGGCTGAATAATATTCGGTATATACCACATTTTATTTATCCATTCATCTGTCCATGGACACTTGGGTTGCTTCTACCTTTTGCCTGTTGTGAATAATGCTTCTATAAACATGAGCGTTCAAGTATCTCTTTGAGACCCTACTTTCAATTCTTCTGTATATATACCTAGAAGTAGAATTGCTGGATCATCTAGTAATTTTTAATTTTTTGAGGAACCAACCATATTGTTTTCCATAGTGGCTGTGACCCTATCTTTTATGCTGAACTTTACCTGACCCTGTCCTACATCCTGACCTTAACAATGACCTTCTACCTGATTTTTAACCTGAACTTCACCCTGAATGTGACTATCATGCTGACCCTAACCATGGCACTGTCTTGACTTTTACCATGTCCTTACACTGTGCTAGAGCCTGACCGTGGCCCATACTATTAACCTCACACTGACCCTGACTCTGTATTTTATACATATACTTACATTCACCCTGACTCTCACCTCTCTTTGACCATGACTTAGACCCTGAAATTAACCCCTACCCTGTATCTAAATTTGAACTAGACTTTTACTTTGATCTTTTTCAGACCTTTACCATGAATCAGACCTCAACTTAACCCTTACCTCACCATGATTTTACCTTCACATTCACCCTGATGTCAAGACTAAAGCTGACCCTTATCCTCACACAGAACATGACCCTGAACCTCACCATGACCCTGTCCATGATTCTGACCCTGACACGCATCCTGACACCGATTCTGATTCTCACCCTCACAATAAGCCTGATACTAACCAAGACCCTGATGCATACCTGACCCTATTCTTCATTCTGGCCACCCGATACTTACTCTGATCCTTAACCTAAACCTGCGTGATATTGACCCTCTATCTTGTCCCTTATCCTAAACATGACCCTCACACTGACCCTGATTTCCACCCTTATGAAGACCCTGACCCTCAACCTTTCATACTGACTGTCATCATCATGATATTATCTCACTCTGACCCTGACCCTAAACTGGACTCTGAATCTGACCCTCAACTTGTTCCTGACCATTATCTTCCCTTTCTCCATTGACCTTAAATGAAATCTGACCATGATGACAACTTGAAACTGACTGACCTCCCTGCTGCTGAACTTGACCTTTATCTTATCCCTCAACCTCACCTTAATCATCACTCTGACCCTGACCAGCACTCTGACATTGATCCTGAACCTTACCTGACCCTAACCTTTACCCTGACACTGACCCTTAACCTGATCCTTATCCTAAACCTGACCATAAATTTGAACTTGACCATCAATCTGACCCAGATCATAAATATGAAAACAATTGGGACCCTCACCATATCCCCAAACCTGAGCTGACTGAACTTGATACTGACCATAACCCTGACCACCTTCATCCTTACTCTTACCCTGAGTCATATCATGACTCTCACTCTTACCCTGACCCTGACCTTCACACTGAACTGACACTCAACCTGACTTTGAGTCTCACCATGGCCCTGAGCCTGACTTTGACTTTATCCATGACACTCAGCAAGACTCTGATATTCACTCTAACCTTAACCCTGACCTGACCATGTCCCTGAGCTTGCTTGTGAACTTTAACCTCTACCTGATCCTCACCCTCTACTTGGCCCTAACCTTATCATGATCCTGGCCCTGATTATCACCCTGACCTGACCAACATCTTGACCTGATTCTGACACTCAAGCTGACCATGATATGGATACTATTCTCACATCAGCCCTGATCCTCAACTTCACCCAGAGCCTTGGCCAACTCCAATCTTAATCTTGACCCTGACCCTGATCCTCAACCAGATACTTTTCTGACCTTACCCTGAACTGTTTTGCATCTTGACCTTGACCCTGACCCTCACCATGACACCATCCATGATCCTTATCATGTCGCTGAACCTGATCTTGAGTGTGATCTTCACCTTCACCTTGACCTTCACACACAGCCTTACCCTTCCCCTGACCCTCACCTGAAAGTGATTCTGACCTTGGATCAAATCGTATACTCACCCAGGCCTCATCCAGAATTGGACCTTTATGATGACTCTTATTCTCACTCTGAACCTGACTTGCACCTAACTCTCATCTTTACCCTTACTCGGATTTGGCCATCACCCTGCATATGACCCACATCTTGAAACTTACCCTTATCCTTATAGTAATCCTCACTCTGATAGTGACTCACACAAAGACCCTGATATTCATGCTATCACCCTGACTCTACCCTTACCCTGGCCTTGAACTTTACCCTGAACCTTAACTGACCCTGACAGTCAACCTAATCTTTCCTCTGAAACCCTCATGCAAACCTTGACCCTAACTGTACCAATGACATTCTCATCAATCCTTCTATTTCCATATAACTTGACCCTGACCATAACCCCTACACTCACACACACCCACACCCTGACCAACACCTTGACTATGAACTGGACCTTGACTTGTCCCTGAGACTCATCCTGATCATGGCCCTTATGCTGACCCTCACAATGACCCTGACCCTCACTTTGACCCTCAATCTAATATTAACCCTTATCTTGAGAATGAAAAGACTCTGAAGCTGAAGCTTACCCTGAACATCGTCATGACGCAACCCAGACTCTAACTTTTATTCTCACCCTGAACCTATCCCTCACCACATACCTGATATTGGCTGCCATGCTGACTATGACCCTCCTCACTATTACCATGTCTCTGACCTTGACTTAGAACCCTATCCTCATGATCATCTTGACCCTGAGACTCAGCTAACACTGAACGTCACTCTAATCCTCTCACTCACTGTAATCTTGATACAAACCCTAACCTGCACCCTCAAATGTATCATGACCTCACCATGTCCTTGATCCCGTGCTTGACCTTGTCCCTACCTTCATCCTGACTTTACTCCTCACCATGATCCTGATGCTGATCTTCACCTGCAACCCCAAACTTTCTCTGACCCAGACCCTTATATTTATCAAGTTTCTGACTACAATGATTTGAAAGTTTGTCTCCTCCAAACCTCATTTTGAAATTTGATCCTCAGTGTTGGAGGTGGGGTCTAGTGTAGGTTGTTTTGGTCATGGGGGTAAATCCCTCATGAACAGATTAATGCCCTTCCTGGAGTATGCAGAGGGAAGGAGGGGAATGAGTGAGTTCTTGCTCTATTAGTTCCCATGAGATCTGGTTGTTAAAAGGAGCCCGGTACCTCCCCTTCTACTCTCCCTCACTCCCTCTCTCTCCATGTGATCTCTGCACATGTGACTCCCCTTTGCCTTCTTCTATGAGTGGAGGCAGCCTGAGGCTCTTGCCAGAAGCAGATGCTAGTGCCATGTTTTTTGTATAGTCTGCGGAACTGTGAGCCAATTAAACCCCTTTTCTTTATAAATTACCCAGCCCTCAGGTTTTCGTTTATAACAACACAAAATGGACTAAGACACTGACCTGGTACTTAGCCCCACCCCCACCATGATTAACACCCTGGCACTGTATCTGACTCCCTTACTCTTCAAACATTACTGTCCTTGATAATCAACCTGACCAGACCCTGTTCGTCACGCTGAACCTGATGCCCTAGCCTTGACCTTTACACCACCCTTACCTTGAACCTGACCCTCACCCTATTGTGATGCCTGATCCTTACAATGACCCTGATCTTTAATTCTTACCTCACAACGATGCTGAACCTGATTGGATTCCTCATCCCAACTCACATCTGGATACTCCTCATCTAGATACACACATCATTTCTCCCCTGAACAATGACTGTGCCTGTGCCTCATCTTCACTTTCACCTTGATCCTGATCCTAAACCTCACCTGGCCTTGAACTTCATTCATACACTGACCCTTATTTGACCTCATTCTTACTCCAACCCTCATACTGACCCTTATGTTGACCCTGACCCTGACCTTAACCATCACCCTGACACTGACTCTGAAATATACACCCACTCTCACTCTGACCCTGTACCAGACCCTCTGCACCTCACCCTATCACTAACCCCCTCACTGACCCTGACCCCCAACTTGATCCCCAAATACACCCTCAGATGCTGATCCTAATACTGATTGTGATACTGCTCCTGACACTTACCATATCCTAAAGCTCACCATCATCATGACATTTACGCTTAACCTCTCCCTGTCTGTGACCCCCTCTCTCTGACCCTTATTGTCACCCTGACCCTTATAATGATTCTGACTCTAATAATGACCTAACCATCACCAAGTTGAGTTTGAACATGAAATCTTATACACTCACACTCTAGTTTCTTTTGGATTTCTTACTGTTCTCAATAAGAATGTGCTTTTGAGAACTAATTCTCAACTTGTTTACACATGTACTGTGTGCTTTCTTTTCTTTTCTCTTCTCTTTTCAGACAGGATCTTGCTCTGTTGCCCAAGTGGGAGTGCATTGGTATGATCATGGCTCACTGCAGCCTCAACCTCCTGGGCTCAAGCGACTTTCCCTCCTCAGCCTCCTGAGTGGCTGGGACTACAGGCATGCACCACCACTCCTAGGTAATTAATTTTTTTTTTTTAAATAGAGACAAGGTCTTACCATGTTGCCCAGGCTGGTCTGGAACTCCTCAGTTCAAGTGATCCTCTCACCTCAGCTTCTCAAAGTACTGGGATTACAGGAGTGAGCCACTGCACCCAGCCTACTGTATTTTTCAAATATGCTGCTTTGATTTGTGGTCTCCCTCAAAGTAAGAAACTACAGTTGAGGCTGGGTGCAGTGGCTCAGGCCTGGAATCCCGGCACTTTGGGAGGCCGAGGCAGGTGGATTGCTTGAGTCCAGAAGTTTGAGACCAGGCTGGGCAACATGGTGAAAAGCCATCTACAAAAACTAATTTTAAAAAATTAGCCAAATATGGCGGCATAAACCTGTAGTTCCAGCTACTTGGGAGGCTGAAGTGGGAGGATAGATTGAGCTTGGGAGGTAAAGGTTGCAGTGAGCTGAGATTGCACCACTGCACTCCAGCCTGGACAACAGAGTGAAACCCTGTCAAAAAAAAAAAAAGAAAAAAAGAAAAGAAAGAAACTGCAGTTGAGAAAAATGTGTAGTTCTTATTGATTTGCCTCAGGTAAAGCATAGGTTAATGCTAACAGTTAAGAATTTTATCTATTTTATTTATTTTTTTGAGATGGAGTATCACTCCGTCACCCAGGCTAGAGTGCAGTGGCACAGTCTCGGCTCACTACAACCTCTGCCTCCTGGGTTCCAGTGATTTTCCTGCCTCAGCCTCCCAAGTAGCTGGGATTACAGGTGTGCACACCCGCACCTGGTTAATTTTTGTATTTTTAGTAGAGATGGGGTTTCACCATGTTGGCCAGGCTGGTCTCAAACTCCTGGCCTCAGGTGATTGACCCGCCTCAGCCTCCCAAAATGCTGGGATTACAGGCATGAGCCACTGTGCCTGACCAGAATTTTCTTTAGAGACAAGTGTCTGATTTTTTCTTTAATGCTAGTCTGTTCACATAAATACAATTTTCAATGATATCTGCTTTAACTCGCAAGAAATTACTGTTGAGGACAGTGTGTAAATATGAACTCATTTTCACATATATAGCATAGGTTCCTCTTATCTTGTTCTGATTCACAGGAAGAAATTGTAATCAAGATGAATATGAGTTTCTGAGTTTTTTGGAGTCAAATAAATCTTAAATACATCTTGGTTTAGGCAAACAGAGGTAGCATTGAAAACAATCTGTATTAGTGCATATAAGCTCAGTTTCAGACATTCCTCTCAAAAGAAACTTTTTATTGCTTCTTAGGGTAAACTGAGATGGACATAAGCACATATGAGTATGTGTCATTCATTGCAAAGGCACAGCCCTACTGTAAGGGACAACAATAAGGACGAGTCTAAGCAGAAGTACTGAAAAGAATCCACTGGCCTGGGCAATGTGGCGAAACCCCATCTCTACAAAAATACAAAAAACTAGCCAGGTATGGTAACACACACCTGTAGTTCCAGCTACTCAGGAGTCTGAGGCGGGAGTATTGACTGAATCCAGGAGGTTGAGGCTGCAGTGAGCTGTGACTGTGCCACTGCACTCCAGCCTGGGTGACAGAATGAGTCCCTGACACACACAGACACACACGCACACAGAATCTGTATTAGCATCAGCAAACTCAGTTTTAGACATTCCTCTCAAAAATATCTCCTTATTGTTTCCTGCAGTAAACTAAGATGAATGTAAGAAGAACAACACATATCCATCTAAAAGGTGTATTCTTTTTTTTCAAGGTAGGTATAGACTGAATGTTTGTGTTCCCCCCAAATTTGTAAGTTAAAATCCTGGCTGGCTGCAGTACCTCATGCCTGTAATCCCAGCACTTTGGGAGGGTGAGGTGGGTGGATCATTTGAGGTCAGGAGTTCAAGACCAGACTGGCCAACATGGTGAAACTCCATCTCTACTAAAAATACAGAAATTAGCCAGGCAGTAGTGGCACGTGCCTGTAATCCTAGCTACTTGGGAGGCTGAGGCAAGATAATTGCTTGAGCCCAGGAGGTGGAGGTTGCGGTGAGCGGAGGTTGTGGTGAGCCAAGATTGTGCTACTGCACTCCAGCCTGGGTGACAGAGCAAGACTCTGTCTCAAATAATAAAAAAAAAAAGTTAAAATTCTAACCCCCAATCTGATGGTATTAGGAAATGGGGCCTCTAGGTCCTGAAAGTGGAGCCTTCCTGAATGGGTTTAGTGCCTTTATAAAAAGAGATTCCAATAGGCCAGGTGCAATGGCTCACGCCTGTAATCCCAGCACTTTGAGAGGCCAAGGCAGGCAGATCACGAGGTCAGGAGTTCGAGACCAGCATGTCCAGTAATGGTTAAACCCCATCTCTACTAAAAATACAAAAATTAGCTGGGTGTGGTGGCGGGTGCCTGTAATCCCAGCTACTCAGGAGGCTGAGGCAGGAGAATCGCTTGCACCTGGGAGGCGGAGGTTGCAGTGAGCCAAGATTGCACCACTGCACTCCAGCCTAGGCAACAGAGCAAGACTCCATGTCACAAAAAAAAAAAAAAAAAAAGAGAGAGAAATTGCAGAATTTGCTCCCTCTCTCGACCCTCCAGCATGCGAGGGTATGAGAAGACAGTTACCTGTAAGCAAGGTAGAGGGCTTTCTCCAGATACGGGATCTGCTGGTGCATTGATTTTGGACTTCCCAGCCTCCAGAACTGTGAGAAATAAATGTCTGTTGTTTCAGCCACTCAGTCTACGGTATTCTGTTATAGCAGCCCAATTGACTAACGCAACAGAGCAAAGGTGAATGAATCTAAGTAGTAGTATTAAAAAGAATTTGTAGTAGTACAATCAGGCTCGGCCTCAGACATTCCTATTAGAAGTCCTTATTGCTTCTCAGAGTAAAGCAAGATAAATGATAAGACAGTAAAATACATATCAAAGGCACATTCTTACTAGAAAGAAAAAAGATAAAAATACACTGTTTATTAAACCTCATTTTAATTGTCTCTTCCTTCTTAAAATGTCAGTGGGTTAACAAAATATGTAAATGCCTTTGGATAATAAGACATATTTGTGTATATTTGCCTTCTCAAAGCTTTTAATTAACATGAGATAAATGCTCATGAAAAATTACCTAGGCAGTTTTTTACTTTCTATCCTGTAGATGTCTCCTATGTCTGGAGGAAAAAAAAAGAAAGAAAAGAAATATTCCCTTAATTAGAGATAGTAATTAACAAAGACAGTTCGTTATACTAGGTACAAGGATTGCAGAGAGATACAGGTATGTATATATAGGATTTTCTGTTTGTATATTTTTAAAAGTTGTGTAGTTCACTCATATAATAAATTTAATATAATACATACTGCTTTATTTAGTATACTGACAATTATGCTTTAAAGCTATAGTTTAAAACTTTAAATTATTACCTATTTATATTTGTATGTCTTGATGCATACAAAAAGGGAATATATCCTTTACTACAATTTGTTATATAAATAATATACCAAAAGAATAAAATTAGAATTTAGGTCTTTTGCATGAGGTGACTTATTTTATGCCCAGGTCAACAGAGGTTCCTTTTTTTGTCAACAAATTGTTCTACTGCTTTTGTATTCTCTACAACTATCATCAGAGATTCCCTTGGATAACCTTGACCTAATTTTATTTGATCAAAGTTAAAATGCTATCATGGAGTGAAATTCACCCTTAAAACATAGACAACTTCCAGAAATTAAATCAGTTCAGATAACTAACATCATTGTCCTTATCTGGGCTTGGCAGCTCACAAATAAATAAATAAGCAATTATTTATGCTGATAGTAAATGTGTTTTGGGGGTAGTCCACAAATTCAGAATTGTTTAGAAACAGAGATGTTTCTAACCTTGAAAAAAAAAACTTACACCAATTAAATGACAAATTAAAGAACTTTTAGATGCTTTGCTATTACCTAAGAAAACAGCTATCATAAAAACACAGTCATTGAAAAGACAAGACCTAGAAACTCATGGTAATGCTTTGGCTGGCCCCTATGCTAAACAAACAATATTAACCTAGATAAACAGTCCTATCATCACACGGACAAGAAAAGTCTTGGAGAAATTCAGAGAGGCTGTTCCTAACTGTCAGAAACAAGTCTCTAATTCAATTTAGGATGATCATTAGATGATCACCAGGATGGTCAACTGAGCGTGCCTCAACACTTGAAAATGGAGCTTAACGAAAATTCTTCATGATGTAACCATAAAGGAACGATAAGTTGACAACAATATTAGACCAACACTGGTGGCTTAATTTTAGATGTAGCTGCCAAGGATGTGTTTGAAAATGTGTCTTATCTGCCAGTGACACATCCTGATAAACTGCCAAGGTGGGCTCATGGACAGGAATCAAAGCCTCTATGCCCCTTTAAATACCTCCAAATGGACTTCATACAAATACCTTTTACAATGAATTATAAATATGTTTTGCTCATTGTGTATTTATTCTCAGGGTGGACTGAAGTTTTTCCTTGCTGGAAAGCTATTCCATGCTGGGTTGGGGGTTGAAAGGGTTCAGGGGATGGCTTGGTTTTGTTTTCCCACCTGGGGAATTCCCATTTATCTCTCCAATGACAGAGGTGCTCATTTTACTAGAACTGCACTGAAGTACTTTTACACAGAAACTTCACTGTCCTTATCATCTGTAGTCCTCAAGATGAACAGAGAGAACGAATGGAATTTTATAACTAAAATTAGCAAAGCTCTCAAAACCTCTTAAACTCCCATGGCAGAAAGCATTACTATTAGCTTTCATATCTAAAATCAACCCTCTCTAGGGTCCTTATTCTGCAAGGATGAAAACTCTTTTTTTGAGACGGAGTTACGCTCTTGTCGCCCAGGCTGGAGTGCAATGGCACGATCTCGGCTCATCGCAACCTCCGCGCCCGTTCAAGTGATTCTCCTGAGTCAGCCTCCCGCATAGCTGGGATTACAGGCATGCGCCACCACGCCCAGCTAATTTTGTATTTTTAGTAGAGACGGGGTTTCTTCGTGTTGGCCAGGCTGGTCTCGGACTCCCGACCCCAGGTGATCCGCCCTCCTCGGCCTCCCAAAGTGCTGGGATTACAGGCGTGAGACACCGCGCCGGGCCCAAAACTTGCTTAAAGGAACGGGTGGTTGGACCCTGTGGTCTACCTGGGGTCCCCACCCAGCCACTCACCCACTCCTCCCCTTGGTGGGGAAGGGAGGGAGGTGAAACAGAGCTGTCTGCCCACCCCAATCCCACCTCCTTTACCAGTGACCCAGTCACGGATTTCAAGTTTAATGCACCCGGAATCCTGCAATTTAGTTCTTTTGGCATAAGTCACCTTCCCACTGCTCCCCAACGCATGCTCGCAATTATGCTGTACTGCCACTCTTGGCAAAGTTTTCAGAGAGTAGCCTCCGCCCCATACCCCCTACCCAGAATCTGCAGTGGGCAGGACTCACCGTTGCTAGGAAACACCCGCTGTAATCCCTTTGACCCTGTCCTGTGCTGATCTTTGGGGGAAAAGCCCCCTGCCCAACTATTGAGCATGCACAGACTATTCCAGGTGCAGCTGCTGCCAAATTGCTGTTCTCCAGGAACCCGCGGTAGGGAGCCATCCGCAGCCCCGGGAGTGCCTGCTGCAACGGCCTGACAAGGATTAGGGATTAACGGGGAGATCTGCTGCATCCTCTTCTTTCCTCAGTAGGAAGAACGACACAGGAGGCAGGGTTGGAGGCTCAGCTAAAAACCAGATTCCCACCACCTGTTCCTTCAAGCAAGTGCGCTTGCGCCGGGCAGGCCCTCGGGCTAGCGTCTGGCTGATGGGTGGTGCTGCCGAGCGAGGAGCGCACGCGCTCGGCGTCTCCATCTTCTGGTTGTGTGGTCCGTATTTTAGGGGTGTATTACAGTAGGTGCCGGCATTTTAAAATATGAACAAATAAAATTAGGTCAACACTATCCAAAGGAGTCTCAAAAGAATGGTTGAAGAATATGCAAAAAGCATTGAGAATTAACAGAATAATTTGGTGACAAAAGAAACCTCTATTGATCTGGGGATAAAAATATTTGGTAAATTTACATGGAAGACCTAAATTCTAATTATTCACTTGGCAAATTATTTATGTAACAAATTGTAGTAAAGGAACTATTGATATTGCTTGTCCGCCTTTTGGCTAAGATCAAGCGTAGGAGCTATTGATATACATTTATTTGTATGAATTTAGGCAGACACACGTGTACAAACATAAAAATAGGTTTCTGACTATTGAAAATACATTTATCCTCTGCATAGACTTTTATCTCTGCAATCTTTATACTCAGTTTAATCAATATCTACATTAATTACTATCTTTAAGTAAGTAATCAGTCTGTTTTTTTTCTCTAGACATAAGGAAAACCCAGGGGACAGAAAGTTTAAAACCATCCAACTTATTTGTTCATAAGAATTTATCTTCCAGTATTTTAAAATTTTGAAAAGGCAAAAACAAGGGATCCAGCCCTGGTCATGCTGACTTCGCAGCTTCTGTGCGTATCTATGCACTCAACTTGTCAGTGTCCTTGTGTCAAAGACCCCCTAGGCACATACCTGAGATGAATAAATTGGGCTTATTATGGCTTGCATTGGGGGAGAATGCACACCACTGGGAACTACAGGGTGTCTCAGTAAAAAGGCGTCAGAAAGTACCTGTTATAGAATGTAATCTTTTGTTGGGTGACTTGGGGAAGGGTCTAAGGAAGTGAGGGTTTTGCTCTAGATTTGGTATTGTTAGAAAGTGGAGCTAATTCTAGATTAGCTATTTTGTGGATATACAACACATTATTAAATAATAAAGTGTTTAACTATAGCCTTAAAATAGAATTTATCAGTATATTAAATAAAACAATCTATATCAAATTAAATTATTATGTGAATTAACTGCAATAACTTTAAAAAAACTAATAAGAAATCAATTAGAAACTCTTTCTGTAATTCTTATACCCTATATAATCAACCATCTACATTAATTATTATCTTGAATTAATCAGCCTTTTCTTTCTTTTTCTGTAGACATAAGAGACACCTAGAGGACAGAAAGTTAAAAACCATCTGGGTCATTTTTTAATAAGCATTATCTTATATTAATTAAAAGTTTTGAGAAGGCAAATACAAGCATATATGTATTATCATCCAAGGCATATTTTGTTAATTCACTGATAATTTAATAAATAAGGGTCAGTTAAAATATGGCTTATATGTGGTCTTTTGTATATTTTTTTATTTTAGTAAGAATGCGCCTTTGAAAGTAGTATGTTTTGCTGTCCTTATGTTTATGTCAGTTTACTCTAAAAAGCAATAAGAAGTTTCATTTGAGAGTAATGTGTAAGAAGGCTGAGCTGGTTTGCCCCAATATGAATTTTTTTCAATATTACTTCTGTTTGCCAACCTAAACTCAGATATATATATATACATTGTGTACCTGACCTTACACAATGAGTATCGGTCAGATTCAGGGTGAAGGTCAGTGTCAGAGTCTGTATGAGGATAGGCATCAGGGACATAGTGACGGATAAGTTCAGGGTAAGGGTGAGTGTCAAGGTTGGGTCATGGTGAAATTCAGAGTAAGTTTCAATATAAGGATCAGCATCAAGTGGAGTGTTACAATGAAAGGATCAGGATAAGTCTCAGGCTCAGCTTCAAGGTCAGATCAACATCAGGTGAGGGTCAGTATCAACATTAGAAAAGATCAGGGATGGGGTCAGGGTCAGGGTTAGGTTAAGGATAAGGATGAGGATTGAAATAATTGTCAGGCTAAGTAAGCAAGGGTCAAGGTCAATGTGAGAATAGGATGAGTGGTAATGTCAAATGCAGGGTGAACTTGAGTGTCTGGTTTAGAGAAAGAGTAGGAATTAGGGGTCAGAGGTGGGTGAGTTTGCGTGTCAGGTTCATGGTCAGAAGTAAAGTCAGTGTGAGGCTGAAGGTCAAGGTCAGAGTCAGGTGCAAGACAGGGTTATTGTGAGATGAGAGGGAGATTCTGAGTCAGTATATGTGTAAGGGTAAGGCTCACAGTTATAAAAATGGTGAATCTGACAATAAAATTCAGGGAGAAAATCAGGGTTAGATTCAGGGTAAAGTCAGCTCAGAGTCAGCATGAGGATCAGAGGAAGGGCCAAGGACAAGTGATGGTCATAGACAGGATCAGGGTCAGAGAGCATCAGGATAAGCATAAGGATAAGGTTAAGGGTGAGTGTATATGTCAGAGAAAGTGTCAGCTTGATAGTCAGGGTCAGCGTCAGGCTGACGGTCAAGGTCAGCCAGCATCATGGTGAAGGTCAGAGTGAAGGTTAGGGTCAGGAAAAGTCCAGAGTCAAGTGCAGGATTAGGGTCAGTGTAAGAGTATTATCTGGGTCAGAGTCAGCTTCAGGATCACTGTCTAGGTCAGGGTGTTTTCAGAACAGGATGATAATTGAGGTTCTGGGCACAGTCAGGGTCAAGTTGACCCCTCAAACTTAACCTGACACTCAGCCTGACACTGAGCCTGAAACTCATGTCTGTTAACATGACTCTTGCCCTAATGGTAGCTCTCATCCTCACCAAGACACTGCAGTTCATGAACGGAGTGAATGTCAGGGACATAGTGGTCATATGTCCATTTACTCTTGACCCTCATGTGCGTCTGACCTTCATAGTGACCCTCACTAGGACCTTGCCTTGACCTAGAATTTTGCCCTCATGCTGTCCATCCTGACCCTGCACCTGACCCTGATGCTCACCCACACCAAGACTCTATTCCCCACCATGACCCTGAGGCTGATCCCACCCACACCCTCTACATTACTCTCACCCAGACACTCACCCTCACCATGTCCCTGACACCTCACTTGACCTCAACCCACATCCTAACTCCGGCACTCACTGTGACACTCACCCTGACACTGAATCCGACCCGCATCTTCACCTTAACCTTAACCTGTCCTTTACCCTCATCTTTACCATCAGCCTAACCCTGATCCTCATCCTCACACTAACTCTTACCCTCACGTTCCCAGTGGCACACTTTGACCCTGACCCTTACCTTGACTCTCTTCTCACTCTGACCTTCACACGCGTTTTGACCCTGACCCATTCCCTGACTGATCTTGACCTTGATCTGTATCTTGACCCTCACCCTGACCCTGATCTTGACCTTGACCTGACTTGGCACTGACCCTCCATGTGACCCCAACCCTAACCATGGCCGTGACTCTGACCTTTGTTCTGAGATCTTGAGCCTGACCCTTACTCTGATCTTGATACTCATCCTCCCCCTTCTCATGATCCTTACCCTCAAATCTGACTCAAACCTGATGTCACCCTGACACTGTCTCTCATCCCCCAACCCTTGTACCTTACTTGACCCTGCCCTACCTCTGACCATCACCCTGACTTTGATCCTGATGCTGACTCTGACCCTGACACTACCCCTACCCTGAACCTGACTCTCACCCTACCTTTACCCTGACCATGACCTTGACTGTGATCTAAATCACACATGGACTCTTACCTCATGTTGACACTGAAACTGACTCTGACCCTCATCCTGACTTGGACTCTCACCCCTACCCTTCCCTGAACAATGACTCTTATCCTAAACCTCACTGTCACTCTCATGTTGACTATGATCCTAACCCTTATCCTGGCCCTGACACTGACTTTCAGCCTCCTTTGAACGTTGACTCTTACTTGTCCCCATTGACCATGACCCTGACAGTGACCTCAATCCTCAACCTGACCCTGTCCCTGGCACTGACAACTATACTAAAACTGACCCTGAAATGTACACTGGCCTTCATCTTGACTCTGACCTTAACCCTCTGATACTGATCCTGAATCTGTACCTGACCCTTCTTTACCTTCATTGTGACACTAAACCCTTCACTGGCCTCAACTTCATCCTGACCCTCATCATGAAATTGAAGCTTACTCTCACCATGATATTGATCCTGACCCCCAGCTGCACCCTGTCATGACCCTTTCCCTGACCCTCATCATGACCCTGAGTTGAATCTTACTTTTACCCTACACCTGACACCTGATCCTTATGCAGAGTTGATCCTAACCCTGACCAGAGCTGCATTGACTCTGATTGTGACCTTCAACTACACCCTAACCATGACATGCACCCTCATCACTAAGCTGAGTATGACCATGATCTATGCACACACATTCTAGTTTCATCTAGATCTTTTGTAACTTGCAATATGAAAATAATTTTCAGAATTATGGACATTTACCAACTTGCCTAAACTTTTGCTGCTTATTTTCAAATATACTGCTTTGATTCATGTTAATATGATCTATTACAATGAGGTAAAAAATATAAACAAATATATAGTGGCTATTACTACTCTTTTTTGTTACTTTGGCAAATTATCCCTATGGCAGTCGATGAATTAGAGGGCTAAAAATGTAAACTTTCCCAGGATTCCAAACTGATTCTAGCACCCTAAAAGGGCCTCCTGGCTGGCCAAGGAGACTGCTGTTGTGCTTGGCTGCACCTACTGCCTCTCGTCTTTACTACCTTTTCCCTGGCAGGTGCCGGGTGGGGTAAGCCAGCTGGCTGCACAATCCAGGCAGTGAAGAATGGTGGGTGGCACAGCATACAGACCACAAGGATGTGGTCACAGTTCTTGGCTCATGGCTCACAGCTATGGATCCAAGTGTCATGGCCATCACAATGGATCCTTTTAGCATCATTTTCTTAAATAAAAGGTATTACAAAGACTATACACTGGTTACTGCTTATTGTGGTTGCTCTGCCAATGGATCTCCATAGAGAATGACCATACACATATTAGCCATACCTTATAAGAGCAAAAGAGATAAATGATCAGGGTACTTTCATGGTCTCCCACAGAAGAAAGCTAGCAAGCAAACCTGTACTTATGTTTTCAGTAGCTATTTTCATAAAAGCTATTTTTAGCAATTGGAAAATTGGTTTTATAGGCCACAGAGTTATGTATCTTATAAAATAGAAATCAAAATCAGAAATTACTTACAGAGGTGGTATAAACCTTTGAGAGTTCATGTTGGATAAGGTTTTCATTGGTAACTGCTTCCCGAGAAAATGCCACTGAACTAAACAAGCAACTGACTAAGTGGGGGAAATATCCCTAAGATTACAGAGTACTCCCTATGTGCCAGACACAGCCCCAGGGTGCTGTGGCACAAAGGAGTTAGTCTAGTACCGTATAATCACTATGAGAAAAAGACTGATATTTCTGCATGCAGCAATTCACAAGAAGAGGCAATGGTAAGGGTGGAAGAAAGACAATGGACTGACTGTTCTTTGTCATAATCATTGTTTCTTGACTGCACTCCTTTTTCCTCCTTACCAGGGGAAATGAGACCAGTAAGAAATGAGGCAAATAAGTTAAGAAATTAGGACAAAGGAAAAGAAATGGTAATGATTGTTTATATATATATTTTATATATACACTTCATATATAATATGTAGTTACATATAGTTATATATTATATTGTTATACATACCTTAACAAAATATATGTTGATATATATAAAGATTGTTTATATACATATGTGTGTATATATAATTTTTTTTAAAGACAGGGTCTGTCACCCAGGCTGGAGTGCAGTGGTGCAATAACATCTCACTACAGCCTCAGTCTCCCCAGGCTCAGGTGATCCTACCACCTCAGCCTCCCAAGTAGCTGTGACTATGGGCACGTGCCACTATACCTGGCTAATTTTTTATTTTTTTAAATAGAGATGGGGTTTCACCACGTTGTTCAGGCTGGTCTAAAACTCCTGGGCCCAATCGAGCTGTCCACTTCACCCTCCCAAAATCCTAAGGTTATAGGTGTAATGATTTGTTTTTAAAAGGAACCTTTTCTAGATAGATAGACTCTGTTTTAAACTTGTCAAGTGAGTTAACAATTTTTAATCCTTCACTACAAATACTGTGCCTGCATGTTGCATATAAGGAATTGATGTTGCTGAGACATTTCTGAGTTGGTTTTAAGCTCTATCATCAACAAAATAAATGACTATTTCTTTTGCAACCATAAGCACCATAGCTCTGAATGGGCAAGACAGAGAGTTTCACGATTAAACTACCAAAACCTAAGAAAGACAGATGCAATATAGAGTACTTTACGCTACATAGGACAAAAGAGTGAAAGCAGAAGTAAATGAAAACTGCTACAAAGCCATGAAATCAAGGAAGCTGCCAACAAAAGATCATTTAAGAAAGAAAAAAATGATATACCCAAAGGATTATAAATCATTCTACTATAAAGACACACACATGTATGTTTATTGCAGCACTATTTACAATAGCAAAGACTTGGAACCAACCCAAATGCCCCTCAGTGATAGACTGGATAAAGAAAATGTGGCATATATATACCTTGGAAACTGTGCAGCTATAAAAAAGAATGAATTCATGTCCTTTGCAGGGACATGGATAAAGCTGGAAGCCATCATTCTCAGTAAACTAACACAGGAACAGAAAACCAAACACCACATGTTCTCACTCATAAGTGGGAGTTGAACAATGAGAAGACATGCATATAGGGAGGGGTACATCACACACTGGGGCCTGTCATGGGGGTGCGGGTGCAAGGGGACGGATAGCATTAGAAGAAATACCAAATGCATGTGGGGCTTAAAACCTAGATGATGGCTTCATGGGTGCAGCAAATGACCACAGCATGTGTATACCTATGTAACAAACCTGCATATTCTACACATGTATCCGAGAACTTAAAGTAAAATGAAAAAAAAAAAAAAAAAGGAAAGAAAAAAATCTATTGGCAAAGTTGACCTTAACAAGGGTAGATGTCCCAAGCTTGCTTCGTTGTAAGAATTACTGGAGACACTTGTTCAACAGCGAGAACTCCCACACATCTTGGAATAATTCTAATTTCACTCCATATGTGATCTACACACATCAGCAGCTCTAAGAACTCCCATTTTAAAAAAAACATTTTAAAATGAAAAAAGAGACAAAAGAAGGAATTCTGCTAAGTTACACTGGGTTCACCACTTAAATAACTGGTGGCAAGTGTCTGAGTGTGAATCCTGAAGTTTGACATCACTCAGTCTTGAAAAATTAGTTTACCATAACAAAAGCTTGACACATTATTTTGCTTTGTTCAAGACCAAATTTAAAACGTAAAATTATACATGTATTACGTTGTTTTTAACTAAATGACATAGCAGTGGTTGTCTTCTTAAATGGTTAAGTTTTATAATATTTTATATTAATATAATTCGTAAAGATTTAATATATTAACTTAATTGTAATTTCTAGATTCGTAACTAACTTTTGAAACTTAGTTCTGGCTGGGTGCAGTGGCTAACACCTGTAATCCCAACACTTTGGGAGGCCGAGGCGGGAGGATCTCTTGAGCCCAGGAGTTTGAGACCAGTCTCAGCAACATGGCAAAACCTTGTTTCTATAAATAATTAAAAAATTAGCCAGGCATGGTGCCATGTGTCTGTAGTTCCAGCTACTTGGGAGGCTGAGGTGGGAGGATCACCTGAGCCCAGGAATTTGTGGCTGCAGTGAGTGGTGATCGTGCCACTGCACTCCAGCCTGGGTGATGAGAGTGAGACCCTGTCTCAAAAAAAGGAAAAAAAAAAACTTAAGCCCAATTCAATTAATAAATTACCCTTAAATGCTTGTAATTTCTAAAAGAAAAAATACAAAAACTGCTGACTAAATATAATTTTAACTTACCCTTATTAAAACATCAGTAGACTAATAAAATATAAAAATACCTTTGGGTGCTAATACATAGATGTTTGATTTTGCGTTTTTAAATTTTTAAAATAATGGGAGATAAATGCTCATTAAAAATTAGAGCATGGTTTTTAACTGTTTCCCCTTTGGGTGTCCCTTATGTCTAGAGAAAAAAAGAAAAGACTGCTTACTTTAAAGATGCTAATTATTTTGGTATAGTTCATAAAAGTAATCCATTACATCCAGAATATTTACTGCAACAATTCTACAATGAATTGATTACATTCTAGGGTCTGCTTGTTGAGCTGACACAGTGAGTTCAGGTCCTAGTACTCTATAGGATTACTTTGAGTTCATCTGCTTATGTTTCTACCTCCCTCATTACACTATGAGCCTCACAATGGCAGAGAATGAAATTATCTTTGTATTCCCTATTCCAAATTTAGCCCCGATACACAGTAGGCACTCAGTATTGTATAATGGAAAGAGGCAAAGAGAAGAATGGAATATTCTATGCAGTTTATTTACCTTCTTCCCCTAGGCATGAAGTTTTATTAATAATGAGATAATTGACCTAATGATGCAATGCTAGAATTGCTGGACTTACTTATAGGAGGAAACTTGCATGAAAATCACGAGAATGGGCCGGGCGCGGTGGCTCACGCCTGTAATCCCAGCACTTTGGGAGGCCGAGATGGGCGGATCACGAGGTCAGGAGATCGAGACCATCCTGGCTAACACGGTGAAACCCCGTCTCTGCTTAAAATACAAAAAAATTAGCCGGGCGTAGTGGCGGTCGCCTGTAGTCCCAGCTACTCGGGAGGCTGAGGCAGGAGAATGGAGTGAACCCGGGAGGCGGAGCTTGCAGTGAGCCGAGATCGCGCCACTGCACTCCAGCCTGGGCGACTGAGTGATACTCCGTCTCAAAAAAAAAAAAAAGAAAAAAAGAAAAAAGAAAGAAAAAGAAAAAAGAAAATAATGAGAATGGCTATTTGATAGAAGTATGAAATCTAAAATGCCAATATCATCAACTCCTGGAGGTTTATCCTTTCGGATTTTCAGTTTTCTGTTTTAAAAGCATTAATTAGAATGCTAGCACCCCAGAAAAAGCAAGAACATTGTCTATCTTGTTCATCTATATTCCTAGAGTCAGAACATTGACAGGAACATGTATAAGTTCGGCAAAGATTAGTTGAGAAATGACTTTGTTGCACCAATTCTGATTGCCGATGGAGGCTGGCAGCACTTTACCGAGTACAATATCATTTCAGTGATAGATTATCAATGTCTGCCGTGTGTACAGTAGGCAAAGTTAGGGTGCCTGTAACATGTTTGCCATGAATGTTAAACCACTCTTCTTGCCTTAGCTATCAGTCAACATTTTAAACAGCTGACTGCAAAGAAGACTATGGAACTAGCAGGTAGGGAAGGGTATTGACTGGGAGGGCTAATGGGGCTCTGAGATGGAAACGTGAATCTCGGAAAACAGATTCTGCTGATTCCATGTTTGGCTAAGAACATTGACTTTCTTATTTGTTAGTTATTTGTTTTATTTGGGTTTTCCTGATACTGAAAGATTAAGTTGTGCAACACAGCAGTGTTTTAACATTTCACTAATTGAATGAAGCCTGCAATGTGCAACAAAAAGATTTTTGTGTTTATTTATTGAGATTGTGCATGTACTATATTAATTTCACACTCCTTGAACATGCATTCTTCTTCCAATTAGAAAGAAAAAAGCGTGGTGGAGGCTCAGAGTTTATTCCTTTATGGAATGATTTTAAATAACAAATAAATGAATTAAAAATTTCCTGTCCCCAGAGTCTTACATCTTTCTCTGGTTAGGAAGCAGATGCACTCATAGGTGTAGCTATTGTTCCAAAGCTAGATTATCTTAAGTTTTTGAGTCTAGGATTGGAATGGGGGTGCTTGCAGGTAATTGACTAAAATAATGAAGATAATTTGAGATATGGAGGGAGATATTTTGCAGCATAAACGCAAGGGTCTTGTGTCTACCCGCACTCAGAATTGCAATATCAACTATGCCAGTGCTATATAAAATAGGATTCATTCATATTTGGACTGATGCATACTTTATTGCATAGCTGGGAGGCAGTTCAATTTTCTATCACTTTGTCACACATGCAGTTTGAAGTATGAGAACTCACAACTTAGCTCTTTTTGCCTCTCCTCTTCCTGATAAGTGGAGGCAGCCCCTTGACCCTGTGGAAGAATTATTTGTTTATTCAGTTAACAAATATCTAGCCATGGGCCAACATTCAAGCTTACATCCAACTAAGGCCATTTGTTCATAGGGCATCTGTCTTAATTTGGATCTCCTCTACCATGGACCCTGAGAGAAGGACTTGGGTGCAGGTAGCTTCTGCAGGGAGAAAATCCCTGGAAGCACAAATAAGAAAGTTAAAAAAGTGAGGCAGAAAAAGGGAAAAAATTGATAAAGTATGCGTAATAGAGCAGGTTAGTGCTGTAAGCAACTATGTCTCAATCTTCCTGGGAACCTCTGAGAAACTACTGGAAACATATACAAAATATCCCCATCAGAGGGAAGGCTGGGATATTTATGAGTATACACCCACATAGCTCAGTTGTGCCTGCAAACTTCCCATGGTGCAAGAGAGAGGGCTCAGGTAGAGAAAACAAGAGACACTAATTCCTATGTTGGGATGTTTTCAGTGTGCCAGGGACTGTCCGCCATAACTGTACGTCAATGCAGGCGAGCCAAGCAGATACGGGGCAGTGTATCTGCAACATCTACTAAAAAATCCTACTTTCTCTACCTCGAGGCAGGGTCCATTTTGGAACCAACAAACTTCATACTGAGGTAGATCCAGGGCTGCCACATATGGCTATTTAGGATTAGCCAGTTGTGCACCATTTAAGCCCAAAGACTGCCAAGTACATAGACTGTATTGTAATTATTACTGCCTGGAGCTGGGCAATGAAAAATCTGTAGCACATTCACAGGGATGTCTGTATAATTGGCATCCCTTGGAGCCATGTAATGCACAATCTGCAAGGCTGTACATACTGTTTCTTTTATAAGAAAATCCTCTTTTGAAGGGTAGGTATTATTTTTTGGGAGAGTAAGTAAATTATTATAAAGCATTAGACAGAGGACATTTCAGAATAAAGAAGATTTCAGTTAACATATTTGCATCGCTCAGCAAGCAGTACTTACAGGTTCTTTTTTTTTTTTTTTTAGACAGAGTCTTGCTGTATTGCATAGGCTGGGGTGTAGTGGCATGCACTCCAGTAGTCATTGTAACCTCCACCTCTTGGCCTCAAGCAATCCTCCCATCCTTCCACTTCAGCCTCTCAAGTAGCTGGGACTGCAGGCATGCACTACCACCCCTGGCTAATTTTTCTTTCTTTCTTTTTTTTTTTTTTTTTTTTTAACACGGAGTTTTGCCATGTTGCCTGGCGGGGGAGGTGCTGGTCTTGAACTCCTGGGCTCAAGTCATCTGTCTGCCTTGGCCTCCCACAGTGCTGGCATTACAGGTGTGAGTCACCTCACCTGGCCTAGTTACAGGTTCTATGTGGCGATCAGACTCAAAAGACTCGGTAGGCTTTAAAACCTAATACGATATTTTCTTAGCTTTTTAGATGGATACAGGACCACATGTATGGTATCTGTGCCTTGTTAGGAGACCCAAATGCTACCCAAGTACCCGCCTCACCTACGTAAGTCATGTCTAGCTGCCTCAAACAAGGTATGGTGTGTCACTTTAACACAGAGAAGCTACAGCCTCAGTTATCCCCCCCATCCTTTAGACCATACTAGTCCAGTTCATGGGTCTTCCACTCTTGGTGCAGTTCCAACAATTAGGGGTTTCACGGCAAACAAGCCAGGTATAACCATCCACATATATCTTAATCTCCATTTGATCATTGTATTATATATTAAGATAATCTTAATTTCCAATGAGACAGTATTATGGGAAGACAGACTCCAAACTTGTTTTAAAGGCAAGTCTTTGTTCAGCCCAGGCCTGATTGATTTTACTCACAACATTGTATATAAATTTGGATGAAAAAGAATACAATGCTTATGAAACAATGGACCTCATCTCTAAATTCCTGCCCAAAGTAACTGACAAATGCTATAAATTTTAATGTAAACAAATGCATAGTTAAAACTAAATTATTTTCTCATTACAAAGTAGTCTTAATTGTAGAATACTTGAGAGACAAGATAGGCACACAGTATATATTTTAGAAATGTATTTCTCAACTTTAAATCTTTCTTGTAACGCTTGTGCCAATTTTCTTGCCCATCTAATCTTTCTTTTACAGGAAATTGCAGAAATTAAGAAATAGAAGTGGAAAAGAAAGGTGGTATAATAGACAATGTACTATTGCTATTACCCAATTGTTGAGACAGTTTATCAGCAAGATAGAGGTAGCATTCTTGTGGGTTAAATATCCATTATACACTAGAACAAAGTAAACTGTGAGCACTTATGCAAGCACAGTGTTCTCTAAATACTAACTGATGGCAACTTATATATTGCATGGAAAAAGACTTTATATAGTTAAATTGCTACAGAAAAATGACTCCATTTCCAAGCGATTAGTCAATGGTATTCTCACGTTTTGGAAACTTTTATTTTTAATCATTCTCTCTTAAGCTTTACTAAAATAAAAATCTAGATTTTTTTTAAATCTTCCTATTTTACTTCTGCAAGCACCATAGAGTTTCATTGTTCATCATAATGACTTTTAAAAAGAGAGATGATTTTCTGCTCTTGTGAAATGGCCAATTTATTGCCAACTGGATCACAACAGAACTGATTTATCATTGCTCTAGTTGGAATCAGTTATGTCTCTGAGAGAACCTTTTTTTTTAAAGGAAATCATGGCAGGCCAATGTCAGTGAACTCGGGAAAAGGCCCTGATCAGGGAAATTAGGAAAGAGATTGCCACATGGATTTCACATGCCCTCTTGCCAGAAAAACATTCAAGTTGACATTCTTTGTGTTTTGTCTGTCAAAAATATAGGAGCAGGACAACCCACTTTTCCGGGACCCTCCCTGTAGCAGAGAGCTATTCTGCTTCTTTCGCCTATTTAATTTCTGCTCTAAACCTCAAAAAAAGTATATAGATATATATATAATATATATACACACACACCTTTATATGGGTATATATATATATATACACATTTATATGGGTATATATATATACACATTTATATGGGTATATATATATACACATTTATATGGGTGTATATATATATTTATATGGGTGTATATATATATATGGGTATATATATACACACCTTTACATGGGTATATATATATACCTTTATATGGGTGTACATATATATATATACCTTTATATGGGTGTGTGTATATATATATATATACACCTTTATATGGGTATATATATATAAATGTGTATATATACATACACATATATATACATTTATATATATATACCCATATAAAGGTGTGTATATATATATATATTTATGTACCCATATAAAGGTATATATATATATACACACCCATATAAAGGTGTATATATATATATATATATATATATACACACACACACCCATATAAAGATGTATATATATATATATATATATATACACAAAAAGATATATATACCTTTTATATATATATATACCTATACTTTTATAGGTATATAAAGATATATATATATATAACTTCTATATTTTGACAGACAAAACACAAAGAATATATAACGATATACCCATATAAAGGTGTATATATATGTGTGTATATATGTATGTATATATAATATATAGCTATATGTATGTATATATACATATATATCTATATGTATGTATATATACATATGTATATATATCTGTATGTATATATATACATATGTACATGTATCTATATGTATGTATATGTGTATATGTATATATATCTATATATAGTCACATAAAGATATATATATAAAGGTGTATATATATATAAAGGTGTATACATATACTTTTATATGGGTATATAGTTATATATTCTTTGTGTTTTGTCTATCAAAATATAGAAGGTATATATATATACCTTTTATATACGTATAAAAGTATAGGCATATATATATAAAAGGTATATATATACACACCTATATATCTATTTTATATATATATACCTTTTATAGATATATATAAATATATATATTTTATAGGTATATATAGGTATATATAAATATATAGATATATATATTTTATAGGTATATATTGGTATGGATATATATATACAACTTTTATAGGTATATCTATAAAGGTATATATATATATACACACCTATATAAAGGTGTATCTATACACACACACACACCTTATATATAGAGAGAGGTGTGTATACACACACATATATATATACTCCTCTCTCTCTCTCTCTATTTATATATATATATATATATATATATATATATATATATATATATATATATGCAGTAGTTTCCTGGGGGAAAGAGTACCCTGAAGATGTCTATAGCAATACCAATCCCCTAGCATAGGCTTTTAGGAGTTTCGGATGCCTATTGGACCTTCCTGATGCACATCAGCTTTGTTATGGAGCTAAAGATGCAACTATGTATGGCCTCCTTCACTTCCTCCTTCCTCCCTCCTTCTCCCTTTTCTATTCCAGCAATTGAGCCTATATGATGTATCTGGGACTGAGTATTCGGTGGCAAACTTGATAGACATTGTCTCTGTCTTCACACATTTTTATAATCTAGTGGTGGAGACAGATATTAATAACATCAGCCCACAAATCTAGAATTATAGATTGCAATAAGTTCTGGGGAAAAAATATGATGCTATGGGACAAAAGCTGGAGTGGGGTGATGTGAAGGAAAAGACAATCTCCCTTAGGAAGCCACATTAAGTTGAACTGGAAAAGACAGTCTCCCTTAGGAAACCACATTAAGTTGAACTGTCAGTGAAGGATAATGAGAAATGTGGGAGTGGGGGTTGGCATATGCAAATGTCCTGAGGCTGAAGGTATGGACAACTGTGACTCTTTTTTTTTTCTTGAGATGGGGGTCTCACTCTGTCACTAGGCTGGAGTGCAGTGGTGTGATCTTTGCTCACTGCAGCCTTGACCTCCAGCTCAAGCAATCCTCCTACCTCTGTCTCTCGAGTAGTTGGGGCTATAGAAGCAGGCCAACATGCGAGGCTAATTTTTGTATTTATTTGTAAAGATGGGCTTTTGCCATGTTTCCCAGGCTGGTCTTGAACTCTGGGGCTCAAGCAACCCTCCCACCTCAGCCTCCCAAAATGCTGGGATTACAAGCGCAAGCTACTGCGCCCGGCCTCGACTCATCTGAGTTAGCAAAAAGCTGAGTATCGCCAAAGGTTTGTCAGCAAGGAGACGTGACTGGCGAGCTATGAAGGTGAGGCAACAGTCAGGGGCCAGATCACTCAGGCTAAAAGCAAACATATGTCTACTGAGAAATAAAACATGTGAATAGCACAGAACTAAAAATTAATAGAGGCTGTGGCACTGCACCTGCATGGCACATTACTGGACAGCTGGTAACATGACCATGTCCTCTTGTAATTATTTGGGGAATGGTGGCTATTTTGCTATATCAGCACCATTGGATCTGAGAAATGACAAAACAAATGTATTCACTCATCTTTTACAAGAGATCCTTGAACTCTAAGAGGGGATTCACCTGGGGACAGTTCAAGAATATTGATGTTCGACCTGTAGCATTAAGCGGACTGTGTTCATTTAGGACACACAATGGTAGCTCAGAAGAATAGAGGGGTTGTGCCCTTTGGAGTGGAGGCCTGCTGTTTGTTTGACAGAAGGTAATAAACAAAAAGACCACAGTGCCCTGAAGCTCTTTGGAAGGTTTGCAATGAGAAAGGTAAAAAATGGCAAACAGCCTGAAAGTGGCACGTAATCGTGAGGGAGCCGGTGAATGGAAATTCAAATCCCTATTATTCTTTTAAACTTTTCCGTACTGGGAAATTACCTGGGGTCTTGCGGCTCTTAATATAGCTTGCACTTATTGCTGCCTCCCCCGGTCTTTCCATCCAGAAACTCTTACTTAACAAAACAAAATGGCATTGAAGGGGGAGGAGAGAGCTTTGATTATTGGTTGATTAAGGAATGTTGCTGTGATGTGACCAGTTGAGAGAAAAAATTAAAAATAGAAAAAAAGTAAGAACATTGCATATGTCAGCTTTTCTGTGAGACTGAGAAATTTCACAAATGTTTCACAAGCATTTCATTTTTGAAATCAAATATTTTAAATGCATTCCATCTCTTCTGAAGAAAAAGTATGTCTTTTATTGTTGTAAAATATAACATAAAAATGACCATTTTAACCATTTTTAAGCGTACAGTTCAGTAGCATTAAGTACATTTGCTGCTCAATGTACATGAGCAACCATCACTACTATAGATCTCAAGAATTTTTTCATCTTCCCCAACTGATACTCTGTAACAATCTCCCCTTATCTGCAGTTTCACTTTCTGTGATTTCAGTTACCGAGTGAACCGAACCGCAGTCCAAAAATGTTAGGGTATTTTTAGAGAGTGAGTGAGTGAGAGACTACATTCACATAACTTTTGTTACAGTATATTGTTATGATTGTCCTACTTATTGTTATTATTTTTTGGAGACTGGGTGTCCTGTTGTCCAGGCTGGAGTGCACTGGTGCAATCATAGTTAACCGCAGCCTGAAACTCCTGGGCTCAAGTGATCCTCCCACCTCAGCCTCCTGAGGAGCTGGGACTACAGGTGCACACCACCATGCCTGGTTAATAAATTTTTTTTTTTTTCATAGAGACAAGGCCTTGCTTTATTGCCCAAGCTGGCCTCAGACTCCTGGCTTGAAGTAGTCCTCCCATCTCGGCCTCCCAAAGTGCCAGGATTACAAATGCAAGCCAATGTGCCAATTCATATTTTATTATTCATTATTGTTGTGCCTAATTTATAAATTAAGCTTCATAATCAGTATATATGTATAGGAAAAAAACCTAGTATACATAGGGTTCAGTACTTTCTGAGGTTTCAGGCATCACCCACTGGGAATCTTGAAATGTATCCCCCATGGATAAGGGGGATATACTGTATCCATTGAACAATTCAATGAACAATTCAATACTGTATCCATTGAATTCTCCATTTCCCCCTCCCCTAAGCTCCTGGCAACCACCATGCTACTTTTATCTCTATAAATTTGACTACTCTGGACATCTCACCTAAATGGAATCATATAATATTGGTCTTTTTGTGACTGGCTTATTTTGCTTAGCATAATGTCTTCAAGTTTCATCCACATTGTAGCATGTGCCAGGATCTTCTTCCTTTTTAAGGGTAAACAATACTCTACCATATGTATAAATGTACATTCCATATTTTGTGTACCCATTCATTTGCCGATTGACATTCGGTTGTAGAAAAAGTATCTGTTAAACATGGAGCAGAGGGACACAATCTTTTCCTTTTCTTAAATCATCTTACTTTTATTTTTTCCTTTTACTGTCCTTTCCTTCTTTCCTTCTATCCTTTCCTTTCCTCTATCCTCCCTGGATAAAAGGAGGATAAAACGTGACTAAGGAATGTTACCATTGGGAATTTCAAGAACTAGGCCTGGCGCAGCCCAGGCGCGGTGGCTCACGCCTGTAATCCCAGCACTTTGGGAGGCCGAGGTGGGTGGATCACCTGAGGTCAGGAGTTCAAGACCAGCTTGGCCAACGTGGTGAAACCCCATCTCTACTAAAAATACAAAAATTAGCCAGGTGTGGTAGCCCATACCTGTAATCCCAGCTACTAGGGAGGCTGAGGCAGGAGAATCACTTGCACCCAGAAGGTGGAGGTGGCAATGAGCCAAGATCATGCCACTGCACTCCACCCTGGGAAACAGAGCAAGACTCTGTCTCAAAAAAAAAAAAAAAAAAAAAAAAAAAGCCTAGTAAAATGACTTTCTTTTAAAATATATATATTTAATGTAATTTTTTTTAGAGAAATTTTATAGTCACAGCAAAATTGAGCAGAAAGTACGGAGATTTCTCATATATCCTCTGCCCCCATACATGCACAGCCTATGACATTATCAATATTCTTTACCAGAGGGGTATATTTGTTACAATCAATGGACCTGCATTGAAACATCATTACCCCAAATCCACAGTTTACATTAGGTTAATCACTCTTGGTGTAGTACTTTCTATGGATTTGGACAAACATATAATAACATGTGTCCACCCTTATAGCATCATACAAAATAGTTTAACTGCCAAAAAATTCTCTGTGCTTCACCTGTTCATTGCTCCTACCCACAATATCTGTAGTCCTAACTATTTGGGAGGCTGAGGCAGGAGAATCACTTGAACCCAGGAGGCAGAGGTTGCAGTGAGCTGAGGTCTTAACGCTGCACTCCAATCTGGGTAACAGAGTGACACTCCATCTCAAAAAAAAGGTAATTATTCATTAAAAATGATCATCTGTCTCAAAAAAAAGTAATTATTCATTAAAAATGATCAGTAATGCAAAAATCCCCAGAAATGTCAGAGTTTACGGTTTGATATGGTCTGGATGTTTGTCCCTTCCCAATCTCATGTTGAAATGTGATTCCCAGTGTTGGAGGTTGAGCCTGGTGGGAGGTGTTTGGGTCATGGGGGTGGATCCCTCTTGAATGGCTTGGCCCCATCTCCACAGTAATGAGTTCACATGAGAGCTGGTTGTTAAAAAGAGCCTGGCAGCTATCTTTCTACCTCTCTCACCATGTGACATGCCTACCCCCACCCCACCTTCTGCCATGAATAAAAGCTTCCTGAGGTCTCACTAGAAGCCAAGCAGATGCTGGTGCCATACTTGTACAGCCTGCAGAACCGTGAGCCAAATAAACCTCTTTTCTTTATATGTTACACAACCTAAAGTATTCCTTTATAACGATGCAAAACTGACTCACATTAAGATTTTATTACATATGGCCACATTGCTCACCAGAAAAGTTGCTCCAACTCTCCCTCTAGAAAAAAATCCTTGCCTATTTAAAATGTTAAAAAATATGCTTTGTTGGTGTTTTAATTTTCATTTCGATGTTACTAATGAATTGAAAAATATTTTTTAACATGTTCATTATCTATTTGTATTTCTACTTTTGTGATCTTTACTCATTTTTTTCTATTGGTATTAGTGTTTTTCTGTTGAGTTATGGGAACTATTTACACTTAAAAATTTGATGTGATTATATACATTGCACATATTTTCCCTGTCAAATTTATTTTAATTTTAATTTTTAATAACAAAGCTATTAACTGAAATTTTTTTTTTGAGACATAGAAGATGTTTCTTTATCTCAAGAATAGAAAAATGTTTACCTTGGTCAGGCACGGTGGCTCATGCCTGTAATCCCAGCACTTTGGGAAGCTGAGGTGGGCGGATGGCTTGAGGCCTGGAGTTCCAGACCAGCCTGGCCAACGTGCTGAAATTCCATCTCTACTAAAAATACAAAAATTCGGGCATGGTGGCAGGTGCCTGTAATCCCAGCTACTTGGGAGGCTGAGGAAGGAGAATCACTTGAACCTGGGAGGCAGAGGTTGCAGTGAGCCTAGAGAGCGCCACTACATTCCCGCCTGGGTGAGAGATACTCTGTCTCAAAAACAAACAAACAAACAAAAAACAAAAACAAAAATGTAAAATGTTTACCTTTTTGTTCTATTATTATTATTAATTTTAAAATTTATTTTTATTTTTTGAGACAGGGTCTTGCTTTGTCACCCAGGCTGGAATGCAGTGTCATGAATACGGTTCACTACAGCCTTGACCTCTTATCTCAAATGATTGTCCTGCTTCAGCCTCCCGACTAGCTGGGACCACAGGCATGTGCCACTGTGCATGACTAATTATTTTATTTTTTGTAGAAACAAGGTCTCCCCATGTTGCCCAGGCTGGTCTTGAATTCCTGGACTCAAGTGATCCTCCTACCTCAGTCTCACACAGTTCTGTGATTCAGTACTATTTTAATAGTTTAATTATATCAATGAAAAAATATGTAACCGTTTTAGGAGGCAAAGCGTAAGATGGAGATCAAACATTATTTTCTTCTAAATGGTTAGCTGATAGTCCCAAAAGCATTTATTGAAAGAGTCATCTTTTTCTCTCTCACTAATTTTAAATGCAAACATAAAGCCATATGACTGGTACTCTGTTGATTCTATCACTTAAAGGAAAACTGACTTTTCAAACAGGCCTTTAAAATTTTTTCATTTGACTTTCTTTCCATTTTATATATTTACTACCCTTTGCAGATGGATTGAAATAGTTCCAGGAATATTTTTATTGAAAATGATTCTAACTGTTGTCTTAATCCATTTGTGCTGCTATAACAACATACCACTGACTAGTTAATTTGTAAAGAACAGAAATGTATTGCTCAAAATTCTGGAGGCTGGGAAGTCCAAGGTCAAGGTATTGGCAGATTCGGTGTCTGGGGAGGGCCCAGTTCCTGCTTCCAAGATGGTACTTTTGAACAGTATCCTTACGTGCTCAGGTGGCAAAAGGTGGAAGGGAAAAAAGGCTGATTGAATACTTTGTGAAGCTTCTTTTACGAAGACTTTAGTCATATTCACAAGGGAGGAGCCATCATGACCTAATTGCCTCCTAAAAGCCCCACCTCTTATCACACTGGCGATTAAGTTTCTACACATGAATTTTGGGGGACACATTCAGATCTTAACAAATACTATCGTATTTTTCAATAAAAATCAGTAACATGGAATGGGGCGCAGTGGCTCCCACTTATAATTCTAGGCTGAGGTGGGTGGATCGCTTGAGCTCAGGAGTTCAAGACAAGCTTGGGCAACATGGTGAAACCCCATCTCTACTAAAAATACAAAAATTAGCTAGGTGTTGTGGCATGCCTCTGTAGTCCCACCTACTTGAGGAGCTGAGGCAGGAAGATTGCTTGAACCCGGAGGTTGAGGCTGCAGTGAGTCGAGATGGCACCACTGCATTCCAGCCTGGGCAACAGGACAAGAACCTGTCTTAAAACAAACAAACAAATAAACAAAAAACAACAACAACAAACAAAACAGTAACGGGGCTTGGAACTTAAGCCTAGTCCTGGTTGAAGATTATGTCCTTGTTTTTTGTTTTTGTTTTTTTTTTTGTGCTAGGCTTAAATTATTTTTTGAGCTATGTCTTTGGTTTCTTGCTAATTTTTATAAATACTATTAAGATTTTAGAGCTTGTTTAAAAGAAAACTTGGCTTACAGTGATAGATTTAAGTGAGAAAGACAGGATTATTATAATATCACATGTGTAATGCAAATCAGTGCTTACCACATTGCCTGTATCTTTTAAAATGAAAGATTTGAGAACATATGCTGCCTGCAATGTGGTGATAATGATGATGCATTGAAATACTCCATTTAAAAAGCATGCACAAGTAGTAATGAGTCTTTCTGCTAGCATTTCATGAAAAGGAAGCCCTAGGTCATGTTTGTAATATCTGTATTTCCTAAAAGGATTCCAGTGGTATCATGAAATACCTGGTAAAGCCTTTACCTTGCATAAAAGGAGAGACTATGTATTTCTTCTTGATTCTGAAAGATACCTGATAAATTACATTTCCCTCCAAGTTACCAGAAAATGACATCAACACAATTTTTTCTTGCAAAGTTAAAGACAACCATTGCATTGAAGAGGAAAGGAATTTTTTTCTTAATTTTACTTCAAAGGATGTATTAAATCAAAATTAAAGGTATAAGTCTAGGTTAAATTTTCTCTTAGGGAAGGAATTACATCAAAAACTTCCAGGAACATTAGTAGCTAGAAATAAGATTTATTTTCACTTAGGAGGCTATAGTAGTATGTATCACAAAGTACTTATGCACCTTGATAACTTATCAGTCTCTCATTCATAATATTCAGAATCTCTAACTTAAATAGGAAAATACGGAATAAACCGAATATTTCTATATGACAAGCACTGGACTAAAACTTTCTGTGCATATATTATTTATTCCTCATCATCCTGCGAGATAGTAATATTTTAATCAACTTTATTGAGCTATAATTTACATATACTTTTTTTTTTTTTGAGATGGAGTCTTGCTCTTGTCACCCAGGCTGGAGTGCTGTGGCACAATCTCAGCTCACCGCAACCTCCACCGCTCGGGTTCAAGCGATTCTCCTGCCTCAGCCTTCTGAGTAGTTGGGACTCCAGGCGCGCATCACCACACTCAGCTAATTTTTTCTATTTTTAGTAGAGACAGGGCTTCACTGTGTTGGCCAGGCTGGTCTCAAACTTCTGACCTCAGGTGATCCGTCCACCTTGGCCTCCCAAAGTGCTGAGATTACAGGTATGAGCCACGGCGCCCAGCCTTATAGTTTATATATACTAAGTACAACCATTCTAATTGTGCAAGTCAATGCGTTTTAGTAAATGTACACACCCATGCGACTACTACCACAATAATAACAAGAGAATATCTTCATCATTGCAAACTATTGTTTTGTGCCCACTTCATAGTCAATACTTTGCCTCTACCTCCACCGCCTGGAAAGCATTTATATACTTTCTGTCACTATAATTTTGTCTTTTCCAGAATTTCACGTAAGTGGAATCACAATACATGTGGTCTTTTTTTTTTCACATAGCATAATGCTTTCAGATTAATCCATGTTGTTTCATATATCAGTAATTCATGTCCGTTTATTGTTGAGTGATGTTCCATTATAAAGATGTATCATAATATGTTTATACCACCAGTTGATAGACATTCAGGTTGTTTTCAGTTTTTGACTATTATGGATAAAGCTGCTTTGAAATATAATGTAAAAGTATTTGTATAAATGTTTAGTTCTCTCGGGTAAATACCTAAGTGTGGCATTGGATTTTATAATGGTTGTACCATATAAAATTCGAAACAGCAATGTATGAGATTTCCAGTTGCTTCTCATCCTTGTCAACACTTGGCTTTTTAATTTTAGCCACTCTAGTGAGTTCTAGTGTATTCATATCTCATTGTGGTGTTCACCGGCATTTCCCTGATGTGGTAACCAGTTTCCAAGATGGCACCCAGTGATCCTCATCTTCCGGTATTTAGGCTTTTGGGTAGTCCAGCCCCATAATAAATGTCGATTACCTGTGTAAACAATAGACTATTGCTGGAATGACAACTGAGTAATTTATGAGAACAGGTCATGAGAGACTTTGTAGTTTCTGTCTTGTTCTCTTTCAGACCACTTACTCTAGGAACAACCAGCTACTATATCATGAAGACACTCAAGCAGTACTATGGAGAGATGTATGCCATGAGGGATTAAGGCTACCTGCCAATAGCTAGCACTAATCTGCCAGTTATGGGAGTGAGCCATCTTGGAATTGGATCCTGCGGTCATGATCAAGTTTTATGATATGGCCCTGGCCACCATCTTGACTGTAGTGTCATGAAAATTTCTGAGTCTTAAACACCCAGCTAAATGACTCCTTGATTCTTGACGTATGAAAACTGTGTGAGGTAATAGAAGTTTATCGTTGCTTTAGTCTGTTAAATTTTGGGGGTAATTTGTTACGCAGAAATAGACAAATAATACAGATTTTGGTACTTGGAGGTGGGCGCTACTGTAATTCCTAAACTGTGGGAGTGCCATTGGCACCAGGCAGTAGGTGAAAGGTGGGAAGACTGTGAGGGAAATGTCAGTGAAAGCTTATTAATAGAAACTTGATGGCCTTTGAGGAGGCTGCCGGTGAGGGTTTATAGGAATGTGAAGTAGGCAGGATTCTAAGGTGGCCCTCAAGATTCCTGGCCCCTAATGTGTTTTGCATAATCACCCCACTGATTGTGAGCAGGACCTGTGAGTATGACAGAACATTACCACCATGATTATGTTGTCACGTATGGCAAAAGGAATTTTTCAGATATAATTAAGGTCTCTAATCAGTTGACTTTGAGTTAATAAAAATGGAGATTATCCTGGGTAGGCCTGACCAAAGCACATGAGACTTTGAAAGACATTAATAGCAGCAACAGAGATTCTTCTGCTGGCATTGACAAAGTGAACTAGCATGTTTTGAGAGGGCCTACAGGCAGCTTAGGGAAAGGTATTCTGGGTAGAGAGAACAACATGGGCAAAATTAGGAGGCTTGGAAGTGTATAGTCTGTCTGTGTGTAGTCCGGCTAGTGGGAAGAGTGACAGGAGACACCAGCTGAGAGGTGTATACCATGCTAGGGAGCTGGACTGTCTCCATTGGCAGCAGAGGGGAGTTGTAAGCAGGGAAATAACATTACCATCACCTTTAGAGAGTACTTTCTATGAGCCAGGAACTAGGCTAAGAACTTGAGTGCATTATCTCATTTAATCTATTAATATAATAGTACCGCATGACAAAGTGACTATCATTATCGCCACTTTACAGGGGAGAAAACTTAATCTTGGAAAACTTATCCCCAAACCCAGCAGGTGATAGAATTTGAATTCCATCTAACACCTAAAGCTATTCTGCGTATCATTTCTAGATCATTTTACCTAGAAGAGAATAAGAATAATTATAAGAATAATTCTAGCAGTGTTATAGAATAGGGATTGAAGAAAGGCCAGGCAAGGAGCCTGCTCAGGTTATTATAACGGTTTTGAGGAAAGATGATGAGGGCATTAAGTATATTTTCAGTGCTTGCTCTGCTGTGTTCTCTGTAGCCACATTGAGTCGGTTACTTGTTGGAGCATCAGGAGCCTCTGTAAAATGAGGACACTAGTGTTGCTGACATCATAGGGTTGGTGAAAGGATTAAATGAAAAAATGTCTGTCAATCACTTAGCACCACGTCTGAGATGTAGTTGGCCCTTAATATATACAGAAGTTTACAAGGTATTTGTTTGTTTAATAAAGACAGGTCCACTCCAAGAAATGTTATTAAGTACTTAATAACGTGTGCTTTGAGGTGTACACATGAGTACAACAGCGAACAACATGAGCAGGTAAATAACTGAACAAACAAATAATTTTAAATGCAGTAACTCTGTAAAGAGAAATGGAGGATGCTAATTTTTAACTCCGGTCAGGAAACTTCTGATGTATTTTTCTATATCTTTATTTAATAATCTTCTGATAATGAGTTAATTTAATATAAACTCAGATAAAATTTTTTGACAAAACTAAGAGATAAACCAAAATGAAATATCCGATTAGGATCCCGAATCGCGCCTCCCGAGGTTAGTACTACCCCTCACGACTCCTCCCTCCGCCACAGCCACGCCTCTTCTGGGTTTACAGTTCAGAATCACGCCGGCCTCATTCTACCGCTGCTCTCTCCTGGATCTCGGCCACGGATCTTTTGCTCGCGAAAGTTCCTCCGTCTAGCTGCACACAACGCTGCTGCAGGAAACCGAGGTAAGGGATTTGCCGAGACTTAGCTCCACCACACTCCCCGAGGCCCCGCCCCTCCTCTCTGGCCCTCCCCTAGGCCCAGGTGTCTCGCGTTGCACGTGCAGTTGTTGTGGTTCTACGTCACGTGGTCCCGGAAGTTCAAGACAGACCCGCCTCAAACATGGCGGCGCCCAGCGCGCGAGGACGTGATCCGCTTCTGCTCCGGCTTGGATTGTAGCCTTGACGAGGTCTGAGCGACCATGGACCGGCCGGGGTTCGTGGCAGCGCTGGTGGTGAGTGCGGGGCGGTGGGGTGGGTTGCTCAGAGTGCCGGCGTCCGGCATTGGAGCCCGCGGGCGTTCTCTGCACTGGTTTTCTTCCGGTTTTGCGGGCTGGACTGTCCTCGGGTTACTGGCAGCCAGGTCTGAGAGGGAGCACGAGGCTCCCAGGCCACCGGCGGGCCAGGTGTTAAGGCTATGTCTGTACTGCCAGGTCATAAGAGCCAGGTGGGGGAAGGAAGGTGAGTCATTGTCTTTTGCACCCTCATTTACTTAAAAAAGAGCTTCTATTATACACTGTTAACTACTCTTTCATTAAATAGTGTAACTACTCTAGAGATCTTGGGAATTAAAGAAATGTATGTAACACAACAACAAAAACCTTACTCACATCGCTCCCAGCCCTTCTATTCAATACTACGTTTCTCATTTTGCTGCATCTCTTTTCAGTCTTAGAAAATGACATGTCCTTCTGTTCATTCAATACATAATCTGCTATTTCTGCTCCAAGCCTAGGCTTTGGAGAAATATTGGTGAGCACACATAGCTCATCGGGAACGCTGCGGAGTCAATAAACAGGCTTAGTATTTAATTCCGTAGCAGAAAACTACGAGAATCAACATGAATTAACAGAAAAAAAAGTCCTTTACCAAATATTTTGGAGCGTCTGGTAGAGGATACTAGATACAGCAGTTAACAAAACAGAGTTTGGCTGCCTACGTTTTCATTGTGTGGAATGGGCAGAGACAGACAAATAATTTTTAAAATGATTTTCATAGGGAAAATGGAGGCCCACAGTGATTTAGTCACTTAATTATCGAATTTTGGTGTTGCAGGTGTTGAGGATAACATGGTGAACAAGATAGACCTGCTCCTAAGGGTCAGGTGTTAGAGACAAAATAGTAAAATGACTGTTGGGATAAATAACAGGTGGGCTAGGTTCAGGGTGTTAGGGGAATATATGGAAGTAGGGATGTCTTAGCCAGACTTGTAGGATGATAGCTTTAAATCTAGATTTGTTGAAACTTGTATAAGGTAGGTCTTAGAAATATAAAGAAATAATGTTACTGATTTTTTTTTTTTTTTTTGAGAAGGAGTCTCACTCTTCGCCCAGGCTGGAGTGTGGTGGCGCCATCTCGGCTCACTGCAGGCTCCACCTCTCGGGTTCACGCCATTCTCCTGCCTCAGCCTCCCGAGTAGCTGGGACTGCAGGTGCCCGCCACTACGCCCAGCTAATTTTTTGGGTTTTTAGTGGAGACGGGGTTTCACCGTGTTAGCCAGGATGGTCTCGATCTCCTGACCTCGTGATCCCGCCCGCCTCGGCCTCCCAAAGTGCTGGGACTACAGGCGTGAGCCACGGCGCCTGGCCAATGTTACCGCTTTTAAGGAGCTTTCCTGTCTAGCTGGTGACACAGCAGCAGTAGTTTGTCAGCTAACATTCCTGTGCCAGGAACTGGGGTAAGCTCTTTACATACATTATCCCATTTAATTCTCACAATAATTGAACTCTTATCCTAATTTTCCAAATGAGGGAAGTGGGATACCAAGAGATTAGATAACTAGTTCAAAATCACACAAGTGAGATCCATTTCGTCTGTGTAAGTATTGGAGCTCATATTCCAACCCAGGTGATGTCACCTGGGAGTCGTGCCCTTATCTGCTTCTTGATACTCTCCGAAGTCAGCAAAGGTTGCAATTGCTAAAACACAGGTGAGTGCTGCAGTTAACAAAAGAATGGATTTAGTATATACTTAATTAAAGTATGATACACATGCAGTAAAGTATACTTTTTTCCCAATGTATTTATAGAGGGTAAAATTAGAATCAATAGGTGGAAGTTTCAAGAAACTAGATTTCATTCCAGGTAAAGGAAAAACATTTTATTTATGCATTCAGCACACAATTTTTCTTCCATCTATTCTGCCCACTGGGTATTGTGGTAGGCTTTGTAGATACAGTGGCAGATAACCCCATTTCAAGTAGGGAAGAAAGGCCAGCAGATAAAACAGTTGCAATGAATAAGTGCTATGAAAGAAATGAACTGAAGATGCGACAGAGTAGGCAAATATTGGTGAACCTCTTAGATGGAGTGACCAAGGAAAGCCACGAAGTGGTAACATTTCAGCTAAGACCTAAAAGATAGGAAGGGGCTTGAATTTTTGATGATCAGAGTGGGAGGTTCAGTCATGGGGAATGGCTCAAGTGGAAAGAGCTTAGAGTTTTCAAGTGGTGAGGCCTAATGGGTAAGGATAGCATGGCAGGGGTTGGTATGGGAGGGGTAGGCAAAGCCAGCTGAGGTGGGGCTTTATGGGCTAGGGAAAATAATTTGGATTTCATTTGTAGTGTAATGGAAGCCATTGAAATGTTTTATTATCAGAGTAGTACGGAAATGGAGTGGCTACTTTTTAATGTCTTGGAGTGCGTTTGAGACACAGTGAACACTCCTGAGGGAGTTTGGTTTTGCTTACTACTCTTTTACCAGTACCTGGCACTAGGTAAGCACTCAGTACTACTTTGAATGAAAAGCCTAGATGATTGCTGAAGTCTTGAAACTTGGATTTGAAGAATTAAATGAGGTAACATTAAACACACAGAGCAGAGCCTGGCAAGTAGCAGACATTGAAATGCTCCCTTCCTAAAGCTTCATGAAGAGGATTGAATAAGTGGAGAGCCTCTGGGATGTTAGTTATCATTTGGAGCACAGAGTGGGGTATCCAGAAACAAAATCCTCAAAGAGTACATTGATCAGTGCATACTTTTAGGAAAGCAACTGGAACTATGTATTAGCAACCTAAAGATATTTATATAAATAACATTTAACTCAGTGAAGACAGTAAGAAGCTGCTAAAACATGGGACAGAGGGGAAGAATTAGACAAACAATGGGAAACCCATTTCTTGGACTAGTCTGCAGCCATAAAAAATAGTGCTTGTGAAGAGAATGTACTATAATTACATGGAAAATGCTTATGAGATAAAATTAAGAGAAAAACATTGCATGTATGTATATTTGCTTGTACCTAATTAAAGCTATGTTAAAACCTATTCCATTCATGGGGAAAAAAAGCCAGATTGAAATACTCCAAAATAGCACTAAGTATTTTTGGTGGTAGGATTACATCGTGTTAGTCTGTTCTCATGCTGCTAACAAAGATACCTGAGACTGGGTAATTTATAAAGGAAAGAGTCTTAATTGACTTACAGTTCCATTTGGCTGGGGAGGCCTCACAGTTGTGTGGAAGGCAAAGGAAGAGCAAGTCATGTCTTACATAGTGGCAGACAAGAGAGCATGTGCTGCAGGGGAACTCCCCTTTATAAAACCATCAGATCCTGTGAGACTTACTCACTATTACCAGAAGAGCAAGGGAAAGACCTGCCCCCATGATTCAGTTACCTTCTACCAGGTCCCTCCCACAACACATTGGAATTATGAGAGTTACAATTCAAGATGAGATTTGGGTGGGGACACAGAGCCAAACCATATCATTCCACCCCTGGCCTCTCCCAAATCTCCTATCCTCACATTTCAAAACCAATCATGCCTTCTCAACAGTCCCCAAAGTCTTAACTCATTTTAGCATTAATTCAAAAGTCCACAGTCCAAAGTCTTATCTGAGACAAAGCAAGTCCCTTCTGCCTATGAGCCTGTAAAATGAAAAGCAAGTTAATTACTTCCTAGATACAATGGGGTTACAGGTATTGGGTAAATACACCCATTGCAAATGGGAGAGATTGGCCAAAATGAAGGGGCTGTAGGCCCCATGCAAGTCTGAAATCCAACAGGGTAGTCACATCTTAAAGCTCTGAAATCATCTCCTTTGACTCCATGTCTTACATCCAGGTCACGCTGCTGTAAGAGGTGGGTTCCCATGGTGGCTTTGTGGGATACAGCTCCCCTCCTGGCTGTTTTCATGGGCTGGCATTCAGTGTCTGTAGCTTTTCCAGGCACAGGGTTCAAGCTGTCAGTGGATCTACCATTCTGGGGTCTGGAGGACAGTGGCCCTCTTCTCACAGCTCCACCAGGTGGTGACCTGGTGGGGACTCCTTACTGGGGCAGCCACATTTCCCTTCCACACTGCCCCAGTAGAGGTTCTCTAGGAGAGCCCCACCCCTGCAGCACACCTCGGCCTGGACATCCCGACGTTTCCGTACATCATCTGAAATCTAGGCAGAGGTTCCCAAAGCTCAGTTCTTGTCTTCTGCACACCCACAGTACCAACACCATGTGGAAGCTGCCAAGGCTTGGGGCTTGCATCCTTCGAAGCCATAGCCTGAGCTCTACCTTGGCCCCTTCTAGCCACGGCTGTAATGGCTGGGACACAGGGCACCAAGTCCTGAGGCTGCACACAGCAAGGGGGCCCTGGACCCAGTCCAGGAAATCATTTTTTCCCTCCTAGGCCTCCAGAGCCTGTGATGGGAGGGGCTGCCATGAAGGTCTCTGACATGCCCTGAAGACATTTTCCCCACTGTCTTGTCAGTTAACATTTGACTCCTGGTTATTTATGCAAATTTCTGCAGCCAGCTTGAATTTTTCTCCAGAAAATGGGTTTTTCTTTTTTACCGCATCATCAGGCTGCAAATTTTCCAAACTTTTATGCTTTGTCACCTCTAGGATGCTTTGCCACTTAGAAATTTCTTCTGTCGGATACTGTAAATCATCTCTCTCAAGTTCAAAATTTCACAGATCTCTAGGGCAGGGGCAAAATGCTGCCAGTCTCTTTGCATAGCAAGAGTGGCCTTTACTCCAGTTACCAAGAAGTTCCTCATCTCCATCTGAGTCCACTTCAGCCTGGATTTTATTGTCCATCTCACTGTCAGCATTTTGGTCAAAGCCATTCAACAAGTCTCTAGGAAGTTCCAAACTTTCCCACATCTTCCTGTCTTCTGAGCCCTTCAAACTGTTCCAACCCCTGCTTGTTACCCATTCTGAAGTCGCTTCCACATTTTCAGGTATCTTTATAGTAGCACCCTACTGTGGGTACCAATTTCCTGTATTAGTCTGTTCTCACACTGCTGATAAAGACATACCCAAGACTGGGTAATTTATAAAGGGAAGAGGTTTAATGGACTAACAGTTCCACATGGCTGGCAGAGGGGCCTCACAATCATGGTAGAAGGCAAAGGAGGAGCAAAGTCACGTCTTACATGGCTGCAGATGAGAGCGTATGCAGGAGAACTCCCCTTTATGAGATCATCAGATCTTGTGAGACTTATTCACTATCACCAGAACAGAATGGGAAAGACCTGCCACCATGATTCAATTACCTCCCACCAGGCCCCTCCCACAACATGTGGGAATTATGGGAGCTACAATTCAAGATGAGATTTGGTTGGGGACCCAGAGCCAAACCATTTCATGTGCGTTCTTTTCTTTTTTTTTTGAGACAAGGTCTTCCTCTGTTGCCCAGGCTGGAGTGCAGTGGTGCTGTCTCTGCTCAAGTGATCCTCCCACCTCAGCCTCCTGAGTAGCTGGGACTAGAGGCATGCACCAACCACGCCTGGCTAATTTTTTAATTAAAAATTTTCTTGTTTTGTAGAGACAGGGTCTTGCTGTGTTGCCAGGGCTGGTTTTGAAGTACTGGCCTCAAGCAATCCTCCTGACTCAGCTTCAAAGTGCTGAGATTACAGGCATGAGCCACTGAGCCCAGCCCATGTTGTTCTTACAGTTTTTAGAAAATTTTTTTTGTAGAAAGAGGTGTCACAGGTATGAGCCACCACACCTGGCCCACCCTAAGAATTTTTGTCAAAACATTAAAAACGCTTTGGTTGTAATATATAGGGGAAAAATTGCAAAGCTGATGTTTATTTAGTACACTGTAATTAAAAACATTAGAAACATTAATAACTTAATTTTTTGGACAAAACCTTATCAACAGTAGTTTGAACATTTGCTTGTGTTCTCATTATGTATTATAGAAGAAGCATCTTTTTATGCCTTGGCAAGTTGTCATACTGCTTTCTCAGTTTGGATCAACTTCTAACATTTTATTTTTTGTGCTTTCAATGTTGTGAGTTCGTTTAATGCGAAGACTTGCTGACATAACTTAGTCTGGGACATTTTCATCCTTTTCATCACAACTACTTTCCTTATTTATGTTAAATTTGCTCTCACTTATTTTTTCTAGTTACTTATCTAGATTAATGACAGCAGTGTGAATATTTCCATGGCCAGCTGTTTGTTCTCTAATACCATTTATGTCTGATTTTTGTTTAACTTTGTGTTACCACTTTTCATTTTTTTTGCATTTTCATCTTTGTTCATCAGTTTTCTGTCTATTTTTATAAAATGTCGTGTGCATTTATTACTGGGAGATGAGGTAACAACTATTTGCTGTCTGTGCGTAAACTGAGTAATAGGCAGTGATTTCTGTTAATTGTATTGTGATTTGTGGACTGAACAAGTGGTGAAGTTTACACTTTATCCAGTTACTCATAGTTAATATGCTGTGGTAACTGAAATTTGACCTGGGTCATTGGGAGATTCATGTTATTTAAGTAAATCATGGTAACTGAAATTCATGTATGTAGGTACCATGCAAAGTGAGGACCGCTTGTAGTTTTTGTTTTCCTGTTTTTAGTGAGGTGATTTTTGGCTGGTGCTGTCATCTGGGGAGCTTTTTCGTGATACTTGGGTGTCTTCTCACTGGACCTGCCCTTCTGCTGAGAACCACCTTACAGGCAGTAGGATACTTGAGGGGAACAATGTGGGTTATGATGGCAGGGGTTCTTGGGTGGAGTGAAGAAAGGTAATACGAATGAAGTATTGGGTATACTATTAAAAGAGGTTTTCTGTTTTGTTGTTTTTCTTGTTTTGCCTCTTATCTTTTCTGGATAGTGACCTCCTAGTTTTCAATTTGGAGTAAAGGGCATCTTTAAAGATTATCTCCAAATTTATAAAAAATTGAGAATTATGCTTCTCTTTCTCAGGACTTGTGTGACTTGTTTATTTTTGGCATTTACGTCAGAGTGAGCAGGTCTTCCCTTTTTGCTTGCTTTTGTGTTGAGCAAGAAATTATCTAAACACAAGTATATTCCAAATTTTGCTCAGCCCGTGGAGCATGCAAAGCACTGCTTGGAGAGCACCAATCATGCAAGGACCACAACTGATAACCACCACTGTGATGGAGGCATTTTTTTGTGCATCTCTACTACCCACAGATGGGACTACCTTTCTTTTTTCATTTTTCTTTCTGTTTAAGAAAGGCATACTTGGAAAGTTTTAGTATTTGATAACTTAGCTGTAAGTGACTTGTTAATGTGGTTTTGTTACCACTTCCAAACCCTACTACTACATGTTGAAAGTTGCTCTAAATATTAAATCTTTTGTAATACAGACAAAATTTGGGTAACATTAATTAAATTCCAAATAAAGGAAAGATAAAAGTTACACCCACAGTTATCTCACCTCCCCAAATCAGGTGTCTTTTACATGCTTAACCAGATACATTTGTTGGCCTTTGCTGTGTTATTTGGGGTTGAATGCCTGAAAAATATGGTCCCCCACCTTCAGGGATTTAGAGTCTAGTAGGAGGCAGATGCTAAACGAAACTTAATTATATAATTCCAAGTGGTGGTAACACTTAACTGTTTACTGAGCACTTTAAAAGTGCTTATGCAACTTTTTCATAGCTGAGGTCATATAGGTATAATTTTATATTCTACTTTAAAAAATTAACATGTAAGTTTGAATTCAAGAATCATAAAGCAATTTGAACACTTATATTTCTCTTTAAGTTTTTGAAGTTGATGCTGAATGTTCCTGTCATGCATCACATGATTTGGTTTCTGTTGAGTCAGTTCACTGGGGATTCTTGTCCAGAGAGCAGAATTTGAGAAGAGCTTTTAATTCATTATTGCTAGTGAAAAACTTGAATTTACAGATTTTAATATATGAATTTGTCAGTTGAGTTGAATATAGGAATGTCATCTTCAGTGTTTGGTAAAGTACTCTTTAGGCTTTTGCGTGGTTTTTAGTATTTGCATGTCAGTATTGGTACCAGCAAACTTTGAAGGATGTTTATAGTAATATAATTCTAAAAATAGTAGTTTATTGATAATTGATTAAGGCCTAGGCATTTTGCTAACCATATAACAGGTTCATCTGATTGTGTTTAGTTCTCATTTATTTTATTTAATTCTCAAAAACTCTATGAAGTATAGGTACTCTTTTCCCTGTTTCATGTGTCAAGAAACAAAGGCTTAGAGAGGTTAGTTTCCCTAAGAAGACTGATATGGTTTGGCTGGGTCCCCACCCAAAATTTCATCTTGAATTGTAATCCCCATAATCCCCATGTGTCAAGGACGAACCAAAGGTGGAGGTAATTGGATCGTGGGGACAGTTCCCCCATGCTGTTCTCCTGATGGTGAGTGAGTCTCATGAGATCTGATGGTTTTATAAGTGTCTCGCATTTCCCCTCTTGCACTCTCTGTGTCCTGCCGCCCTGTGAAGAAGGTGCCTGCTTCACCTTTGCCCTCTGGCATGATTGTAAGTTTCCTGAGGTCTCCCCAGCAGTGCGGAGCTGTGAGTCAACTAAACCTCTTTTCTTTATACATGACCCTGTCTCAGGTATTTCTTCATAGCTGTGTGAGAACAGACTAATACAAAGACCAAGTTGAAACCGAAGCTAAATCTGTTTGATGGCAAAGCTGTGTTCTTAGGCAATACTTAATTTGAAAGAATTCCTGGAGAAATGGAAGAATAATCGAGTCAGATTCTAGAACCATTATTATTGTATTCTTGAGAATAGCCTCACTAAAAAAAAAACTGAATGTACACAGTTCTTTCCATTAGGAGGTAATATTAAGCAGAGATTTCTGGAGAAGTCCCCCTGAGTATTCCACAAAGTGGTCATGGTGGCTGAGGAATGCTGCGAAGAATAGCAGCAGATAGCTGACCCTGACTTTTGATTGTCACACATGCTGTGGCAGACCAGAACAGGGACCACCAAGCAGTGCTTGACTGCAAGATTTTTTCTGAACATTTCCTCTTTTTACAAAGTGTTATCTCATCATCCCACGTTTCTATTTTAGCACCCCTGCTATATAAGAAACACTCGGTTAGATATTTAGGAAGGCAGGTGACTGATCTGGTTTCTACTCTGAAGGATCTAAACGTCAGACATGATGGTTAGTACCAAAAGGAAATATAAACAACATTATATACTAGAGTGATGGTTAGTACCAAAAGTGAAATATAAACAACATTATATACTAGAGTCAAGGACATAGCATTTAATTCTGACTGGAAAATTGGGAAAGGCTTTATGAGGAATGTGGCATTGGGTTGCAGCTTTAAGAACGGAGAGGATTTTGTCAGGGGTGTGTGTGTGCATGTATGTATGTAGGGGGGTGGAGGCGATGGTGGTTTGCTGGCTGCAATAGGCAGGAGACAAGGATAAGAAGGGAATTTTAGGCCGGGCGTGGTGGCTTATGCCTGTAATCCCAGCACTTTGGGAGGCTGAGGTGGGCGGATCACCTGAGGTTTGGAGTTCAAGACCAGCCTGATCAACATGGAGAAACCCTGTCTCTACTAAAAATACAAAAAATTAGCCGGGCATGGTGGCTCACGCCTGTAATCCCAGCTACTTGGTAGGCTGAGGCGGGAGAATCAATTGAACCTGGGAGGTGAAGGTTGCAGTGAGCCGAGATCGTGCCATTGTACTCCAGCCTGGGCAACAAGAGCAAAACTCTGTCTCAAAAAAAAAAAAAACAAAAAAAAACCAGAATTTTAGACTGAGAGAAAAACCTAAGCAGAAGCACAGGAATGAGAAGTTTTAGGAAACAACTGGGTGCAGTGGCTTATGCCTGTAATCCCAGCACTTTGGAAGGCCAAGGCTGGTGGATCACCTGAGGTCAGGAGTTCAAAACCAGCCTCGCCAACAGGGTGAAACTCTGCTTCTGCTAAAAATATAAAAATTAGCCAGTCATGGTGGCATGTGCCTGTAGTCTCAGCTACTCCGGAGGCTGAGTCAGGAGAATCGCTTGAACCTGGGAGGCAGAGGTTGCATTGAGCTGAGATTGTGCCACTGCACTCCAGATGGGGTGACAGAGTGAGACTCCATCTCAAAAAATAAATTGTTTCAGGACGTGTTTGAGATGTTCGAGTAGTCAGATTGGTTGAACACTCCAAGGTCTATAGAGGGTGAAGCTTCATGAAGCTGCAGAGGAGGTAGCTTAGGGTCAGTAGGTTGAGGTTCTTAGTTACCGTTTGCTGAGTGGCTTCTATATATCAAGTACAACCAGTAAATTAGAGATTTTTTTTTTCCCCAGGGGAAGCATGAATTTTGAATGGCTTAGCTTTTATATATTTGTAATATTCATTACAAAACTTGAGCAAATAAAAAATTAACAAGGTTGTTTAAAAAATTAATAATTCTTGTTATTTAAAATTGTTAAAAATTATTTAAAAATTAATTGTTAAAAAATTAACAAGAAATATTATTAACAGTAGTATTTCTCATCCTGAATCTCTTTCCACAGAGGCAATAATTTCTAGCAATTTACTGTTTATGTTCCAGACTTCTAATTATGCATATACAAATAGTTACACATTTTAAAAGATGGGATTATATAGCATATATTGTTTTATAGCTAATTTGATTAATTTAAGAATATAGTGTATGTTTCTGTGCCAATAAGTATGGGTTTACCTCATTTTTTTTTTTTTTTTGATTAGAGACAGGATCTTGCTCTGTTGCCCAAGCTAGAGTGCAGGGCAGTGGCGTGATCATAGCTTACTGCAACCTCAAACTCCTGGGCCCAAGTGAGCATCCCACCTCAGCCTCCCAGCAGCTAGGACTACAGACATGAGCCACTGCACCCAGCCTACCTTGTTGTTTTAAAGGCTATGTAGCAATTCATTATTTGTGTATAGCTTAATTTACTTAACAGGGCCCCAGTGGATGGACTTTTAGGTTGTTTTCAATTTTTTATTATTACAGAAATGCTGTAGTAGACATTCTTGTATATTTGTGCATTTATTTCTGTGGAAGAAATGCTTAGTAATAACTGGATCAAAGGTTTGATAATTTAAAATGTTCATTTTGCCAAATTGTCCTCCAGTAGATTATGGTAATGTTTTCGTTAACAGTGCCTGTACCCATTCTTCATATTTTTAATTTTTTTCTAATTGGGAAAACATTTTGTTTTTATTTGATAATGACAGAGAATCATATTTTCATATTTTTGTTAGTCATTTATATTTTTCTTTTGGGAATTGCCTGGTCCTGTCTTTTGCTATTTTTGAAAAAAATTCAGTGTACCTTTTTAAGGTTGATTTGTAGTGCCTTCTAAAATATAGATAGTAACCCTTTATTAGAGCCATTGAATGCCTCCTATTAATATGTGCTGGTGCTGGAAACATATTAGTAAACAAAACAGATATAGATCTTGTGGTTTAATTGGACTGGTACTGAACAAATGGTCAGAGGCAAAACTATGTAATTAAAATTGTGTTCAGTGCTTGGAAACAACAAGATCTAAACCTGAACTGGAGATTAGGGGGCATCTGTACAAACTCCTTGAAATGAGGAAGATCAGATGATTTAGAGGAAAAGATCCAGGTGGAAAGAAAGGACTGAACAAAGGGCACATAGTGCGAGTTTTGGGAGTTGGAGGGGCTCCAGAACCTCCAGAGCCTGGAAGGCTGTGCTAGGATTTTCTTCTTCATCCTCGGGGCTGTTGGAAAGTTTGGAAGATTTATAGGCTGGAGAGTGGCAAGATGAAATTTGGATTTTATGAAAATGATTAGTACAGAGAGGCAGCGAGCACTGCAGGGAGAATGAATGGGAAGTGGGGAAGACGACAGGTATGTCAGAAAGCAGAGGTGGCAGTTCTGCAGTGAGGAAGATGGTGGTTCAAGTCATGGGTGGCAACTTCATGGTGGAGGAAACCGAGACTGTCGGGAATGTTTCCCTTGAGAAGCCATGTTAATGTTATGGCTGGCTCTTCTTAGCTGTCGTTTAGGCCAGTGGCCTCTATTAATTTTGCTTAGTTACATTACACAGATGGTTTGGTTTTGCCCTAGAGGGGAGCAGCAATGCTGTTTTTATGGTGTGCCCTCCTCCTTTTGAGAAAAAAAGTTTTATAGCATGTAATTCTGACCTATAACTTCTCAGAGTAATTGCAGAGCACTAATTGGGCACTTCCTCTCTACAGTCTGCCAACACTTCATACGTTTATTAACTTAAGGTAGAGACATGTATTTTATCTATAAGATATTGAGGTCTCGATACATTGTGATGCTGTAGCAAGGTTTGCTGGTTATCTGGGTTATGTCCTATTTCTTTGGATTTTTTTCTAGTTAGAACTTTTCGGTATAAGCTACCATAAATTATGAAATGAATCACTTGCCTGATAACTTTCTGATAGATGATTATAGCAAAATAACATTTTCAGGCTAAAGAATAAAAGAGTTTGATGGAGTTCTTTATAATTAGGTTGTTACTGGCTTATATATTTTTTACATAATTACATACAAAACAATATTGATATAGGCATTCCTTAAGGATTTTGTTTAAATCTGAAATATGTGGTTGTGTGGATAAATATATAGGTATTCTTATTCTTCAGGTTCTCTGTTAGCTGTTTTTCTTTTTTTTCAGTCGCATGAATTTAAATGACATTTGAGTTATATAGAAGTTTGAAATCGATAGAAGCGTTTAGTAATCCTTGAGTGATGTTTTACCAGACAAGTAAATTGAATCTGGTCATTTTTTTCCTCAGAAGATAATAATTGTGATGAAAGAAGGGTTAGAGAATCAATACATGTAAGGTAGCCAACTAGATTGAAAGAGTAATTATTGATTAAAATTTAGCAGTAGATAGCACTTCTCTGAATTCTCTCCTAAGATTAAAGAGAAAATTAGAGTGAAGTGCAGCATGTTTTTAAATAATCTAGTCGCACGAGACATTTTCGCCAGGGTTCTATTCTCTCTGTATTTTGAGAAAACGAGGAGGCATGCAAAATATTTGCCTACCAAATTATTATTAGAGATGAGTCTCCCTGTGTTGCCCAGGCAGGAGCGTGGTGGCTATTCATGGGCATAATCATAGCTCACTGTAATCTCAAATTCCTGGGCTCAAGCGATCCTCCTGCCTCAGCCTCCCAGGTAGCTGGGATTACAGGTACATACCACCATGCCCGGCTCTACTTACTGAATTTTATAAAAATCCTGAAACAAGAATTAAGAAGAGTTTTGACAATTGGCCTTTTTACTTTCCTACATTACTTGTGAACTTTTTCCCATGACTTAGGGAAGGCCACCTTTATATCCAGAAAGAAATCCCACGTTATTGGATATTCTTTTGGTACTACTTGGTTTCTCTACTGGCACATCTCTGTGCCCTTTTGGGTGACGTCTTCTTAGGTAATTTGCAGATTAGAACTTCAGGGTCTTTGGGCTTCTTTAATGTCTTTGGGCTGATCATGAAGTATAGTATTACTATTTATAGTAATGTACTTGTCTAGTGTAAATTAATTTTTAATAATTAACCTGTGCTAGTTAATTTGAAAATAGGTATTGGATTTATCATTAAAGTATTTCATTTTTCAAGTTAACTCCTGGGATGGTTTTATGGTGAGCGGTAAGTAAAGCAGATAGTATTTGCTAGGTACCAAGCTTTGTAGCATTGCACATTTTGTAAACTCGAAGGATGGAAACAATCAGTTTGAAGTTCAATTGTATGTTTGAATAATACTGATGATCTTTTTTTCCTTTGTCATGAAATGTATAGTTTAAAAATGTGTATTTTTACTTTTTGAATAGGTAATGTATTTACATGGTTCTGATTTCAAAATATAGCAAAAAATAGCAATTTAGTTAAAAAATTACTATGTAGGAAAGTTTCCTCTTTATAATGCCTCTGCCTGCCTGCTGTAAACTGACTTTGACTCACATCTTTAAATGATGCCTTTAGATCTGGGTGATCTTTTCGTATCAGAACAAACGTTATGTTTTTGTCTTTTTCACTAGTAAGTAGTGCATCTGTATTGACATTTTTGAGACCCACATTTTGAAACAACTAATGATCCTTGTGAATCTAGATCTGTATTTTAATAATCACACATGTAAGGATTCATATGTATTAGCCTTTCTTTGATGCTCTTCGTGTTCATATTTTGTCAATTTCTGTTTTCTTTGACTAAGGTGTAACGAGTTTAAAAATATTCTACATATTTGTCACTATAATCATGAGGTACAGAGTTAGTTCTTAATCAGTTTTTTCCCCCCAAAATCCATTTAGCAGAAATTAATCAGTTTTTAAAGTACAGCTTCCCCAAAGCAACATGGTATCTCTTGGGAGATGACTAGTTTGGGCCAGATTTTAATTTCCTTTAGGAATTTAGCTCTTAAAAAAATCAATTTATTCACTTGATTTAAAAATTATCAAGGAATTTTCAAATACATTTAAAGCAAAGAGAATACTGTATGAGTCCTTAGATGTGTGATTATTAAAATACAGATCCAGATTCACAGAGATTATAAGCTGTTTCAAAATTCCAGTCTGAAAGGAGTCAATTCGGATTCACTGCTTATTAGTTAAGACAACAATATAACATTTGGTCTGACGTGAAAAGATAAATCGTTAAAAAAAGTACAGAATAGTGCATATTGTACATCATCTTTTCTTTTTAAAGAAAATGAGACTATATGTTCATACATGCTTATATATGTTTAAAGTAACTTTGGAAGGATACAGCAAGAAACCAATAAAAGTGGTTTACCTGAGTTATTAGGAACAAGATTGGAAGGAGACTTTGAGCTCTTTACCTTTTTTCTGAAGTTTATTTGTTGTTCTTGTTGGCTATTTATTTTTAAGAGACAGGGTCTTGCTCTGTCACCTGTGCTGGAGTGCAGTGGTGGGATCACATCTCACTGAACCCTTGAACTCCTAGGCTCAAGTTATCCTTGTTCCTCAGCCTTCCAAGTAGCTGGACCTACAGGCATGTGCCACCATGCCCAGCTTAATTTTTTATTTTTTGTAGTGATGATGTCTCACTGTGTTGCACAGGCTGGTATTGAACTCCTGGCCTCAAGTGATCCTCCCACCTCTGCCTCCCATACTGCTGGGAGGCATGAGCCACCACATCTGGACTTTTTTTTTTTTTTTTTTTTTTTTTTTGGCTTTTTGAACCATGTGAGTACTATATTAACAATGAATTTAAATTTTGTTTAAAAATTTTTTTATTAAAAATTGATTTAAAAAGAAAATATAAAATTTACAACTTAAAAATATAGCACAATAATGGCTATTTTCCCAGGAAAACTTGTAGATTTAGGCTGACGGTCCTTTGTGCCGCAGAAGTTGTGGACTGAAAGGAATGAGAAATGTGCTTTAAAGACTGTCTTCCTATCTTCGCCCCCAAGTGGCCGAGAGCTTATTTTGTTGTAACCTTTTTTTTTTCTTTTTCTTCCCTCTTTTTTTTTCAAAGGCTGGTGGGGTAGCAGGTGTTTCTGTTGACTTGATATTATTTCCTCTGGATACCATTAAAACCAGGCTGCAGAGTCCCCAAGGATTTAGTAAGGCTGGTGGTTTTCATGGAATATATGCTGGCGTTCCTTCTGCTGCTATTGGATCCTTTCCTAATGGTAAAAAATTATATTCTCACTTCTGTAAAGCCAAGATAAGATGGGATTTTCAGAATGGTGTGTGGTCTTACCCCCATAGAATTCCTTGTGTGTTGAAGCTTATCTTCTGAATTTCCTTCTTTAACCTGGTGTCATTATTATTTTTTATTTATTTTAGTCACGGTCTCACTTTGTCGCCCAGGTGGGAATGCAGTGGTGAGATAATAGCTAACTGCAACCTTGACCTCCTGGGCTCAAGAAATCCTCTTGCCTCAGCCCCCTAAGTAGCTGGGACTACAGGCGTGCACCACCATGCCCAGCTAATTTTTGTACTTTTTGTAGAGAATGGGTTTTGCCATGTTGTCTAGGCTGGTCTTGAACTCCTAGGCTCAAGCAATCTGCCCATCTTGGGCTCCCCAAAGTGCTGGGATTATAGTCGGCATGAGCCACTGTGCTGGGCCTAACCCATTATTTTTGAATCAGATAGTGTTATAGATTCCATTTCAATATATTTGTAGTAGGGAAAAAAAAAGCAATCTTTTAAAAATTGTTTCTGTTGTTAAAATTTCCAACTAGAATCCTTAAAGTGTTATTTTAATGCTGTGATTCTTCAGAACAATCATTCTCAACTTTGCCTGCACATTAGAATCTACTGGGAAGCCTTAAAAAATACTGATGTCCTGTGTCATCCTAGAAGTTTAATTGGTCTAGGCTTCGCCTGGGTATTAGGAGTTTTAATAACTTCCAAGGTGACTCCGCTGTGAAGCCAAGTTTGATAATAGCTGCTTTGGAGCATCTTAGAGAGCAGGTGAACCTAAGAGGCATTACACATTTCTATCCTAATTAAATTGCTCTTACATGATGCAAGTGTTTCTCACTAATGTTCTCCTGGATACTGTCCTTCCAATGTCTTTTGTTTTGGTTCTGAAGTCATGTGACTTATGACGCTCTTACTCTTTAGTCAATGTAATCTGTTTTGTTTAATCTGCTTCTTGGTATACTGTTTGCAGATACTTATTTTAATTGTTTACTGTTGGATGCCTCTAGTGGCATTTGAAAGTAAACTAAAGCAACAAAACAAAAAATCACCATATATAAGACACACCCACAAAACCACAGCTCTAGAAGATTCTTAAATTCTGGGGATTGCTTTTGTTTTTCGCAGGATGATTCATGAGAATTTTTTTCTCTTACGTTAACCTGACATTTAAATGTTCATTCTGTGAGCATAGCATTCACATAAAGGTTTGTAGTGCAAAGAGAAAAACAGTATTTCTGTTTCTTTTTTTCTCCTGCCCTTCCCCATCCCCCAGCCATCATTAGAATGGCAAACTGTTTTGGTCATCTTTCGATTTTTGTGTATGTTAATACTCTGAGTAATTGTAACAAGTTGTTAAGTGAGCATCCACTCCATGCCAAGCATAGTTTTAAGTACGTGAGAGGGGCATGGGTTCCCCAATTTGTCCACTTTGGAATCACCTGATTACTGAAGAGCTTAAACAAATACAGTTGACCCTCGAACAATTTGGCAGTTAGGGGTGTCGATCCCCTGTGCAGTCAAAAATCAGAATATAACTTTTGACTCCCCCAAAACTTAACTACTGATAGCCTGCTGCTGTCTTAATGATAGCATAAACAGTTGATTAACACATACTTTGTGTGTTAAGATATGTATTAACACATGTTTATGTGTTTTATTATTATTATTATTATTTTTTGAGATGGAGTCTTGCTGTGTCACCCCCCAGGCTGGAGTGCAGTGGCGCCATCTCTGGTCACTGCAGCCTCCACCTCCTGGGTTCAAGCAATTCTCCTGCTTCAGCCTCCTGAGTAGCTGGGATTACAGGCACACGCCACCACACCTGGCTAATTTTTTTATTTTTAGTAGAGACGGGGTTTCACCATGTTATCCCGACGTCACGTGATCTGCCTGCCTTGGCCTCCCAAAGTGCTGGGATTACAGGTGTGAGCCACTGCGCCTGGCAAATGTTTTATATACTGTATTCTTACAATCAGGTAAGCCAGAGAAAAAATACTAAGAAAATCATAAGGAAGAGAAAACGTATATTCAGTAAGTGGAAGTGGATCATCATAAGGTCTTCATGTTGAGTAGGCTGAGGAGGAGGAGGAAAAAGAGGACTTGGTTTTGGTGTCTCGGGTGGCAGAGGCAGAAGAAGTAGAGGAGGTGGAAGGGGAGGCAAGAGAAGCAGGCTCACATAGTGTAACTTTATGGAAATTTATCATAGTTTCTGTCTCACCTTTTTGCTGTTTCATTTCTCTAAAAATGATTCTTTATGGTACCAATCCTTTCACCATTTGCTTTAGTTTCAATGCCCATATTGTATAGAAGGGTCCTTGTCATAAAGGAAGTCAAAAGCAGTCTTTAATAATCAGAACCTTTCTGCTCGATTGTCTGATGTCATTTTCTTTTCTGGCATTCCTTCTTCTACATCTTCTCCCTTGTCATTTGACACTGGTTTGGAAGCACTCATCTCCACCAAGTTGTCTTCTGTTAATTCCTCTGGTGTGGTGTCTGTTAGCTCTTGAATTTAAGATCTATGTTTTGAAACCCTTCATCCCCAACCTTTTTTTTTTTTTGCCACATCCACAATCTCTTTTATGGTTTTCTTGATTGGCTCTGTCATGAATACTGTGAAGGATTTGCCTACTTCTCTTCTTACTGATAAATGTCCTTGGTGACATTTTTCTTTTCCCAGAACAGGGCACTCTCATCTACATTAGAAATCTATTCAGGCAGATGTCCTTTCTGCTCAATAATTTACTTAATGGCAGCTGGGAACTTGTTTACTGACTCATGGATGGCAGAAGCTGCTTCTCCTGTTATCTTGACATTTTAAAGCCAAATCTTTTTCTAAAATTATCAAACCATCCTTGGCTGGCATTAACTTCTTCAGCTTTAGATCTTTCACCTTCCTTTTGTTTGATCTTGTCATGAAATGACTTTGCTGTTTCTCAAATCATTTTAGAGACAGTAAGTATGCCTTTATTATAGCAACCCTTTACCCACATGAAAGCTGCATTTTCAAAACAAGAAAAAAGGTACTTTGCAGGAAGTGTGAAGTTTTCATGCCTGCTGGCATAGCTGCAGCGATGGGTTAATGAGTTTCCTTTCTTTCTTTTTTTTTTTTTTTTTTTTTTTTAACAGTGGATTAAGCTGGATTCATTCATCTTGAAATGGCTGGCAGCCACAGCTTCAGGTTTCAGTCTGTGGTACCTAACAAGCAATTTGACTCTCTCTTGTAATGTCATGACTCCTTTCTGCTTCTTAGGAGCTTTCTTGAAATGTCATCACTTCCAGCATCACTAGTGGCACTTCATCTGGGTCCTGTGGTGTTATTCAAAGTTTGTGGTATGGCACTAACCACGACAAAAAATACATAAGAACTGGGAGAGATCCTTTTGCTCTGTGATAGGCAATTTATTGCGGCCATGAACTGCTCCTGTGGAGATAATTAGTGTCACGTGGCATTTTAAGTGGATACTCCGCAACACCTGAACTCACTATAATAGCAAGAGGAGGTGGCAAAGAGGTTACTACAGTAGTATAGTATGTGCTACAGTTAATTTTGTGCAGTTATGATTTAACACTATACATTTTTTTCCCCCTGAGACCAGGTCTCACTCCGTTGCCCAGACTGGAGTGCAGTGGCATGACGTTGGCCCACTGCAACCTCAACCTCCCAGGCTCAGGTGATCCTCCCACCTCAGTCCCAAGTAGCTGGGATTACAGGTGTGGGCAACCACACCTGGCTAATTATTTATTTTTTTGTAGAGATGGACTTTCTCCATGTTGTCCAGTCTGGTCTTGAACTCCTGAGCTTAAGCCTCAGCCTCCCAAAGTGCTGGGATTACTGATGTGGGCCACTGTGCCTGGCCCATCTTTACATTTGTTTACATTTCTCTTAACTATGAATGATGTGCTATATGGTTTGTGTTTGTAAGTTTTGATGAATTTTAACTTTTTATATTTTATGTTAGTAAATGATAAAATAGGCTAGTATCTAAATATATTTTATGTATTCATGACAGGGCTAGCCTTTTCTTTTCTTTTTTTTTTTTTTTTGAGACAGAGTCTCACTCTTTCACCCAGGCTGGAGTGCAGTGGTGCGATCTTGGCTCACTGCAAGCTCCGCCTCCTGGGTTCATGCCATTCTCCTGCCTCAGCCTCCTGAGTAGCTGGGACTACAGGCACCCGCCACCACACCCGGCTAATTTTTTTGTATTTTTAGTAGAGACGGGGTTTCACTGTGTTAGCCAAGGATGGTCTCGATCTCCTGACCTCGTGATCCACCTGCCTCGTCCTCCCAAAGTGCTGGGAATACAGGCGTGAGCCACCGTACCTGGCCACCTTTTCTTAATTTTTTGGTATTTCTAGGCTATGTGGTTCATCTATAAGTTTGTTCAAATTATCACGAATCTCCAAAAATTTTTCCAGTATATTTATTGAAAAAAAGCCATGTGTAAGTGGACCTGTGCGTTTAAACCCGTGTTCAAGGATCACCTGTACTGCTGCTTGTCACCCAACCCTACACATTGTGACTTAATTGGTCTGAGGTGTGGATTGGGCATTGGATGTTATAAAAAAAATCCCAGGATGATTCTTAAATTCAGACAAGTTTGAGAACCTCTGAACTAGGGAATTGCAAAGAAACATGTCACAAAGTCCCTATCTTTTGGTCACCATTTTTTATGGTGTCTCTACACTCATTCTTCTAAAGATCCTTTTATCTTACATATTGCATAGAAAGATTATTTTGGGAAGATGTACAATTAGCTGTAGTGCGTAGGTTACATAGTGATGTCATTAAGATCACAGGTTTTACATTCTTCCCTCGGGAGTTTACATATATAATGTGGTTTTGAATTATTAGTATTATTTTTGCCATCCATGAAACTTCAGTGAATGGGAGATGCTAGGGAAAAGTCAGAGTACCAGGGTTCAAAAATAGCCTTGTTTTACTGCCAAGTTTGAAAGAATTGGACTTTTGTGTGTGGTGTCTTTTTTCTTTTGCTATTGGTTACGGTTTTAATCTAAGTACAGAACTTCACTGTAGTTGATCATCAGTGGATGTGGATGTTTTTGTAAACCTATGCTGCAGGAGTGAGGGGTTGGGGTGGGGCTAGAGGGAAACAAAGATGGAAAGAGGTGAAGAGAAGACCATGTTTAGGAGCCTTAGTCCCTATTTTGAAGGGAATGTAGAGAAAGCATAGCTTTTTTTTTTTTTAAAGAGCCAGAAGGAACTATAGGCATCAGCTAGCCCAGCCCCTATTCTTTGCTTTAACTTGTTCAGCCCCCAACTTGGAACCTGACTGTACTGACATTTGCAGTTAGTAGAGGCCTTCTTGGATGCCACCTGGAGGGTGGAGGGAGGTTTGGAACTTATATTCTTAAAGAACCTTTTATGTTACAAAAGAAGCCATAAAGTCAGATGAAGTTGAGGTGGTTAACCATGAAATGGAGGAAGTTTTACCACTGTCTCTCTCCCTTTTCTTGGGGGTTAGGAGGGTAGGATGTAGAGTGGCAGAACTTAACAGCTGAATGCAATTAGAGGTATTATAGCTGCACATTTATTAAGTGGGCTGAAGTGGGAAAAATCACATGAAGAAACACAAATGGGAATAGACTTGTGTTAACCAGGTAAAACTACCTGAACTGGTCATTATTCATTCATGGACAGAGTGCCTCTTCATTTAGCCTAGTGTATATTTGTTAGCACGTGAAGATCCTTTACAAGCTTTTGTTGACTTTGGAGAACTGATTTTCACCATCAAGCTGTTTTCCTTAGTGTTTCAGAGTTAGTGACATGTTCAGATGCCCTTCAGAAGATGAATTTGTCATTCCTTTATCTCTTGTGCCTTATCTTTTATCCAACTGATAAACATTTTTTGGTTAACAGTACATAGAAAGTTTTAAAGCCGTCATATGCAGCTATGATTAGTTCATTGTGATAGGGGTAGCTTTTTAGAGGTTTTTAGAGATTTTAATTAAATGGCTGATTGTTTTCTTGATGTAAAAGTGAATTCATGCAGTAAAAAATAGCCATGATTATTTTGAGTAACCAGTAATAAAACATTATAGAATAGACATTTTCTTTAAAGTATGTTTGCAATTTTAACCTGTTTATTCATCAATGTAGTTGATTGTTTTATGGCCATCCATAATGATATTTTGGATCACAGAAATTCATATCCTTTTCTAAAGTTGACTTTAAAAATGTATAAGTAATTTGTCAGTACAACACGGTAAGTGCTAGATTAGCACTTGTGCTCCTTCAGGGTAGGTGTTATATTTTCTGCATTTTTGTAAGTCTAAGATCAGGCATATACCATGGCGTCAGTAAACTCTGAAAGAGTGGGGGTAGGAAGAAAAGATATGTGCTTATCACCTTTTCTCTTATCTCATAATTTAATAATTATTGTCATACTTTTTGAGAAACATGTTTCTTAACAGTGTGAATATATGTTTAAACTTTGTGAAAGACTGGCTTGTTTTAAATTTCAGCTGCTGCATTTTTTATCACCTATGAATATGTGAAGTGGTTTTTGCATGCTGATTCATCTTCATATTTGACACCTATGAAACATATGTTGGCTGCCTCTGCTGGAGAAGTGGTAAGTAACAAGTTTTGTGTATAAAATACTTCAGAAATGCACATCATGCATATATTTTCAGTACATATTTATTTCATTTTTTAAAAATTATTTTTAAATTATGAAAGTCATAAATGGCAATAAATGTAAATGGATTAAATATGACAGTTCGAAGATAGAGCCTGACAACTAAAAGACAGAGCCTTATATAGGACAGAAGAAGAATTCTAGCTATGTGTAATTTACAAGAGACAGATGTAAAACATAATTATATGGAAAAAAGACAAAGAGTGGAAGAAAATATCCATTCGAATTGTGACAGCTTTGTATTGTGTCGGTACAACTGAGCTGGAACTACTTTTCCGAGAATTTCCTTTCCGAAATAGTTTCAGTTTGGGTCAGCCACAAGAGAAATTTGCATGTTCTTTGTAAGGTAGAAGTGAAGAGCTGTATTTCTGCTCAGAAGGTTGGTATATGGTCAGGCACTGTTGCAGCTCACACACCCTGTCACTGACTTGGCTGTATCACCATGTTGACGTTTGGCTTCCAGCTCCTCCAGCTCCCACTGGTTCTTTTCCATCAGCTTCTCCAAATTCTAGGTCAGATTTGTGGGCTCTGTCATGAAGGGTGCCAGCTTATACTGCAAATTCTCTGTCACAGATTGGTGAGAAATAAATGTGACTTCCAGTCTGTCCTTGTTCTTCCCCAACTTCACATCCATCTTTCCTTCCCTGTTGCCTGCCCTTTGATTTCTATCCCAACACTAGATGGAGAAGCAACAGCCCTATACAAACTGCTTAATTAGCTCCCATAATTACTGGTCAAATCTCTATAATCCTTATCACTCATAGTGGTTTTGCTTCTGTGATGAAACCCTAATACTAATTGAAAAATAGTTTGTGGAATAATATTAATATTAGGAAAAAATACGTAAGGCAAAAAACAAAGAGACCAGTGCACAATGATACTGGAACAGTTCTTTCAGGAGATGTAACAAGCCCGAACCTGCACTGAATAACATAGTCTCAAAACATATAAAGCAAAAACTGACAGAATTTTATGGAGAAATGAAGAAAACTGTAGTCTTAGTTGGAGATAGTCACATCTCTCTCTCGAAGTAGGCATAAACTTACTAAGGCCATAGAAGATTTGAACAACACAATGACAAGATTGGTCTGTTGATACATGTAAAACTTTGCACCCAACAAGTAAAGAAGATAGACTTTTTCAAGCATAATTGGAACTTAATAACAATAGCCCACAGGGCCAGTTTTAGTGAATACTGCAGAGACATTGTCATTACAGATCATTAGTTGTGTCATTATAATGAAGTAAAATTGGCAACAGTGACAAAAAATAGGCAGTCTGTTCCTACCATGTGTTTAAAAACCAAACTCTTGGCCGGGCACGGTGGCTCACGCCTGTAATCCCAGCACTTTGGGAGGTCAAGGTGGGTGGATCATGAGGTCAGGAGATCGAGAGCATCCTGGCTAACACCGTGAAACCCCGTCTCTACTGAAAATACAAAAAAAAAAATTAGCCGGGTGTGGTGGTGGGTGCCTGTAGTCCCAGCTACTTGGGAGGCTGAGGCAGGAGAATGGCATGAACCCGGGAGGCAGAGCTTGCAGTGAGCCGAGATCAAGCCGCTGCACTCCAGCCTAGGCGACAGAGCGAGACTCTGTCTCAAAAAAACAAAAAACAAACAAAAAACTCTTTTGTAAATAATTTCAGTCAAAGTAGAACACAGTACTGTAAGTGGTAAGTGTAAGTGATATTTATTTTTTGTTTCTATTTTTGAAGAGATGGGGGTCTCTTTATGTTTTCCAGACTGGTCTCGAACTCCTGGTCTCATGTAGTCCTCCTGACTCAGCCTCCCAAAGTACTGGGATCATAGGCATGACCCACTGTGCCTGGCCAAAATTGATATTTTAAACCGAAATCGTAAACACAGTTATGATTAAAAAAAAAAAAAAAAACAAAACCTCAAAACTAATGCAGAGGAGAAATGTATAATACAAATAAAAGTTTCTTCATTCCCCTCATTAACTTATCTTTCTCCCTACCCCTTCTGCACAATGCTGAGGGACAGCCTTTTATGTTGCTTATTAGTGTTATTTTCAAATCACACAGCCTGGTATTCATGCAGTCTTATTAAACCCCCATCCTTGTGATGGGCATAATAGAAATGGACAACACAGTGAAGATAAAGGTCTTAAGTTTGTAAGCCTTTTATCAAATCACACTTTTCTTTGTAATTAGAAAAGTAATGGCATATGTTTACATAGGAAACTTGGGAAATGAATTAACCTTTATAACATTTACATTAAAAATTGTGTTATATTGTGAATTTGTTTTTGATGCACTTTTTTTCTTTAGGAAGTTTGAACAAGAATCTACAAACTGTTTAGTAACCTAATATTCCTTGTTTAAGAATAAGTGAACTGGGGATATGGAAAGAGAGGTAACACAAAAGTAAAAGTTAACATGAAGAAGATTTTTTTTTAAAGAAACCAGCTTTATTGAGATACAGTTCACATACCATACAGTTCACCCCTTTAAAGTGTACAATTCAGTGGTTTACACCATATTCACAGAGTTGTACAACCTTTGCCAGCGTCCATTTTAAAACATCTCTCCCCAAAGGAAGCTCTTACCCATTGCAGTCACAATCCCCATTTCACCCCAACCCTCCCCACTCCTAGGCAACCACTGGTCTACTTTCTATCTCTATGAATTTGCCTATTTTGGACATTTGATATAAATGGAATCCTACAATATGTGGTCTTTTGTTACTGACTTTTTTCAGCTAGTGTAGTGTTTTCCAGGTTCATCCGTGTTGTAGCATCTGTTAGTAGTTGGTTTCTTTTTAAAATTAATTTAGGTGATTATGTCCTGACACACAGTCTCGTTACATGCAGTTAGTCTGGAGTATGTATACTTACATTTGTTGGTACATTGTTGAGAGCAAGCAACAAAAAAAGAACCTGGCCACTTCATTTCACCTGGGGCCATCTTGCCTGAAAGTTATTTTGCCATGTTGAAGGGCAGGCTTTCCTCAGTTTATAAACTTTCAGTCCAAAAAAATAGAAAGTGATATAATAGGTAGGGCATATAGTAGCTATTAGATTTCTCATGTTAATCATACATCTTTTTATTTGTAGAAAGTCGTTTATATTCTGATGCTCCTAGTATCTGTAACTAATATTTTTAAAAAATTGGAGCCTTGGAAAAGGCTCTAAGTTTCTAAGATTTACAAATATTATGTCATAACATTTGATATGTGGACTGTTAGGCATGGGAGGTGGGGTAGGTAGATTTTAGAATTAGGAAACAAGTATCCATGAGACTGGAGATACAACAGATAAGGACATTCTTACCTACATTGTGTCTTTTGGGGGTTCTGTGGTCCCTGAGCTGGTAAGGCCAATTATCAAACACCTATTTATAGTTGCTATGGAGCTGGGCTCTTGGTAATTTGCCCATGTTGGCTTCAGACTCTTGGCCTCAAGAGATCCTCAGTAGCTGAGACTACTGGTGTGCGCCACCAGGCCTGGCAATTCCTAGAGAATCTTTGTTTTTATTTTGTTTAAGACGGAGTCTTGCTCTTTCGCCCATGCTGGAGTGCAGTGGCGCGATCTCGGCTCACTGCAACCTCTGCCTCCCAGGTTCACGCCATTCTCTTGCCTCAGCCTCCCGAGTCGCTGGGACTACAGGCACCCGCCACCACACCCGGCTAATTTTTTTTTGTATTTTTAGTAGAGACGGGGTTTCACCATGTTAGCCAGGATGGTCTTGATCTCCTGACTTCGTGATCCGCCCACCTCAGCCTCCTAAAGTGCTGGGATTACAGGTGTCAGCCACCGCGCCAGGCCCCTAGAGAATCTTAAGAGGACAATTGGTCAGCAGTGGGTACATAGATTTAGGACTTTACACATGAAATACTTCTTGATGTTGGCTATTTAAATATAAATATAAATATATATATATATGCACACACACACACAAATGCACACACACATATTTACAAATGAATGAATGATGGGGTCTCACTCTGTCAACCAGGCTGAAGAGCAGTGATGTGGTCATAGCTGCTGTAGCCTGTAACTTCTGGGCTCACGTGATCCTCTCACTTTAGCCTCCTGAGTAGCTGGGACTGTAGGCAGGTGCCACTATGCCTGGCTAATTTTTTAAAACAATTTTGTAAAGATGGGGTCTTACTATGTTGCCCAGGCTAGTCTTGAACTCCTGGCTTCAAGCAGTTCTTCCACTGTGGCCTTCCAAAGTGCTGTAATCCAGACATGAGACACTGCACCCTGCCAATATTGACCTTAAATGGACTTTAAATTCAGTTATGGTTTAGTATGCTGAGAAGTTTGCCAAATTTATGAAGTTTGTGGAAATATTGGTTCTGATGCTCTAATAATCTTTGATCTTAAACTTCCTGAAGCCATTCAGTATGAATTTTCTCAATAAATGCTTATATACATATTACGCCTTTCTTTTTTTAGTAACCTGTTTTAGTCTCATAGAAGATAAACTTTTGATTTCAGATTCATGGAAGTATGGTTGCCAAGATTAAGAGAAACCAACAGGTGAATTTAGAGGACATAAATTTTCATTTGTAAAATAAAAAGAAATAGGAATAGAAAACATTTATAGCTGTCAATGGTCAGAAAGGTATAGTAACCTAGAGATTATAAGAAATACTTTAGTGCAATCATTATTCTGTAACACATTTGCTTTGATAGATTATTATGTTAGACAGATTGGTTAGAAACAATAACATATTTTGTTTGTGTTGAATATAGCCACAGTTACTTTCTTGTAGCAACTATTAAGGAAACTTAGAAACAAAAGAACAGTGCCAAAATAATAACCATTCCCTGTAGCAACAGCTTGATTAAAACTTAATGATGAATCAGTGAAACTATAATTACAACCTTCTACCTTATGTTTGCAATTTAGAATACAGTAAAATCAGTCAAATAAGATTTAACATGTAACAATAGCAAGAGGGGTCCTGCTTGTGCCGTTTTTATTAGGAAGATTGCTGTGCCAAATCTCTAAATCTCTACCTCAATAATTTTCCAGCTCAGTTTTCATCACACACAGAAAAAGCCCTTTGGGAAGTAGAATCTGTAATTAGATCAAAGGTTGGGGCAGGTTTACTTTAACGGTACATATGCTATAACATTCTAATGGTAGTGATTTTCTTTTCTTCAAAGGTTTTAAGATTTGACGTGTTGTATCTTATCCTACTTTTGTCTTTATTCATATTGTCAGAAATGAAAAAAACATTGAAATTTCTTCACCCTTGAAAGCAGCAACACTGTGAATGTAATGTATGTTCATAGGTGACATGTACATGTCCTCATACACTTAGATGCTGGTAGAGTGTCCTTTTCAAGTGTCCTTTATGGTCCTGTTCTGACTTGGGATTGAAAAAGCTAGGAAATAAATGATATCATGTTTTGTAAATGTTTTTCTGACAGCCTCTAACAGTACTTCCCCAAGAAGGCCCGATGAGCATCTCCCCATACTTCACCATCAGTTGCGTAGGTAGCTAGTTACAAATGGGGATTTTTGGAGATGACACTAGGGTTCCTGTATTTTAAACACAATCTCTAGATGATTGTGCAACTCACCAATATTTAATGCCACTGATCTAGGCACATAAAACATCTGAACTTACACCCCAGTAGTAAATATTTTTACTGAATTGGCTCAGTAATTCCCTACATAATATTTTAGTAGGTGCACAACACTGGGTGTGGTGTACCACTTGTAGATCAAATGTGTTATTCTTTCTGTTCTCCTCAAAATGACATATTTTAGACCTAAAAAGGCTAGTTTAATAAACTGGTTATTTTTGAGTGTGACAATGAACTCAGACATGTAGATTTGGATTTAACTGGAGTTAGAATGAGGTTTTCTCCAAGGCCCATGCTGTCATAGAGCCTCGTAGGCAAAGGCAGCTTGTTTTATGGTTTAGCTCCTTTAGTAACTGACAAGGCCGTTGGACCCCCTTTGTACCACAGTCCATTCCAGGGTCTCCTTTGGTATCAGCATATGGGGCAAACATGTTCTTATTCAGCTTTCCCACTGGTTAAAGGATTGGACGCATAGATGCTGTGTGGTGTTTTTCAGCTCCAGAGCATGGTGCACATTTTACTGAGTTTTTCCCTAGTTGTGGCTTAAGCTGTTTTGTTTATCTACTTAATATCATGCTTTAAAAATGAGTACGTAGTATTCTTCATGATCTTCACTGGCCTTTTCTAAGAAGAACCACTGAGCAAGATAATAGAAGAAAGGTTGACAACTTTTGAAATGTATTTTATCTTTTGAATTAATCATGCTTTTGAAATATTCATCGATCAATACAGATTATCTCTCCCTTGCAGCTGGAATATTTTGCCACATCTCTGCACAGTTGTATAAGTGAGTCGTGGGGGATAGGTGAAGTAGAAGATAACATGGCTGCCCTGAGCCACAGTGAAATGTAGCTGATGATGGCAATTGCTTGTATATAAAGATGAATGAAGGTTCATCAATAGTGTATGACTATTACCAGGAAACACAGAAGCTGAAACAGAACTGTCAGATACCTGAGTGCACTCAAACAAACACTTTTTTTGTGTGATGTGTCTAAGCACATCCATGTATTATGGGACCTTTCACCCTATTTTCCTGTCTGTTGACTTTTTCAAAGTGTGTCTGGGAGTCTTCCTTCAGGGCATTAAATACATAAGGCAGGCAGACTTTTAAATTCCTTCTTAGCAACCCTAAACCATAAGAATTACACAAAAAATTATCTCAACCATATAAAAAGCAGTTTGTTTTCCAGACTCCTTTTATTTTGTATTATTTCCTCACTTGTACATCTTTGATTCTTTTTTGTAATAGGTTGCTTTTGTTCAGCTCATCTTAGATTCCTTCACCACTTCTATGGTCCTTACCTAGTGATGTGGATTTAGATCTGAAGTTCCTAATACGTTCCAGGCATTGAGGATGAAATGACAGGATAAGATACTGCCTTTTAGAGGCTTGCTGTAAGTGCACTAAAGTGTTACAGGCATTTTTAAGAAAAGGAACTATAGACGGTCCGTGACTTACGATGGTTCTACTTAAATGACTTTACAATGGTGCAAGAGTGAGATGCATTCAGTAGAAACTGTATTTCAGATTTTGCATTTTGATCTTTTCCGGGCTAGTGATAGGTGATAAGATGCTCTCTGGCAATGGTGGGCAGTGCATGTCCCAGTCAGCTGTGCTGGTGTAAGTATTCTGAGCAATTTTAGGGAGGCAAGGCTAAAGCAATGATGTTCCGTAGGTTGGGGGGTATCACATGCGTTTTCAACTTATGATGGGTTTATTGGGACATAACCCTGTCATAAATTGAGGGTCATCTGTACAAGGTAGAGTGAGAGACTGAAGGGAAGGAGGGGTTGGTTTTCTCCGGACTGGGGTAGATGGATGGGTGTTAATTCAGAAAAAGCCTCACAGAATAGCCAGGCTTTAAGCTGCATTTAATTTAATTCATTAAAAAAATTGTGCATCTATTTAAGGTATCAACACAATGTGGGATACGTATAGATAGTAAAATGGTTGCCACAGTGAAGTAAGTCAACATATCCATCATTTAACATAATTAGTCTTTTTGTTTTGTGTTTGTGGCAGGGCAGCTAAAATCTGATTTAGCAGGAGTCTCAGTTATAGTACAATTTTATTATCTTGCATTTAGAATAGGATGGTTTGTTAGGTGGGTGGGTGCAAGGAGGGGTGTTAGAGTTCTGAAAAGACCTTGTTAGGTAGTTTTAAGTTCCATATGTTTGGAGCACAGTATGATAGGGTCACCCTGAGGCGAAGCAGGGGCTGAGAGCTATAGGGCCTTGCCTGCTATAGTAAGGAGTTGGGACTTTTTTGATCAGACTTGTAATTTTAAGAAAGTCCCCTGGCAGCTGTGTGGAGATAAGGAGACTATTAAAGGAATCCCCAGGAGAGAACCACAGCTGGGGCAGAGGGATGCAGAGGGAGAGAGTGAGTTCAAGAGATGTTAAAGAGGTAGAGCTGGTGGAAAGATGATCATTCTTTCAGGAGCCCTTCCAGCGACATCCTTCAGTGCGTTTTTCATCATGGATGCCTTTTAGTTTGTTGTGTCTATGTGTGTTGTGCACCTACTTGAATTCTCCAATGGAGTCTACCGAGCTAAGTTGAATAAGCATGCCCCATCTTGCCAGTGGGCCCAGCCATCTGAGTCTGAGCTAACACGCAGAGAGGGAAAGAAGACGAAAGAGAGAGAGGGTCAGAACGGGAGGGTCAGGGCTTCCCCTGGCTTGGCATTATCTGTGTGTGGTTATGACCTTGCTTGTAGTTATTCATCTATAGTACAGGCATGAATGTGCTGAAGAGATTTATCAGTGAGGCCTGTAGAAAGGAACATTGTACCCCATCTGCATCCTCACCCCCAGTTTCTCGATGAGTTCCTTTTCTAACATATTTCAGATTGTTTTCTGTTGTATGGATTTTCTTTTTCTAATATAGTATGCAGTGTTAGTTCAGATGGTATTGATTCATGACCTGGGAGAGTATATTTCATTGATTTTTTTATTTAGTTAGTGGACAAAAAGGAAGGGAAGCTCTGTTAACTTTTTATTTAAGAGCTGCATGAGTTTATAGAACACAATTAAGTTGAGCTTTATAGGCACAGTATGATTTTCATATAGGTTGATGAAGTTGAAGAAACGATTCTGAGCCACAGGAGTGTAACTTGGTCAGTTATTGCCACTGCATTGTAAATGGAAAGACTGAATACTACTCTCAAAGGACCAAAATACCAAAGGAGGTTAGGATTGGCCACTTCCAAGCGAGCCTGAACTCTGTCAGTGACAAACCTTTATTTCCTAAAATATTGCCTTGTTAAGATTAGGGTTCTTGAATTAAATGCAACTGTCACTTATTTGCTTTGGTTTGTGATTGTGTGCTTTTCAATATTTGAGTTGTATAGCTAATACTATTAATAGGTGCTAAGAGACACCGAATAAGAAATTTGATCCCCGTTTTTGAGGAGCATATAAGTAAGTTGGATCCATCTGTTAAATAACTAGGGAGTATTTGAGGATGTCTGTAGGGAGGTAGCAAGGTATGGACCATGGGCTGTCAAGTTACACAGATCGGGGTCAGATTTGTGACTTGTCCACTTATTTGTCTGTAGGCCATTTACTTGCCTTCACTGAAATGCTCTTTTCCTCATCTTGAAAAAATAGGATTAATGCCATCCCAGTCACAGTTCTTACAAGGATGAAATTATACAGCACTTAACAAAGTGTCCAGCCTAGCATCTGACACACAAAATATTGAATAAACATTGGGTCTAGCCCCATTTCACACAAGTTGCTGAATGCGGCACGTTTTTAGAATTTCCTAGTTTTGGGAAAGGTATCTATTCAGAAGGTGAAAAAATTGAAATTCAAAGAAGTTTAGTGATGTGCTCCAAGTTTCCCAGCTATTATTATTCCCAGCTAATAATAAAACACCACTGTAGAATAAGTAATTAGATAAATATTTCTCTGTATACTTCCAGGAGCACCTCTGTTTTCTTTTTCATGTAGTATTTAAAAAATGGCAGAAGTAGCGGTAAGTATACTACTTGTGCAGTAAGGATTCACATCACTGGTTTCTTAAAAGGTCAGGTTCCAAAATTTGCCGTTGGTTACTGTGATAGGCAAAATAATGCCCCCCCCCCCCCATAAATATGTCCTAGTCCCCAAATCTCTGAATGTGTTTCTTCACACGGGAAAGAGATTTGGCAGATAATATTAAGAATGTTGAGATGGGGGCCGGGCGCAGTGGCTCATGCCTGTAATCCCAGCACTTTGGGAGGCTAAGGCGGGCGGATCGTGAGGTCAGGAGATCAAGACCGTCCTGGCTAACACGGTGAAAGCTTGTCTCTAAAAAAAAAAGCAAAAAAAAGTTAGTCGGGCATGGTGGTGGACGCCTGTAGTCCCAGCTACTCGGGAGGCTGAGGCAGGAGAATGGGGTGAACTTGGGAGGTGGAGCTTGCAGATCGCGCCACTGCACTCCAGCCTGGGTGACAGAGTGAGACTCCATCTCAAAAAAAAAAAAAAAATGTTGAGGTGGAAAGAGTTTTCTGGATTATCCACGTGGGCCCAGTCTAATCAGTAGGGTCCTTAGGAGAGGGGAGCGGGGGTCAGAGAGCTGAAGATGGTATACTGCTGGTCCAAAGATAGAGCGAGGGGCCACAAACCAAGGAGTGCAGGGGAGCCCTAGAAAGCAGGAAGTCAACATTCCCTTGCAGCTTCCAGAAGGCATACTGCCTGACTGACATCTCTCGGTCTTAGCTCAGGAAGACCCATTTTGGAATTCATACCTTCAGAATTATAGATAATAAGCTTATGTTTTAAGCCACTAAATGTGTGGTGATTTGTCAGAGCAGCAGTAGGAAGCAAATACAGTCACCATTGCCACCTCCTCAACGTTCAGATTTTTGTATTGGTGGGAATCTATAAATCCATCCATGGGATGTTTGTCACCTCCTGTGAAATCATGGCTCATTTCTGTTATGGAAAAATACAAAAGCAAAAAAGCCATTTGAGGCTTATCTTTTGGGTTGTATAAAATTCTGTGAACAAATTGTAGACACAGGGACTAAGTGTTGATAGAGTTATTTTCTTTGAGAAGACTTCCTTGTGTAGTCTGTATTACCCGTGACAGCAGTCTTGTCAGGCGAGGGAAGACTAATACCTACAACGATTGAACTTATTTGCGTGATTGGAAAGAGTCTTATAAGGGGGAAAGGTTTGATGAACATAGGTCCCAATGCAAGTAGGTAAAAATTAAAATCTAAGGAGTGTAAGTTAGGATTTGTAAATTGGTTTTGTCAACAGCTGTAATTCCATTTATCAACAGAAGATGGCAGACTTGACACACAAATGAACTGTTGTAGAGGTTTTTGATTTTTTAAATGATGGTATAGAAAGAGATGTAAAATATTCTTAATTGGAAACCTGCTTTCTAAAGAGAATTTTGGGAATTACAAAGAGAATGTGGAAATGAAATACACGTAAGCAAATTGCATTTCAAAAATCTTCATAGTTTCCAGGGGTCTCTCCCTGACCCCCTGTCTTACTAATTTGCCACTTTGAGTTTGCTCTGGAAAGTCCAAAGCAGCTTTTGCTTTGAATACGATGAAGCTTTGAGTGGCTCTGTTCAGTGTATTGTTAAATTTCTGTTGAATTGGTTATAGAGTTGCCTGTTGAAACATGAAGCATTAGCTGAAATTAAACCTTGAACCTCTAAGTGCATTAGATGTGTGTAAGTATGACATCTTTATTGAAAAATAATTCTGGAGATGATAGTCAGAACACTTGGGTTTCACCCATGCTTCCTGAGCTAAGTAGCTCTCTGACCTTCAGCAACTTCTATGATCTCAGATTGATTTATATATAAAATGGTGACATAATTAGCTTCTAATATCAGAGGAATATTTGCAGGTAGTTGATGGAGTTTCTTGGAGAAAAATCTTAAATCAGAATTTTTTTTGTGAACTATGTTGAAATAGTTGCGAAGAAGATGTAATGTTAATAAAAGGTATTATTGGGGATACTTAGGGACTTTGAAGAGCATTTCCAGAACTAGAGGACAGGGTGCAGTTGTAAAACCCTGGTGGTGATGTGTTGAAGGAAGGGAACTTGGCTGTGGCAATGAAAGAACCAGGGGTTTTAGCAGCATCCATCTCTCTTTTCCTCCACTCAGTACCTAAAGTGAGGCCGAAGTTCACTGGAATTTTTTCCCTTTCAAATGTTTAGTTTTATGATTTGTAGTCTTGCATCTTGGGTTTTTGTTTTTGTTTAAAGAGACAGGATCTCATAGGTGGCCTAGGCTGGCTCCAAACTTGTGACCTCAAGTTATCCTCCTGTCTTCACCTCCCTGAGTAGCAGGGGCAGCATGCATGTGCACCTGGTTCTTGGTGTTTCATTTAATAAATATCAAAAGGAAACATTCAGTCCTTAGCTGCAGCAGTCAATTAAAAACAACAGAAAATATTTTATTTATGCCAAAGGAAGAAAAATCTTGGTAGCAGCATCATGATTTAATCAACATTTTAATCTAAGGTTTCATATTTTGGCATATTTAAGGAGGCCAGCATTGCATTTTGATTTTGATAAAGTATGGAGGGAGCATGTTTTTTTTTTTTTTCCTTTATGGAAAACCTTAGTAGTTCTTGTTTTTAGATAGAACTTTAACATTTAAAACATTCTTGGATTTAGTGAAAATGCCACCATTCCTGTGTCATGGATTCATACTGAACCTCAGATTTATAAGGAAAGAATGCTTTACAGAATGGATTTACCAAGAGACCCACAGATGACATTCTGTTTCCTTTCATAGAACCATAATACTGTAACATGTTTTTGTTCTTGTGCAGTGAAATACTTTGTTGTAGCTCAAATTCAAATCTAAGAAGGATCAGAGTTAATAGAAAACCAAATGGAAGGCTCCGGAGGTACTGGAGGAAGCAGAAGCATTACTTTGTAGCATCTCTCATGCCACAGTTGTCACCCAGCAGAAGTCAGGAAGCCATGCTGGGTGCTTTGTACCCCTCAGCTAGTTAGATTGATTTTTTATCGGAGAGGCTTTTCAAAGTTTTTCTTCTGCATCTGTATTTTTAAGAACTAAAAACACAATAGTAAGAACTTGGAGGGTTATGAAGCATGAAGTTCCATAAATATTTATACCAAACCACAGAAGTAGACAGTTCCTATTTTCTTCACATATTGGGGTCGGATTTCACTCTTGACCTCTTGAATTGAAAAATACAAGGAGTTAGTATACCCTTTTCTTTCTCTTATTTTTTCTTATTTATTTATTTTCAGTTCTTTAATGAGTTTTAGATGCTGGGAGCTGTCCTGTTAGGTTCATGTAGGTTTCGTTGGACTTATACCCAATTTTAGGCCTTACTGGTAAGCTGTTTAATCTGTTTTTGTGGATTTATTGCTACTAAATTTATAATATGTCCTTTTTATCAAGGCTGATAGGTTGCCATCTAAAAGCATATTTTAAATTAGCCCTTTTATTTTATTTTTCTTCCTCACTTAAAATCTTTGGTCCATAATAAATACTTTTTTCCTTTGAAATTATGTTAAAAACTTGTGAAATAATAATAAATGTGAATTGTAGAGAATTTAGAAAATATAGGTAGGTAGAAAAGAAACACCTGTAATTCTACTCTGTTTTTTCCCTACTCTTTACATAAGTATATGTATAGGCAATAAATATATGTAGAGGCAAAACAAAAAAAATTAGGCTGGACATGGTGGCTCTCGCTTGTAATTCCAGTGCTTTGGGAGGTTGAGGCAGGTGGATCATTTGAGGCCAGGAGTTTGGGACCAGCCTGGGCAACATAGCAAGATCCTTTCTCTACTAAAAGATGAAAAAATTAGCAGGGTGTGGTGGCACACCCGTAGTCCCAGCTCCGCAAGAGGCTGAGATGGGAGGATCACTTGGGCCCAGGACTGAGGCTGCAGTGAGCTTTGACCATGCCACCTTACTGTAGTCTGAGTGACAGAACGATACCCTGTTTCTATGTATATTTATATGTAAATTCTAAAGTATGGAGAAGTCATTTCTGTGGAATTGATGATTATTTTTTTGCTGATTCATTTCCTCCTGGCTAGTTTCATTTGTTTTCAACATAAAATAATACACCAGCTGATTAGTAAGTTTGGTGCATACCATCTTCTTGCTGTCAGGGTGCTTACAATTTAGTAGAAGAGGAAATATATTTCACAAACTATATGGTGTAAGCTAGTAAGTAAAAAACGTCAGATAAGAAAGCTTATTTGGGAATTAAGAATACAGAGGGAGGGAATCTTTTGAGGTTAGATAAGGTATAATTTTGGAAAATTAAGAATTATAGAAATAAGGACCTAAAAAGATACCATAAAGATTTCTGGTCCAAGTCAAGTAAGAAAAATTATACATATATGCATCTAATTGCATAAATATATACATTATTATTTGTCAATTTTCTTCATTTTAAAATGAATTAAAAAAAAAGAAAAGACTCTGGAAGGCCAGGGAAACACCTGGGAATTCACTTGCAGAACTGGGGCCACAGTCTAGGGCCGCAGACCCTCAGCCAGACCACTGCTCATTCCTCCCTGGAGTTGAGCCCTGAACCAAAGATCCAGGTTTGATGCAGGAGTGACCCCGAGGCTGAGGGATGGGCCTGGTAAAGGGAGGTAGTCATAGACGGAGAGTCATGGGCTCGGGCCTCTGACTCTACCTTTTTTCATTTCCTGTGGGGTCTTCATGTATTATTTCACTTCTTTGCTAGATTATCAGCCTTTCTCTTGCTGATAGCACTTTCCCCCATCGTATGTGCAAATATTGACTGTGTTAAAACCACACTATTCCTTGACCCTGTGGCCCTCTTAACTCTGAATCCATCTCCTAACACCTAGCCATCTTCACACGACGGTAGTGTACACTTGCTCATCTCCCTCAATCCCTTATGAATTGACCGTAATGGATCTCCCACCCCAGCCACTCTATGGAAGCAATACCGGTGAACTCTGTAAACCTTCATATGTGCGCTGCTCGAGACTCTTGATGCGTTGCTCTGCCAGTCTCCATTTGAGGCTTCTGGCCCCCTTGCACATCAAGTAGGGTGCTTGGTTGCTTGCCATCAACATTGATCCTGGCTAACTTATGGAATGAAGAATATTTTTTGGAAGATTGGCAGACACTGTTGCCTTCCACTTCTCCTTTGCCCACAGAATACTGATTTGGTTTGTGTCTCATGTTCCTAACGCTTTGCTAGATCTAGATATCCTCCACCTCCCTAACAAGGGGTGGCCATGTCACACAACTCTGGCCAACACATGCAAGGAGATGTCTGCGGGGGAAATCTGAGAAAAGGGAGGAGGCCTGTTCTCCTTGCCTTCAACTCTGTTGTGTGATAGGGTGGTGCTGGAGGACGTAAGAGCTGTCTTTTATCTGAGAGTCAGGATGCCCAGGATGAGAGGCCAGGAAGCTGGGTGGCTGGGTAGAAGGATAGGAAGAGCCTGGCATCTTGTTCACTTTGAAGTTCTGGACTAAAATTTGAACTGCCTGTCACCAAATAACTTAAGTGACTTAATGTCATTTGTAGTCATGGTCCTGGCACTTGCATCTAAAAAAGCAATTATTTCTGTAAATGAATGTTCAGCTCTCCCGCTTGCTCCAAACAGCACTGTTCAATGGAGATATAATGTAAGATGCAGGTGAAATTTTATATTTTCTAATAGCCACATTAAAAAAGGTGAAAACATCTGCTGGGATGAATTTTAATAACATATTTTATTAAACCACACACATCCATGGTATTTAGATTTCACTGTATAATTAATGTAAAATAATTATTAATTGGGCATGGTGGCACCACCTACTCAGGAGGCCAAGGTGGGAGAATTGCCTGAGCCCAGGAGTTCAGGGCTAGCCTGGGCAACATAGTGAGCCCTCATCTCTCTCTTTTTTCTTCTCTTTCCTTTTCTTTTTTTTTTTTTTTAATTATTAACAGGATATTTTACATTAATTTTTTATACCAAGTTTTCAAAATCTGTCATTTTAACACTTACAGAACATCTCAGTTGTACTAGCCACTTTTCAAGTGCTCCATAGCTGCATGGGCTAGTGGCCTGCATATTTGCCAGCATAGCTCTAGAATCAGACCCCTGGACGGGAGTGTTTGATTAGCCAGACCTAACTCACCTGATTGTGGTCCTCCTGCCAGGGTAGGAGGGGAGAGACTGACTCCCTTTGTTTTTCCTAACTGGGAAGCCCCCCACACGTGAGAGTCGGAAGCTGGGCTGCCAGAGAAGGCAGGTGTGCCCTGCAACATTATGTACCGCCTTCCAGTGTTGCTTGCTCTTTAGAAATTTATGTTCCCAGGGTTCCATTATTGGCTTTGATCTTCCTTTTTGGTTCTCTCTTTGGGTGTTACTATCTGGTTTTAGCGATCACCTGTATGCTGATGACTTCCATATCTGTATTCACATCCAAGAAAAAGTTACTTTCTAGTTTTATAGCCATATATTCATTTCTTGACTGGACATAGCCCCTTACCTGTCCCCCAGACTTCAACTCAGCCTTGCCTAGTCTGAACTTACCTCCCTTCTTCCCTGGACTGCTAATCTCATGTTTTGGGACCACCATATGCCTATTATCCAAACCAGAAACAGAAGCATCTTACTGTCTCCCTACTTCTTCACTCCTTAACCTCCTGTCAGTGACCAGGTCCGGTGCATTTTACTCCTTTTTCCTCAGATTTGACCTTCTCTGAGCCATATTCATTTCCAGATGTCTTTTATAGAACTGCTATAGCAGTCTCGTAACCCATCTTTTGCCTTCTGGCTCGTGGTCCCCCTTTGCTTCTTGCCTTCCTCCCCACCCTCCAGCTGTCCTGTGCATTGCAGCCAGAGTGATCTCCCTAAGCACACGTCATTCCTCTGCTTCAGCTTTTTCAAGTGTTCCCACTGACTATGGAATGAAGTTTCAGCCCCTTAGCATGGTATACAGGGCCTTGTCTGTCCAGTCTTACTTGTCATTACTCCTGACCTTGCACTTGCTGCTTTGGTAATACGGAATGGTGTGGGCAGCTGCCAGCTTTGGAATACTGTGTTGGTGGGACTGCCGCTGATTCCCCTGAACACCCTGCTTTTGTATTTATGTACTTCCTTTTATTGTTCATTCTTCCCACTGTGCCCTTTCCACCTTTCTTGCCAGCTCATTCCGGCTCATCCAGAAGGTTCTATAATGGTGTAATCTTGGGCAGTTTCTCTGAATCTGGGGGTTGGACTAAATACCCCTCCTCCACATTTCCCATAATCTTTGTCCATGCGCCCCACCCCCCTTTTGGCCATGTTTTATTGAAATTATTTATATGTATTTGCGGGTTCTTTGAAGCCAGGGCATCATCTTAGTCTTCTTTATCATGGAGTGGCTTGTGTGGTATCTGGCTCCATATGTATTTCTTGAACTGAATTAGATAAGTTTGAAGGGAGACTGGGTGGAAAAATATGTTGGCCCAAGTTACAGACAGCTTTATACATAAGAAGCATTCAAATGTTCAGTGAATGAAGAAATGGAAATCAGATGATATCGTTTTGTAAATCTTGTCAGTTTTGGTAGAAAAATAACTTCAGGTTATGAATCCTTTGTTAACATAACCATACCCTTTGTTGTAATGCATCGGTATGAAGCATTGTTACTTCTTAGCTTTAGAGGCAATATGCCCGTGTTAGCTGACTTCATGACATCTAAAATCACATCACATGGTGTCTTTGTCCCACTTGTCATGGGGTGCTCGGGCTTATATCTGTTCTGTGCCCAGTCTGCTCTTGCCAAGGCTAATTCCCTTGGAGTAGGAGTTGGCAAGCTGTCACCTGTTTTTGTAAATATAGTTTTATTGGAACATAGGCAAACTTTTAATTTATATATTATTATGTATAGATGCTTTTGTGCTAAAACAGCATAGTTGAACAATTGTGACAGAGACCATGTGGCTTGCAAACTGTAAAATATTTCCTATTTGGTCTTTTACATTATAAATTTGCTGTAGAGCCTTGCCTTAGAACCATTTAATTTTGGACAGGCAAAGCCTTATGTGATATCCAAATTGAGTACTGATCTCTGATTAGGAATCAGGAGAATACGGATCATAAAGGGCAAACCTCTTTGAGTTGTGTACTCTATTTGGTGGAATGGTTTTCTTACATTTCTTGCAGGCTGGTCTTGAACTCCAGGGCTCAAGCGACCTTCCTGTCTCGGCTTCCCGAGTGCCATAACTTTCATGTTCAAGGTTACATATGTGAAATCTAAGTTGCAGAAAAAGTTTGTATATTTGCAGACTGCTAGGTGCATAGCGGCTTAAATACAGGACTTTCATTAAAATGTTTAAAATATTTTTACACATCTCCCTCCCTGTACCTTGCCACCCCTTCTCCAACCTTGCCTTCTTTGCTTTTGTGGGCAGAGTTCCTTTGGGTTTGACTAATTCTTTATTGTTTCTATTTCTGAAAATAAGTAAATTACCTTAATATAGGGTAAGGTAAAATCCTGGCAGTGTGGATTTGAGATGACATATACCCGGCCTCAGCATGTCACCAAGGGTGATATTAGAATCATATATTGGCTGGTAGCTGTGAGGATGACTCAAGTCTGCTGGAATGCTGGAGGAGAGTGTATGAGAGTGCTGGGAGTCCCTTTTCAGTTGCTGCATGATCAAGAGGTCTAGGGGCTGGAGTTGGTGAAGGGTGGAAGGCTGGGTACCAGCTGATGGTCAGCTTGCCTCTACGGATGTATGCATTACTTCCAGTAAAGCAGAGGTTCCTCTGGTTCATTTTTCATCACACATGTTTGAAATGTCATGTGCCAGTTGCAGTTCTGGGCGTTGGGGATTCGAAATGAGTAAATGTGCTTCTTGCCGTTGGGAGGCTTGTAGACAGATGTTCTTGGAACATCTGGCGGGAGGTGGCAGGATCTATATAGGACAAGCCAGGAAAGGTTCTGGGCTGACAAAACAATGTACATGCTTTAAGGGTCCAAGAGTTTTAGGTTAAAAAAAAAAAAAGAAACTTTTTGACATCTTGCAGTAAGCCTACATATTATACCTTTTTACTACAATTTTTGCTTACCAAAAAATTTCAATTTTTATAGCAGTTATTTACTTTTTAGGATATAATCAAATTTGTCTTTTAGGTTGCCTGCCTGATTCGAGTTCCATCTGAAGTGGTTAAGCAGAGGGCACAGGTATCTGCTTCTACAAGAACATTTCAGATTTTCTCTAACATCTTATATGAAGAGGTGAGATGGGTTTTTTAAGCTCTTCTTTTCTTTATTAAGATTTTATAGTAGCTAATACGAACACTGTGGATTTCATCCTAAGAGCCTTAGAGAAAACTTTAGAGCTAAATTTAATGTCCAGTTATAGTAAATTTTTGCTAAGATTATCTTTGCCTTTTATTGGTTTTTGAATATTTTCATTTACATGTTTTTCAAATTTCTGAGCATAACATTGAGTGTCCTGAATTGTAATCTTCCTGCAGTTCTTCTGGAATCAGATGTGAAACAAATTTTAAATATGTAAAATGAAGAAAGATATTATATTAAAACATCAGTATAGTATTTTAGGTCCATGGAAGAGATTTAGTACTGGACTGATAACAGTGACCAATGTCATAACGTTTATACCAAAATGTAGCTTCTTTTACAGATGTATTTGAAGCTGTCAGTCAGAAATTATTCTTCCTGACCATGTGACTAGAGAGCATTTAGCTGCTTTCCTTTATAGTTTTTATGGAAGCCTTTTTTTAAAAAGACATGAGAATCAATCACATGGGAATTTTCAAAGAGTCTTGATTTTAGAAAAGTTATTTGTAATGGTGTGTTACATAGGTGAGGAGACATTGAATATCTAATTGTACAAATGAGATGAAGCTAGTATAACTTCCCCGTTGAACTATGTGGATGGTTAATCCAGGGTTGTCTGGAAATACTGACCACTAGTTTGAGAGATTATGAATGAATTTCTGATGTTTGAGGCTATAAATATAATTGTTTTTATACAAAAGGATAATTGGCATTTGTAGGCATTTGCTTTTGGAAATGTATTTAAAGCATCTCAAATGTTCTTTTCAAGAGAACACATGTTAGAGCAATTAAGTACTATATAATTAATATTTAGTAGAATAACAGCAACTAAAACTAAGTAAATATGTAGTCAGTTTTATTGTTAGAGATGTTCCTGTTTCAAAGAGAGCTAATCTGAGCTCCCTTAGGAGCTAGTTATAGAGGTATATAAGTTATATAAGGTATAGTTATGTACCTTAGGACAGTTTAGAATCATTAACCTCTTAGAGAAGTGTGGCAATTGTGAATGTTCTAGAACTCAAACAAGAGCAGGTAGATCTGCTGTATACAGAATGTCCTTCAGAAATCTCTGCCATTCTTTCTGAACTCTCGGCTGTGTGTTTGTTTCAGGGTATCCAAGGGTTGTATCGAGGCTATAAAAGCACAGTTTTAAGAGAGGTAAGTCACTTACTTTCCAATATTGAAGTACGAAAGAATGATGTCCTTTGTTCAGTAAATTTATACTACTTAACAATTAGAAATATATTTGGAGAAACTTGGTTTAAAAAATCAAAAAGGGAAATTATCGTCACTCTTCTGTTAAATTTTCTGAGTTTTTATATTTAAAAGAATGAGTAGAATGGGTTTGCCGGAAGAGCAATTTCAGTGGTCAGAATGACCCATGTTGTTACTGACTTGTTATTCTAGGGTGGCTAAATGTCTCTTATAGTTGAAGTATTTTTTGTTTGTTTTTTTGAAATGCAGTCTCGCTCTGTCACCCAGGCTGGCGTGCAGTGGCGCGATCTCGGCTCACTGCAACCTCCGCCTCCCAGGTTCACGCCATTCTCCTGCGTCAGCCTCCCGAGTAGCTGGGACCACGGGTGCCCACCAGCACGCCCAGTTGATTTTTTGTATTTTTAGTAGAGATGGGGTTTCACCATGTTAGCCAGGATGGTCTCAATCTCCTGACCTCATGATCCTCCCGCCTCGGCCTCCCAAAGTGCTGGGATTACAGGCGTGAGTCGCCGCGCCCGGCCTCCCGGCCTCTTATAGTTGAAGTATTAAGAAGTAACTTCGGGTCAGGCGTGGTAGCTCACGCCTGTAATCCCAACAGTTTGGGAGGCCGAGGCAGAAAGATCACCTGAGGCAAGTTCGAAACCAACCTGGCCAACATGACGAAACCTCGTCTCTACTAAAAATATAAAAATTAGCCAAGTGGTGGGCACCTGTAATCCCAGTTACTCGGGAGGCTGAGGCAGGAGAATTGCTTGAACTTGGGAGGTGGAGGTTGCAGTGAGCCAAGATCGTGCCACTGGATTCCAGCCTGGGCAACAGGGCAACAAGAGCGACTCTGTCTCCAAAAAAAAAGAAATAACTACTAAGGGTAAGATATCAAGTTTATTACTGAATTTTGAGGAACTAATGAAAAATTGGTAATGAAATAAGCCTTCTAAGACAGGGACCCCAACCCCAGGGCCGTGGACGTGTACTGGTCCGTGGCCTGGTACTAGTCTGTGGCCTGTTAGGAACTGAGCCACACAGCAGGAGGTGAGCAGCAGGTGAGTGAGCATTACCACCTGAGCTCTGCCTCCTGTCAGATCAGCAGCAGCATCAGATTCTCATAGGAACACGAACCCTATTATGAACTGCGCATGTGAGGGATTTAGGTTGTGTGTTCCTTATGAGAATCTAATGCATGATGATCGGAGGTGGAACATCTTAGGTGGAACAGTTTCATCCTGAAACCACCCACCCCACCACTGGTCCATGGAAAATTTTCTTCCACAAAACCTGTCCCTGGTGCCAAAAAGGTTGGGGACCGCTGGTTTAAGAGGTGGATGTCTCAGAAGTCTGTATCAGGCAGTGAGCCCTTGGCTTCTTGATAACAAAATATGAGCTGGGAAGTTCAGTCTGGACTGGAGTCCTGGCACTGCAGGTGATTCACAGAGCAGTGTATCCCAGGGGAAGCCACTTCACCTCTCTTTGCCTTCTAACTCTAAATTTCTGTGATTCAACACATGGGAAATTTTCTTTTGTTCTGTTTGGTTGAAAGAGCAAAAGTTTACCATCACTAAGTAGTTTCAGTATATTACTGCAAGAACATGGTATGGGCCAGGCATGGTGACTCAAGCCTGTAATCCCAGCATTTTGGTAGGTGGAGGTGGGTGGTTTGTTTGAGCCTAGGAGTTCAAGACCAGCCTGGGCAACATTGTGAGACCCTGTCTCTATAACATACGAAAACTAGCTGGGCATGGTGGTGCCTGTAATCCCAGCTACTTGGGAGGCCGAGGTGGGAGGACTGCTTGAGCCTGGGATGTCGAGGCTGCAGTGAGCTGTGATTGTGCCACTGCACTCCAGCCTGGGTGACAGAGAGACCCTGTCTCAAAAAAGAAAAAAAATAAAAATAAAAAGAAGCATGTTATAATCTTTGCTTCACATAGAAGAGACTATCTTGAAAAAGTTAGTTTTTTCTAAGTTCAAAAGTTCGTTTTCAGATAGGTGAGATATAAGAGAAGTCTGGTTTGGGACACAATTCTCTGTTAAAGAAAATACAAGTGAGAACCTGCATACATCTGCTCTGCATCTGCGTTTTCTATTTGGAGGTTCTGGTATACTGAAACATAATAGTTAAATATTGCCGTATTTGACCGAATACTGAAATTCATTGAAATCCCAAATTTTATTCTCAGGTAGTTTTTTGTTTTTAACTAGAGATAACAATCTTCTTTATGACATACCAACACTGTTACTTGTGACTTAAAGCTTTGGTTTTCATAGCAACCTAGTTGGTGTAGATCTTTGAAGAACTTCTTTTTAAGGCAAACTTAATGTTTCAAAATTAGTTAATTGTGTGGAGATGACTTGTGCCTTTCAGAAATAGCACCCATACTGTATATTCACTCTGTACTTAGTTTCTGACTCACTAAACATGTGTTCCTTACTCAGATTTCACCTGGGTGCAGGACAAAGAGAGGCAATAAGCCTTTTTTATTTTTCTGAGAGATGCTGAATAAATGAATATTTACATGCCGGAGAATACTGGTTTTACATACAAACAGATAAAACACATGGTCGCAACTGCTTTCTGTTCTTTAAAAAATTTGTTTTGACATATGTCCTGCTAGTAATTAATTTGTAGCCTGCAATCCTTGAAAGTAGTGTGACCTCACTGAGATGACTTTGTTTACTCAAAATGGCAGCGTTTTGTTGGAGATTTAATTGAGGTCTTCTGCATTATGCATATTTATTCAGAGTTGATTTTAGTTGAGGTATTGCTTTTGTACAGATTCTGTGATAGAATGAGAGAAGAATTATTGCCGAATGAAACATAGCTTCTTCTCAAAATGAGAAAAATAAGAAGTGATACATCTGCTTTAAGCAGAATTTTATGCATTATAAATAGTTTAGATTCTTACTTTATTCTGGCACCAATATAAAATCTTTTTGCCAAGAGCGTGTCTGTTGTTTCAATAAGAAAATACATCAAAATCTTAGTGAGAATCACCTGGAAACGTATACATTTATTCTGTATGCAATTTTTTCTTTAAACTGGTTTTATCTCCCTAGCAGTTGCCCATTAGAATGAGATTGAAGTTTGAGTCCATGCATTATAAGATAGATTCGGTGTTCTTTAGATTGTGTGAATGTTGTCACACTTTTTTTTTTTTTTTTTTTTTACTGCATTTGATGTTTGTGGAGATTGCATGCTTATCCCTTACATTCTCTGAAATTATTTTAGTTACTGTGAATTTTAGATGGAGTCTAAACAAGGTCAGCAGATTACACTACCTCATCCTTTTAGTGTTCATTTTTCTCATGATCTTTGCCAAATGAGATGTGGTCAAGCATGCTGGTGCAGTGATATTACTGCAGTAAGATGAAAGTGGGGAGCAAAATCATAGATGCTTTCATATCCAGGATGATTTGAGATGCTATTGGCCTGAAAATTTTATGGAGAGCAGCCTCATACTCTTGGATGTGAATTAGAAGGACTTTTTATAGAGGAAGAAAGCAGAGTAAAGCAGATTGTTTCAAAAGAAGTGGGAATTAGTTAAACTTAGCAGATGTCTTTTGTCCACAAATTTCACTCAGCTGTCCTTTCTGGAGTGCCTACTGGGTCTTGGGGCACTACAAGGAACATTTCTGCCCTGAAGCATTCACTTTCTGGCGGGGAAACAAACAGGGAAGTAGACACTTTACAGTGCAGTGTCATAAGCACTGTAATGATAAGTATATACAAGATGCAGGTGGGGTTACAGACGAAGCAATGCTTGAGTGGTGCTCAGTTAGCATAAAACGATTCTTAATTGTTGAAGGAGTGGCAGTTAGAAGTAGTTAAGGTTATAGGCAGATGGAACAGCAAGAGCAAAGCCATAAGGGTGTGAAAGTACATGTGTGTAGCTTGCTTATTGAAGCAGAATTGGGGTTTTCATGACCATAGAAGAGAGTGCAAGCCAAGGGAGGGCCTTCAAGAGAGCACGAAGTGGGGTGTTTGCCTGGAGGAGAAGTTGAACTTCTTGCCCTCAGCTGTTTGCCAGGGACTGGAGTGGAGAATTTGGGAAAAGCCCTTGAAAGAGCCTGACATGTGTCCCCTGGAGTCTGGAGGATAACTTGCTGGTATCTGACTCCTGTCTGCAGAAACCTGAAGGTGAGAAGCTGGTTGGAGCTGTCCCAATGGCAAGATGTAGCCATTTTAATAACAAATAACTCCTGGTTTCTTTTCGGTAGATGCTAGTAAAGAGATTTGAGATAGGTGAGGGTTATTCTCCCCACCCTAGTTTTGCTGTAAGCAGTCAACATGCCAAACAAGTAATTCAATCTGTTCAGTAAGTTCATTGAAGCCCCCAGTCTTTAGGTGCAAAAATCATCACTCTTAGTAGTTTATTCAAAAGTGGATATGGCAGCTTTTCAGACTTGTTTTCCCTTAATATCCATGTTAGGCAGTGGGGATTCCCCTAAATCCAGTGGCTGGAAACGGGAACCTTCAGCGATCAAGCGTCAAGGACTGCCCTCCAAAGTCTCCTTCCCAGTTCTGCTGTCTGCCTACTCAGTGCCTTTCCCCCGAACACTCATGTTATATAAGTCTCCTTAGTGTTTTTCCAGAGACACTCTATCCTAGATCTTCTGTATTTTTTGTTGCTGCTTTCTAACCTACTTTGTTTTGGAGATCATTTATATCACTTCATTAAGAGCACTATCTTTTATAATGATTGCATAGTAGTCCATTGTATAAACAAACCATTGTTTATTTAACATTTCCCAGTTGGTGGACATTACAGACATGCTGCAGTGAGTGATGCTGTTCCTGTGTTATTTTATACATGGTTGAATGTTTGCAGGTTACATACCACAAGTAGAATTACTTCGTGAAAAGTATCGGCATTTGTAATTTTGGTAGATAATGCCAAATTGCTCTTTAGGGAAGTACCAATTGACACTTGCCAACAATGTAGGAGCCTTCTGTTTTCCCCTGCCTCACCTATGGACTAGCAGTCTTAAAGACAAAACATGATGTCATTGTAGTTCTAATTTTAATTACAAGTAAGACTGGACATAATAACATATATCTGAGAACAGTTTTATTTACTTTCCTGTGAACTGATGATTTGAAACTTCCCCCAAATTCTTGTGAGGATTAAATGAGGGGATCCAGGCGAAGTGCCTTCTGTAATGCCTGTCACACAGTACGTGCTCAGGAAATGTTAACTAGGATGATTGGTACTCTGGTAACTGAAAGAGCTTTAACAGTGAAGGACACCTGATATGGTTTGGCTCTGTGTCCCCACCTAAATCTCATCTTGAATTGTAATCCCCACGTGGCAGGGGAGGGACCTGATGGGAGGTGATTGCATGGGTGGTTTCCCTCATGCTCTTGAGACTGAGAGAGTTCTCACAAGAGCTGATGGTTTTAAAAGTGTTTGCAGTTCCCCCTTTGTGCTCTCTCTCTCCTTCTGCCATGTAAGACGTGCCTTGCTTTCCCTTTGCCTTCTGCCATGATTGTAAGTTGCCTGAGGCTCCCCAGCCATGCAAACTGTGAGCCAAACCTCTTTCCTTTATAAATTACTCAGTCTCAGGTAGTATCTTTATAGCAGTGTGAGAATGGACTGATAAAACACCCAAGTGTGGAATGCAGCTCTGTCCCTTACCAGCCATCTGCTCCTGACAAGTTTACTTAATCTGAGTCCAGGTTTGCCCATTTGTGCTAGGAACTTTGCATAGACTCTTCTCGTTGATACCTTTATACCTTTACAGCAGTTCTAAAAGGCGGCTGTGATAGCAGTATAGCCTGCTAGGAGATTCGGAAATTAAACCTGCTTTTAGGTTGTTGGGTTCTTTAACAGGGCTGCAACCTTGATATGTCTGCATTCAGACATGTTGATGACTAACAATTGCTGTGTTTGAATGAGAGGCCAGACAACTGTTACTGCTTGTAAAGCTCTTCAGCTATAATGAGAGTGTTATATCCAGATGTCTTATTGAGAGACATCTTTATAATAGTAAAAAAATTGCAACCTGCAGTTGATTTTGTATTCACTGGCTACTTATGTAGGAAAAACAGCATATTGGTATAAAAAGTAAAGTTACCCTAATTGATGATTGAGCTGATCAAGATTCCTAATGGAAGTGTGTTGGGAAAATTCCATGATTGTTCATTTTTGGCTTATTCTTATGGAGATTGCACCAGTTGGATGTTTTCCACTGAAAAATGTTACCAAGCAACTATCGCCAGAACTTCTGTTGCATCTTTACTGTCCTTAAGGCTCTATATACTATTTCCTGCTTATCATGATTGTAAAAGAGAAAAAAAATAGTCCTAGCTCATAAGGGAGAATTTTCCCCCTTCTTGTATCAGTGCTGTGTATCTGTCTCTGTGTATGTTTGTGTGAAATTGTTTTCTTTGATTTACCTTGTTCTCTTTCAGTTTGTCCTTATAGTTGGGTTGTTCCTTATCTTTCCAGATAGCGTGTAAATCCTCTTGAAAACAGCCACTGGGTTTTTACCTCCTTGTAGGATGCCCAGGCTCTAGCATAATATCTTCTACACAGTGAGCACTCAGTGAATACTTGTCGTTTTTCACTGCTTTAAGTTTGACTTATTTTTGTTCAGATGCTGCCTGACGTCATGATCATTTCAGAAAGGTGAGGGAGCTCTAAGGGGGCTTGGAGTTATGTAGGGTAGTGAATCAGGCTTTTGATATACTACATTACTATGATCTTTGCATGAGACAGGTGATGAAATACCAAAGCGTATATACTTTTCTAAGATTTCAGTCTTCTTAAACCTTGAAAAAGTAGTTTTTATAAGTCTGGTTTTATTGGAAAAGCAGTAAGTGCTATAATTATTCATTTACTTTCTTCATCTTAGCACTTCTACTGAAAAGGAAAAAAAATGATTCAAAATCTTTCCAAACTTCTAATGTGAAATTGTTTTTCAGTTAAAATCCAATGCAAACATATTGAACCCTATTTTAATCCTACATAATTCATTTTATTAACTATGACCAAATAGAACATCTGTTAAAATTCCATAATGCTAGCTTCATGGGAAAAGAAAAAAATCCCTGTTTGCTCTTGGAAGTTGTCCATTGTTTTATTATTCAGGCTTTCAGTAAATGTGTAATGAGACATTCTTTTTGATGGAAATATTAAACAAATGAAAATGAAATTTCCTCTTTTATCATAGAGGTTTATAAAATGAGTCACTTAATTGCATTTACATTATTATAACTTTACCGTAGAGATGTTCTATGAAGAATGAATGCTGGTTCATTTGATTCATTCTTTAATTCAAGAACCTAAAATTATTACTCCTCAAACCTGGACTTTAGCCTTTAGTTTTTCATCATCTCTTAAATAAGCAAATATTTTTAGGAAGAACAATTGAGTAAAATTATCTTAATGTGGAAGTATTACTCTAGCCCTTCAGTGCATAGTTTCTCATGTTTCGTTTACATGAAACCAGCTGCTATTTACTTTTTTCATTCCTTGGACAAATTTCATTTACGCTGTGAAGTGACTTGAAAATGCTACATATTTCCATTGTTGCATGTTGGCCATGTTGTCCTGAAGGGGCACCAGTTCCTGTGTGTATGGTTTATGGGATGTAAATGCAATAATATGATGCTTCACTGTAAACACATTGGAAGCTATTGGATACAGGTGGAAATTATCTGTTAATTCTTTATTTAAACGTTGTGACCATAAACCATAGTGTTGAAGTAGCTCTTTGTTGTTGTTCCTTTGTGGTTTTCATCCCATGTGAAATGTCATCTTTCTTCGTCTTCGTGAGTCCATTTGGATTGCATTTAGGCTTCAAATAACAGAAAATTTGACTACAATGGTTTCACCAAAAAAGTTTTCTGTTTTTCCCTTTTGTAACAAGAAATCTGAAGATGATCATTCTAAGGCTGGTGTACTGGTTAGATGAGGGCAAGGAGAATCCAGTCTCTTTCATTTTGCCTGGCTAACTTTAATGCTCTGGCTAATTGACTCATGGTCACAAAATGGCTGTTCTGCTTTCAGGCATCATAGTTCTATTCCAGAACTATGAAGAAGGGGAAGGGCATGAGGCAGTACTAACTTTATCTGTCCTTTTGTTTATCTCGAAAACAAAAACTTTCCTGGGACAGATGGTATCTCAGGGCCTTTATGAGTTGCGTGGGGATTGGGAAGTTGAGTATGTAGCTTTTCACTGTAGTAGATGAAGTCAGGCAAAGGGTGGACTGGGGGCAGTGGTACTACCGTTACTGAGTCACCCCATAGGATCTGCCGTATTCTGTCCCTTCAAACCCTTCCAGCTAAAGTTTCATCTCTTCAGAAAGAAGACCATTTCATACATCTCTAGCTTCAGCCCACATGTGGGCATCCATCGTTGTTAAGATCCATGAGTAATTGTCTGTACCACTATTTTTTTTTTTGGTCATTCTCCTCTGTAAATGGAAATGTCTGTTCGTTTTCTTTTTCTGCCACCTTTGTTCTTTTGGGCACTAGTGTAGAAACTCATCTTTAAAAATTATTTGGTGGTCTCACTGAAATTGAAGACATGAATTTACTTCTGATTTATTTACTTTTATATGTAGTTTTGATTTTAAAGTTAAAATCTGAGAATACTTCTTATATTGATATATTCATATGTAAACACCTAAAAAATGTGTGTCATTTTAGATGGAAATAAACTGTTTACATTTACCAAGTACTTAAAATGTTCCAGTCACTGTGCTAAGTTGTTTACATACATTATTTCACATAATCCTCACAGCAGCCCAAAATGCGATCCCTACTTGACAGAAACTAAAGCTTGGTAAGTTTGTGGTTGGCCCAGGGTCTCATACCAGTAAGGGAGAGATCAGAGGACTCCAGAATCCATGAACTTAACCTTTATGGTGAGCTGTGTATTTTACATTTTATAAACAGATAAATTTTTTCTGGGGAGGAAAATATGTATTTAAAATGAGTAATCCATATTTATATCTGTAGTCTTTAAGCCTTTAGATAGGCGTTAGTGCCAGGAGTTTGGGGAAACTGGAAGTCTACATGATATTAAAAATAAATTAATTAGAGGAAATAAGCAAGTGTAAGGAATCTGTGTTGATGGAAGTGTTCATGAAGAACTGTGGCTTGTAAGTGCATATTATCACGTTTGCGTGATTTTCCTTTATCTAGGTGTTAGTTTACATGCCCCTTCTCTGAGGGACCTCCTGTGATCACTCCAGCTAAAATAGACCTACCCCATCCCTGATCACTCACCTGTTACCTTTGCATGCACTGATGTTTGAAATTACCTTCATTTCTTGTTCAAAAATTAATTACTGCTGCAAACAGGGACAATTTGACTTCCTCTCTTCCTATTTGAATACCCTTTATTTGTTTCTCTTGCCTAATTGCCCTGGCCAGAACTTCCAACACTGTGTTGAATAGGAGTGGTGAGAGAGGGCATCGCTGTCTTGTGCCAGTTTTCAAAGGGAGTGCTTCCAGTTTTTGCCCATTCAGTATGATATTGGCTGTGGGTTTGTCATAGATAGCTCTTATTATTTTGAGATAAGTCCCATCAATACCTAATTTATTGAGAGTTTTTAGCATGAAGGGTTTTTGAATCTTGTCAAAGGCCTTTTCTGCATCTGTTGAGATAACCATGTGGTTTTTGTCTTTGGTTCTGTTTATATGCTGGATTACATTTATTGATTTGTGTATATTGGAGCAGCCTTGCATCCCAGGGATGAAGCCCACTTGATCATGGTGGATAAGCTTTTTGGTGTGCTGCTGGATTCGGTTTGCCAGTATTTTATTGAGGATTTTTGCGTCAATGTGCATCAAGGATATTGGTCTAAAATTCTCTTTTCTGGTTGTATCTCTGCCTGGCTTTGGTATCAGGATGATGCTGGCCTCATAAAATGAGTTAGGGAGGATTCCCTTTTTCTATTGATTGGAATAGTTTCAGAAGGAATGGTACCAGTTCCTCCTTGTACCTCTGGTAGAATTCGGCTGTGAATCCATCTGGTCCTGGACTCTTTTTGGTTGGTAAGCTATTATTGCCACAATTTCAGATCCTGTTATTGGTCGACATGATTGTATATCTAGAAAACCCCATTGTCTCAGCCCAAAGTCTCCTTAAGCTGATAAGCAACTTCAGCAAAGTCTCAGGATACAAAATCAATGTACAAAAATCACAAGCATTCTTATACACCAATAATAGACAGAGAGCCAAATCATGAGTGAACTCCCATTCACAATTGCTTCAAAGAGAATAAAATACTTAGGAATCTAGCTTACAAGGGACGTGAAGGACCTCTTCAAGGAGAACTACAAAGCACTGCTCAATGAAATAAAAGAGGATACAAACGAATGGAAGAACATTCCATGCTCATGGATAGGAAGAATCAATATCGTGAAAATGGCCATACTGCCCAAGGTAATTTTTAGATTCAATGCCATCCCCATCAAGCTACCAATGACTTTCTTCACAGAATTGGAAAAAACTACTTTAAAGTTCATATGGAACCAAAAAAGAGCCCGCATCGCCAAGTCAGTCCTAAGCCAAAAGAACAAAGCTGGAGGCATCACACTACCTGACTTCAAACTATACTACAAGGCTTCAGTAACCAAAACAGCATGGTACTGGTACCAAAACAGAGATATAGATCAGTGGAACAGAACAGAGCCCTCAGAAATAAGGCCGCATATCTACAACTATCTGATCTTTGACAAACCTGAGAAAAACAAGCAATGGGGAAAGGATTCCCTATTTAATAAATGGTGCTGGGAAAACTGGCTAGCCATATGTAGAAAGCTGAAACTGGATCCCTTCCTTACACCTTATACAAAAATTAATTCAAGATGGGTTAAAGACTTAAACGTTAGACCTAAAACCATAAAAACCCTAGAAGAAAACCTAGGCAATACCATTCAGGACATAGGCATGGGCAAGGACTTCATGTCTAAAACACCAAAAGCAATGGCAACAAAAGCCAAAATTGACAAATGGGATCTAATTAAACTAAAGAGCTTCTGCACAGCAAAAGAAACTACCATCAGAGTGAACAGGCAACCTACAAAATGGGAGAAAATTGTTGCAACCTACTTATCTGACAAAGGGCTAATATCCGGAATCTACAATGAACTCAAACAAATTTACAAGAAAAAAACAAACAACCCCATCAAAAAGTAGGCAAAGGATATGAACAGACACTTCTCCAGAGAAGACATTTATGCAGCCAAAAGACACATGAAAAAATGCTCATCATCACTGGCCATCAGATAAATGCAAATCAAAACCACAATGAGATACCATCTCACACCAGTTAGAATGGCGATCATTAAAAAGTCAGGAAACAACAGGTGCTGGAGAGGATGTGGAGAAATAGGAACACTTTTACACTGTTGGTGGGGCTGTAAACTAGTTCAACCATTGTGGAAGTCAGTGTGGCGATTCCTCAGGGATCTAGAACTAGAAATACCATTTGACCCAGCCATCCCATTACTAGGTATATACCCAAAGGACTATAAATCATGCTGCTATAAAGACACATGCAAACGTATGTTTATTGCGGCACTATTCACAATAGCAAAGACTTGGAACCAAGCCAAATGTCCAACAATGATAGACTGGATTAAGAAAATGTGGCACATATACACCATGGAATACTACGCAGCCATAAAAAATGATGAGTTAATGTCCTTTGTAGGGACATGGATGAAATTGGAAATCATCATTCTCAGTAAACTATCGCAAGGACAAAAAACCAAACACGGCATGTTCTCACTCATAGATGGGAATTGAACAATGAGAACACATGGACACAGGAAGGGGAACATCACACTCTGGGGATGTTGTGGGGTGGGGGGCGGGAGGAGGGATAGCATTAGGAGATACATCTAATGCTAAATGATGAGTTAATGGTTGCAGCACACCAGCATGGCACATGTATACATATGTAACTAACCTGCACATTGTGCACATGTACCCTAAAACTTAAAGTATAATAATAGTAAAAAAAAAAATTAATTACTGCTGTCTTCCCTTCACTAGAATGTATGCATCAGGAGGGCAGATGCCTCCCGTTTTGTTCCCTACTATTAATCTAACACCTAGAAGAGTGTGGCACATAGCACACTCAGAAAATATTTAACAAACCAATGACTTAATCATACTTGCTTCTCAAAAGCAGACCAGTTTTAAGTACTTAGGTATTAAGATCTCCAGATACATTTAGCAAGAATTATGGAGTTCTCACTAAATTCCTAGGCAAGCTAATGGTTTTCTGCCAGATAAACTGTCTGTACTTCCATTGAGATTAATTTTCTTATCATATTTACTGCTGTCTACATATAGCTCTTATTTTAATTTTGTCTTTTCTAGTTACAGTTACTCCTGTAACTATTTCATATATTCAAAACAGTTTTTGAAGTGACACATGAAAATAATAAAACTTATGAAGAAGATCCTTCATTAGGTGTGTGCGAATTATCTCCAGTGAATACCGTGTGGGTCAAGAATTACCCTTGATGTTCTCATTACTGTATACTGTCTTATTGTCTGAATAAACACCATCTTATATGGAGTATTAAGAGACTATATATGTAAGAAAACTAAATTTGAAGGTCAAATGTAGTTTTTTAGATGTGTAATTAAAAAATAGCAATTGGAATCATTCAAAGGAAATTAAAATGTTTATCTGTGGGTTCGACTACCTGGCTACAGATTACTTTGGGATCACATAATGAAAATAGTTAAAATTTGAATACTAATTATGATTGTTAACTTTACATATATTTTCCTAATCCTTAAACTGTAAGACATCAGCCTGTTTGTACAGATCATAAGCAGAGGCTTAGAAAAATTAAGTAATACAACTAGGAGGTGGCAGGACTGGAATTGGAGGTCAAGTTTGTATAATTCCAAATCCTGTGATTCTTATTACACTTTGCTTCCTGTTTGTGTCTTGCAGATAAATTCACTGATAGAATTTTTCAGTAAATCCTAAGAAAATAATGTGATGGGGGATCTACAAGACTTGAACCAAATCTTGACCTGAGTGAGAGTGGAGCACAATTTCTGAGTGTTAGAGGATTCTAAAGGATAGAAATGGAACTGTTTGTATGGGCAGAACACAATGAGATGCTTCTAAAACAGCCATTAATATTGATTTCAGCATCCTTTTTCGTCTGGCCTTTGTGAGGGGTGCTTAAAAATGTTTTGACTGATTGTAGTCTGTCCTTTTTTGTTCCCTGTGCTGCATCATATGTTCTGAGAAACAGTAGAGTAGGTGGGAAAAGGTTGATAATCTTTGGCCTTGAAGTGGTTTTGGTATACATAGCCAAGTAACTAGCAGATAATTTATTGACTAGTGGAGAAGCAGAAATTTTTGTGAGGATTTTTTTTTTTCCCTTTTTGAATATACTCTGCTTTTTGTTATTCAACTTGTCAGTGCAAAACTGACATTATAGAAGAACGCACTAGAGGGCGCACAATGCCTGTATTTTAAATGTTGGTGGCAAAAACCTCAGCATGAACTTGGAAGCTGCTTCCTGGCACTGTTTGAAAAAAAAAAAAAAAGGTTCAAATTAGAAAATGTAAATTTAAGCATAATAGTGTTTTCCGATCAAGATACCTGAATGGATAAATTTGTGTTATCTTTTGATACATATGTACATGGAGTTGTATTTATTTGGGTTCTAATTTTTTAAAACTTTTACCATGGAAAAATTTAAAGACACACAAAAAAGATTACTAAAATGAATCCCTGTAGTCTCATCAATTACCAGCTCTTGAGCAGTATTGTTCCATCTATACCAAACCCTGCTTCCCACATGTCTGTATGATATTGAAGCAAATACCAGACATTCTGATTTCATCCAGAAATACGTCACTATGCATCTCTAAAAGATAACTGTAAATATGTATAATGTATCAAAAATGAGTGTCATAACAGAAAGACAAATATTGTATTATATGTGTAAACTAAGAAAGTAAAATTCATAGAAGCAGAGAGTAGAACCATGGTTCTCGGGTGTTAGGGGGTGGGTAAATGGGGAGATGTTGTTCAAAGGGTACAAATTGTCAGTTATAGGATCAGCAGGTTCTGGGTATTTAAGGTACAGCATGAAAAGTGATGGATGTGTTAATTAATTTGATTGTGGTAATCATTACACATTGTGTATCAAATCATCACATTGCTCACTTTAATATATATAATCTTTATTTGTCATTTATTTTAAAAAACGAATATCATAGTCTAGAAGTATTTCCCCAAAGCTATTTATCACTTACAAAGGGGAAAATAGTAATTTTACAGTTGGAAAGACTGGCAGTCACTATTTTATCCAAGTGATCAAGATTAGCATCACCAGTAATAAGATTATATTAACATCATACATCTCTAATATAATGCACCAAGAAGGACACAATGTCACTTCTTTGGTCTTCTTGCCAAAGATGCATAATCTCAGTGTGATCATGAGAAAACATCACACAAACCGAGATTGAGAGACATTGTACAGAATTGTCAAAGTTATGATAAAGAAAGATGAAAGAACTGCCACAAATAAGAGAAGACTAAGGAGACACAACAAGTAAATGCAGTGTAGGATCCTGGATTTGATCCTGGAACAGAAAAGATTTTGGGAAAAACTGGTAACATTCAAAATCTGTAATTTAGCTATTAGCATTGCAGCAAAACTGGTAGCTGGTTTTGATAAGTGTACTGTAGTTAATTTATTAACATTAGAGAAGCCAGCATATATGTGAACTCTGCTATTTATGCAACTTTTATGAGAGTTTGTTTTTAAAAAACAAACTAAAATGCCACATTTGGACATTGTATGAAGTACTTGTTTTTAGAGTCATCTTCTAAAATAATGACAAGTTAAATTTAAAATTTAATTTCTTTTATTGTTAACTTGTATTAAAATAATATATGCAATTAGTAACAACCCAAATAATGTAGAAGGACTTAAGATGAAAAACAACAGTCTCCTGCCCATCCCTCTCCATTCTGGTTCCACTCTCTAGAGGTAGCCTTTATTTTTTATTTTTTAAAATTTTAACTGTTTTATTTTTAGTTCTTATTTCATCGGTGCTTTCAGATAATATATTATTTAAATGTCTGTTTTAAAATTTGTCAGTAGATAAAGTTTGTTGAGTCTTTGGGATGGAAGATGTGATTAAGCTCACATTATGTTCTTCCCCAACCCTGTCTCATCCTAGCATTCCAGTTATATAAATTTCATTCCTCTGTTCATTTTAGAAACTTTAAGTTATATATTCGTTTCTTTATTTCTTATCCTACGAACTTTCTGCATCTTACAACTTTCTCTTGACATGATGAGGCTGTTGCTTTCTTTTTGCCACCTTGTCCTCCTTAACCTGCAAATTTCACTTTCTGGAAAGACTTCTCTCAACTATACTTTCATTGTACATTGTCAAGAGGGTTGACAATTTCATCCTGTCTTTTACCCTCAGTCACTTCTTTCATAGCTCTTCTGTATTGATTCTAAAAGTGGAGTACCGGTGAACTAGTGTTTGTATTATTGAGAAGACTTCATGAATGATCAGACCATGTAGTGTGCTAAGGCTGTATTTTTTTTTGTGTGTGGGACTTACACCCTGAGAGATGGTTTCAGCATCAGAATCAAATAGACCTTCTTGCACTCTATCAGTTGCTAAAATTTAATTTCCAACATTTGGGGCATGAGCTTGTCTTTTTTTCTTGGAGTTTCTAATTGCCTTTTCTGTATGAAAAAGGCATTATTTGCATTATTTTTAGGTATGACAACTTTGAAAACATACTGTCTTTTGTCCTGAGTCCCCTTTTACCCTGGGAATCTTGGAATCTTTCATTCTCCTGTTCTAATCCTGTGTTAATATTCACTGTGTTTGGGCTTCTATTCTTGGGTCAGATTTGCTGTTTCCTGAAGGCCGCATAGCATAGTGGTTCAGACCAGGGCTTTGTGGTCAGGCAGCCCAGGTTTTGCCAACAGCTCTGCCTCTGTTAAACTTACACCTGGTGCTACAGTGTCCTCATTGAATGAAAATGCTTTCAGATATGAAAAATATAAGAATTTAGTCCATTTGTTTGAAGGCTTTTATTTGATTCTGATTTTTTTGGGGAGGTGGGGTCAGGTAATTATCTTTCTCTAGTGCCTATTATTTTACAAATATCTCATTAAAGACAGCCGATGATAACCATTCTCATGATTCTTTGGCCTCAAATGTGTTTCACTGGTTTGTTTTTTATAGTAGGAAGGAATTATGTTAATGTTATGATTCTTAGAAAAGTATTTTGATCTTATTAGTTTAGTGTGTATCCTGATTATGTTTTGGAAATAAGTGGTTAAATTGATCTGTGGGAGTCTTACAAACTGATTACCAAGTTTCTGATACAGCTTGCCTGTGTCTTGATCCACGTATTGTAAGTCTTTCCTATTATCAGTGAATTTTTCCATACTTCTGTTTCAGAGAATGGAATGATGACTAAGTTAAAAATCACTTCGGGACAAAATTTATTATCCTTCACAGGGTAAATGACAAACATGTCATTTACCTGGTAGAGGATACCAATAGTATCTGTGTTCACAGTCAGCTATGCTATGTTTCATGTTGACTAACAAAGATCTTGTGATAATTAGACTCTGCTGATTTATCTTTTTGTTCACACAATGGTTTTCCAAGGTTTTCTCATCCTTTTAGACATTTAATATTAGTTTGAAAAAGTAGTGAGAACAACACATCTCAATCATTAAGTTTTGATGAAGTGAAGACACCAAAGGTCTGGTATATAGTTGCCTCTTGGTAAGTGATAAGTTCTTACCACATTATTTTTCTGTATTTGAAGGAGAAAGTAGGTTGAATTTATCCAGCATCTGCCATATGCCAGATGAGGTACTTTTCATATATATTTTTTTCATTTAATCTTCACAGTAATTCTCAATCATTATTGCCAACTGAGTAATTGGAAAGTAAGTACCTCTTGAATACCTTGTCATGATTCCCAGTCAATCTGTAATGTTCATCTACCTTGTAAACCATTTTATATGCTAACAGACATTTCTCTGTTTAATACCAGTGAGAAAGCTGACCTTTGGTGGTGTAACTTGATCTACATAAAGCACGAAACACTGTTAGTGGAAGGCAGAGTTGGTCTCTGAATTCTTTGAACTCTTAACGCTCGTCTAGTAACAGCATATTTATTTCCTTTCTACTCTTTGAGGTATGAGTGAGGAAGTTTGAAATGCATAGTAACACCACCTTTTTCTTTTTTTTCTGCCTTTCCAGCTTTTTTGAAAAATTACAATTTATAGAAAAGGTAAAACGTGTATTTTTTTTCCCCAGGATTCACCAGTTAACATTTTGCTTAATCTGCTCTGCTCCTCTTTCTTCCTCTTTTTTTTCCTGAAATATTTTAAGTAAGTAGCAGACAATTTGACACTTATCATTTAGTATTTCAGCATGTCTCCTAAGAATGGAGTCCTACTTCTCATAACTACAATGCCATTATCACACCCAAGAAATTTAATATTCACTAACTAATATTATCTAATATGTGGTCAATTTCCCTGATGTCCCAGTGATAAAAGCCTTACAGCTTCTTTCTCTACTCAGGATACAAGTGAACAAATACATTGCATTTGGTTGTCAGGGTCCCCAACCTTTTTTATTTCCTCCATGACATAGACTTTTGTAGAGTCCGAGATATTTATCCTGTAAACGGTCCCATAATCTGGATTATCTGAGTTCCTTATGATTAGACTCAGGTTAATTGGTTTTTTTATATGAATACCTAAGTATTTTGGGGTGTTTCTCATTGAGTTATACCAGGAGGCACAAAAAGTCTTACACTTGGTGAGTTTAATGGTTTGATTAAGTTGTTTTCGTTTGTTATACACTAAAGGTTCAATTATCCTTTGATGTTAAGAGGCAATCTATGCGGTAATATTTTGAGAACAAGTGATTATCCCATTCCCCAATAAATAGTTTTAACATCTGTGGATACTTCTTGTCTGAAGCATTTGTTACATTGGTGATTGCAAAATAATGATTTTCCTAATACTGTCATTTTTCTATGAATTTGTTAGCTGGCATTCTTCTGTAGGGAAGAGTTTCCTCCCTTGCCCTCCAGATCCTTTTTAAAAAATCCCCATGGACTCATGGATTTTAAAAAAATAGCCTAATTGAGTTAGAATTCATGTACCAGACAGTTTACTCGTTTAAAGTGACAGTTCAAGGGATTTTACTATATTCATAAGTGTGTGCAATCACCACCATAGTCATGGATTCTTTTTTTGTTCGGTAATTATAGTCTATTACCATTAGTATTATTCTTTTGATACTTAAACTGTCCCATATTTGTCCAGTGGGGAGCCTCTTCAGCCTACTTCTGTGTTCATGTGACATTTCCCCGTTAGTCCTTTTTTTTTTTTTTTTTTGAGATGGAGTGTCATTCTGTTGCCCAGGCTGGAGTACAGTGGCATGATCTCAGCTCACTGCAACCTCCGCCTCCCAGGTTCAAGCGATTTTCCTGCCTCAGCCTCCCGAGTAACTGGGATTACAGGCACGCACCACCACACCCAACTGATTTTGCATTTTTTTTTTTTTTTTTTTTTTTTTTGAGACGGAGTCTCGCTCTGTCGCCCAGGCCGGACTGCGGACTGCAGTGGCGCAATCTCGGCTCACTGCAAGCTCCGCTTCCCAGGTTCACGCCATTCTCCTGCCTCAGCCTCCCGAGTAGCTGGGACTACAGGCGCCTGCCACCGCGCCCGGCTAATTTTTTGTATTTTCAGTAGAGACGGGGTTTCACCTTGTTAGCCAGGATGGTCTCGATCTCCTGACCTCATGATCCACCCGCCTCGGCCTCCCAAAGTGCTGGGATTACAGGCGTGAGCCACCGCGCCCGGCCTGATTTTGCATTTTTAGTAGAGTTGGAGTTTCACCATGTTGGCTAGGCTAGTCTCGAACTCCCGACCTCAAGGGAGTCGCCCACCTTGGCCTCCCAAAGTGCTGAGATTACAGGCATGAGCCACTGTGCCAGGCCCCCATTAGTCTTTGAGAACCTCCTTGCTGGTGTAGCAAGGTATCTTAGTCTTACCTTGTACTCTCCCTGCCCCAGTCCTGTAATCAGCCCCTCCCCAAGGGGGCCTTGATTCCTTCTGGTGGGGAGTGGTATTTAGAAACTATAGGTGTATCATTGCATCTAGGCTCTTTTATTGGGCAGAAAAAAAAATTAAATTATTTCATCTTTCCCATTTCATATATTTACATCAGGCAAGAAGAACACAGAATTATGATTTATTTTAAGAATTATACTGTAAACTTCTTTCCGGTGTTCAGTGCTGTGAATTCAGCGTACGTATAGATTTGTATAGCCATCATCACAATCAAGATACAGAACATTTCCATCACCCCAAAGTCCCTTCTGCTAGCCGATGCATACCCATTTCCCTGCTTCCTACTGCTGGCAACTTTAGCGATCTGTTCTCCATCACTATAGTTTTTTCTGTTTGAGAATGTCATTTAAATGGCATTACAGAATATACAGCCTTTACAGATTGCCTTCTGTCACTCAGCGTAATGCCTTTGAGATTCATCCCAGTTATTGCATGTATCAATAGTTTCTTCCTTTTTATTGCAGGGTGGTATTCCATTGTTAGGACGTATAGTGGAATACAAAAATTATGGTTTATCCTTTGATCTATTGAAGGACATTTGACTTCTTTTGGTATCATTATTAAGAGAATTCCTGTTAATAGTCATGTATAAGTTTTTGTGTGAACATCATTTTCATTTTTCTAGGGTAGAAATGCAGGAATGGGTTTGCTGGGCCATGTGGTGAGTGTATATTTAGCTTTATTAGAAACTGTGAACTCTTTTCTTTTCTTTCTTTTTTCTTGAGACAAGGTCTCACTGTGTTAACCCAGGCTGAGTGCAGTGGCGCAGTCTTGGCTCACTGCAACCTGTTTCCCGGGCTCAAGTGATCCTCCTACCTCAGCTTCCTGAGAAGCTGGGACTATAGACATGTACCACCATACCTGGCTAATTTTTGTATTTTTTTGTAGAGATGGGGTTTCACCACGTTGCCCAGGCTGGTCTCAAACTCCTGGGCTCAAGCAGTCTGCCTACCTTGGCATCCCAAAGTGCTGGGGTTATTAGGCCACTGTGCCTGGCCCAAACTCTTTTCTGTAGTGGCTGTACAATTTTACATCCCCACCAGCAGTATATGGTTAGCACTTGATTACTGTCAGGATTTTTATTTTAGCCATTTTAGTAGGTGTGTAATAATACCCCATAATGGTTTTATTTATTATTGTTTTAATCTTAGTTGACTCTTGAATCACAAAAGTTAAATAGTCCAGAAAATAAATTTATTTGCAAAAAAGAACCACACATATTTATGAGAGAGAAACTTTCTATAAGACTCTAAGTTTAGAATATTGAGACTTCTATCTCTTGAACATGGTATCTCCATTTACTTTAATCTCCATTTTCTTTAATGTTTCGATAATACTTTATAAATTTGTTGACCGTTTTGAATTTTCTTAATTTATTCCTAGGTAATATTTTCTGATGCCACTGAAATGTTATCTGTGTCTTCACTTTTTTATGCTAAAATATTTTAAAGTCAATTAATATTACACACTTAAATATTTCGGGATAGACTGGGCATGGTGGCTCATGCCTGTTATCCCAGCACTTTGGGAGGCTGAGGCAAGAGGGTCACTTGAGCCCAGGAGTTTGAGACTAGCCTGGGCAACATAGTGAGACCATGTTCCTACAAAAAATTTTTAAAAAATTGCTGCCTGTGGTGGTGCACACCCATAGTCCCATTTACTTGGGAGGCTGAGGTGGGAGAATCACTTGAGCCCAGGAAGTGGAGGCTGCAATGAGCTTAGATTATGCCACTGTACTCCAGTCTGGGCAATAGAGCAATGTTAGAAAGAATGCTGAGTGCTGGAACTCTAATCCATTGCTATCAGAGAGGGAATAAAGTCCTTCTGAAAAAATAGTTTCATATGATACAGTAAAACTGAAGATCCATATAAGCTGATTTTCTCCACCACTGGCAGGTGTATACCTAACAGAAATGCACATGTGCACCAAGAGACACATGCAACAATATGCATATCAATATTGTTTATAACAGGAACAATTTGAGATAAATGTTTCTCAATATGAGAAAAAATAAACTATGATATGTAAGTGCATGGAATAATACACAGTAGTGTAAAAAGAACAAACTGCAGCTCTTGCAACAACATGGATCAATCTCAACAAATTTCATAACAAGAGATGCAAAGTCATATAGGGTAAGTGCTCATACACAGTTCAGAAGCAGTGCTTGCCACATTTTCAAATGGTGCAGCAAATATATATTTATATCCATCTATTGAGATATCAAGAAAACACGGCGAAAGGTTAATAATATTTGGGAATCTGGGTGAAGAATATGCAAAAATTCATTGAGCTATTTTGTTACCATTTTGTAGGTTTGAGATTTTTCAACATAAAAGGATAGGAAAGAGTTAAAAATCAGATTAAAGCTAATTTATATGGTTTTGGAGTACAAACATGGGTAGTAAAATGATAAGAAAATACCACAATTAAGGATAGTACCAACTCTGGGAAGAAGGATGAACTTTTGCTGAGGAAGAGCCTAGTAGGGGTCTTCTGGTGCTGGTCATTTCTTTACCTGAGTAAATGTGTGAGCTTTCCTTTATAATTATCTATTAAACAATCCATATGAATTATATGCATTTTTCATATACATATTTCACAGGAGAAGAAAGGTAAAAACAGTGTAATGAGGTATATAAAAATACTTTCAAAGAAAGATTGCTATCCACTTGTTAAACATTATTATTATTTTTTTTAAAAAACCCTGCATTTGCTTTGTAACAAGCGAAGTAAGGGGATTTTTGCTATGTGAGTTGTTTACCTGAGATAAATTTATCAAAGGCACTTACTGAGGACCAATTTTTGAGGCTACCAATATAATGTCATCTTACTTTTACATAAGGTAGTTCTTATACAGCTATCAATTCTGAATCTTGTTTAGTTTGGTAATACTAGGTAATAAATTCTTTTAAATAATCCCAGGCTGGAGTGCAGTGGTGTAGTCATGGCTCACTGCAACCTCTGCCTCCCGGGTTCAAGTGGTTCTCCAGCGTCAGCCTCCTGAGTAGCTGGGACTACAGGCACCCACCAGCACTCCTGGCTAATTTTTGTATTTTTAAATGAGATGGGGTTTTACCCTGTTAGCAAGGCTGATCTCCAACTCCTGACCTCAAGTGATCTACCTGCCTTGGCCTCCCAAAGTGCTGGGATTACAGGCATGAGCCACCACGCCTGGCCCAAAACTTGTTATATTTGAAGCCAGATGTATTCTGGTGTTTCTGAGGCCTGGAACGAACCACATTGCCCTTCTGGGAGCTAACCACAGAAACAAGCACCCTGCCCTTACTAGAGGGGAAATAATGCAGGGAAGACCAACAAACTACTCCCAGGAGTTGATGCTGTTTCTCATAGTGGTTTTAATTTTCAGTTCCCTAATGGCTAATGATGTTGAACATCTTTTCATATGCTTATTTGGCATCCTTGCATCTTTTTATCGTGAAGTATCTGTTCAGTCTTTTTCTCATTTTTAATTGTACGGTTTCTTTGGGAGTTTCGAAAGTTCTTTATATATTTGGAATGCTCATCCTTTGCCCTTAGGTGATTTGCAGTATTTTCTAATAATCTGTAACTTGTAATTTCTCTAAACAGTATTATTTGCAAAGTTAAAGTTTTAAATTTTGGTAAAGTTCAGTTCATTTTTTCTTTTATGAATTGTACTTTGGATGTCATCTCTAGGAACTCTGCCTAACTCTAAGTCATTAAGGTTTTCTCCCATGTTTTCTTCTAAAAGTTTTATAGCTCTATGTTTTACATTTACATCTATAATCCATTTTGAGTTGATTTTTATTTAAGGGGTGAGGTTTAGCTCAAAGTTTGTTTTTTGCATATATAGATGTCTAGTTATTCTAACAGCATTTGTTGAAAAGATTTTTTTTTTCCTCACTGAAATGCTTTTGCATCTTTTAAAAAAATCAGTTGGCCAGATTTGTATGGGTCTGTAGCTGGAAGAAATATATATATTAAGGAATCTGTATATATAGGTTCCAAGCAATGTCTTTATTTTTCTTTATTTAGGTGTTTGTTTTCATATTTTTGAATATCCCAGTCTTGAAAGATGATGTTTTGATTTTCTGAGACCTTTCCCTTCGTTTTTTAATTTAATTTTCTTTTTCTCGAGACAAGGGTGTTGCTCTGCCACCAAGGCTGGGGTGCAGTGGCGTGATCTCAGCTCACTGCAGCCTCCCTTCTGGATTCAAATGCCACCTGAGTAGCTGGGATTACAGGTGTGCACCACCATGCCCTGCTAATTTTTGTATTTTTAATAGAGGCGGGGTCTCACCATGTTGGCCAGTCTGGTGTTGAACCCCTGGCCTCATGTGATCTGCCCAACACAGCCTCCTGAAGTGCTGGGATTACAGGCATGAGCCACCGTGCCTGGCCTGTTTGTTTTTTTTAATTGATATGATGGCTATCTTAAAAAAGTCTCAAAGCAGGCTGGGTGCGGTGGCTCACGCCTGCAATCCCAGTGCTTTGAGAGGCTGAGGTGGGCAGATCACGAGGTCAGGAGATTGAGACCATCCTGGCTAACACGGAGAAACCCCATCTCTACTAAAAATACAAAAAATTAGCCAGGCGTGGTGGCAGGCGCCTGTAGTCCCAGCTACTCAGGAGGCTGAGGCAGGAGAATAGCGTGAACCTGGGAGGCGGAGCTTGCAGTTAGCCCAGATCACGCCATTGCACTCTAGCCTGGGCGACAGAGCGAGACTCCGTCTCAAAAAAAAAAAAAAAAAATCTCAAACTGTTTTCTGTCTTTTCTCTCCTAAAACATCTCTTTGTTCCTTTTTCTTTTTTAAGTGATAGAAAGGACTGACTTTTTAGTCACTGTTTTTACAGTTCAATAATTCGGTATCTTTCACTTTTTTTCTGTCTCTATTTTTCTGAACATGCCTATTTTCTCTTGCATTACTATACTGTTAATATGTAGACAGTGGATTAGAAGCTCAGTTCTTCCTCTTTTTTGATTCATAATATAGTTACTATTACTTCCTTATATAGATTGTGCCATTAGTTTTTAAAATTCTTGCTGTTGCATTATCATGTAGTAAAAATAATTTCAACATTCACCTACGGGAATGAGGAAAAGGTGCTGTGTATTTTGTTTTATCCAAGCACGAAGGATCTTTGCTTTGAGTTGTCTTCCTTACAATATCCTATAAAATACATAATCTGAAGTGAGTTGCTAAGATTACTGTTTACTTTGTGCTGAAATAAACCTAGAACCTAAATTATTTGCTTCTTATTGTAGCACTGCCTTCTTAGAATTGAAACTCTAAAAATCATGGAATTAATGTGAAGTTTTTAATGCAGAGGACAGATTATAGAAATTTTCTTTGTACACTATCACTCAAACGTTTGCTGTAGTTTTGAGAATAATATTGTTACTGAAGTGGTGACCCAGTAATTTTTAGTTCACCAGAAAACATTTATAGAGTAAGTGTAGGGTACAGAGGTGTAGAATTAGCCATGTGTGGATGGGACAGAGGAGAGAGATTCTGCCCCTAGACAGCTTCTCCTATTTGTGTGTGGAAATTCATGGATATTTGTAAAGCAGTTCATTAGTAGTTGAACACTCAGTAATTGGATATTTTAAAGTGTTGGAGTACTGACAAGATAAGAACAAATAGACAGTGAAGGAGTGAATCCCTGTCTCTGAATGAGTTGAATTCTGGGCAGTCCTTTTAGACAACTTAGAAAAAGGAAGGGTAGAGTAAAGGAATTGATATGTTGACATTGGAAAGCATTTTTTTTAAAAAAATTAAACTTTAAGTTCTGGGATACATGTGCAGAATGTGCAGGTTTGTTACATAGGTATACATGTGCCATGGTGGTTTGCTGCAACCATCAACCCGTCTTATACATTAAGTATTTATCCTGATGCTATCCCTCCTGTAGCCATCCCCTACCCCTCGACAGGCCCCAGTGTGTGATGTTCCCCTCCCTGTGTCAATGTGTTCTCATTGTTCAACTCCCACTTATGAGTGGGAACATGCAGTGTTTGGTTTTCTGTTCCTGTGTTACTTTGCTGAGAATGATGGGTTCCAACTTCATCCATGTCCCTGCAAAGGACATGAACTCATCCATTTTTATGGCTGCATAGTATTCAATGATGTATATGTGCCACATTTTCTTTATCCAGTCTATCATTGATGGGCATTTAGGTTGGTTCCAAGTCTTTGCTGTTGTGAATAGTGCCGCAATAAACATACTTGTGCATGTGTCTTTATAGTAGAATGATATATAATCTGTTGGGTATATACCCAGTAATGAGATTGCTGGGTCAAATGGTATTTCTGGTTCTAGATCCTTGAGGAATTGCCACACTGTCTTCCACAATGGTTGAACTAATTTACACTCCCACCAACAGTGTAAAAGCATTCCTATTTCTCCACATCCTCTCCAGCATCTGTTGTTTCCTGACTTTTTAATGATTGTCATTCTATCTGGCATGAGATGGTATCTCATTGTGGTTTTAATTTGCATTTCTCTAATGCCCATTGATGATGAGCATTTTTTCATATGTTTGTTGGCCACATAAATGTCTTTTTTTGAGAAGTGTCTGTTCATATCCTTTGCCCAGTTTTTGATGGGGTTGTTTGTTTTTTTCTTGTAAATTTAAGTTCCTTGTAGATTCTGGATATTAGCCCTTTGTCAGAGGGATAGATTACAAAAATTTTCTCCTATTCTGTAGGTTGCCTATTCACTCTGATGATAGTTTCTTTTGCTGTGCAGAAGCTCTTTAGTTTAATTAGATCCCCTTTGTCAATTTTGGCTTTGTTGCCATTGCTTTTGGTGTTTTAGTCATGAAGTCTTTGCCCATGCCTGTGTCCTGAATGGTATTGCCTAGGTTTTCTTCTATGGTTTTTATGGTTTTAGGTCTAACGTTTAAGTCTTTAACCCATCTTGAGTTAATTTTTGTATAAAGAGTAAAGAAGGGGTCCATTTTGAGTTTTCTGCTTATGGCTAGCCAGTTTTCCCAACACCATTTACTAAGTAGGGAATCCTTCCCCCATTGCTTTTTTCAGGTTTGTCAAAGATCAGATGGTTGTAGATGTGTGGCGTTATTTCTGAGGCCTCTGTTCTGTCCCTTGGGTTTGTATATGTGTTTTGGTACCAGTACCATGCTGTTTTGGTTTACTGTGCCTTGTAGTATAGTTTGAAGTCAGGTAGCGTGATGCCTCCAGCTTTGTTCTTTTGCTTAGGATTGACTAGGCTATGCAGGCTCTTTTTTGATTACGTATGAAATTTAAAGTAGTTTTTTCTAATTCTGTGAAGAAAGTCAATGGTAGCTTGATGGGAATAACATTGAATCTATAAATTACTTTGAGCAGTATGGCCATTTTCACGTTAATGATTCTTCTTATCCATGAGCATGGAATGTTTTTCCATTTATTTGTGTGGTCTCTTATTTCCTTGAGCAGTGGTTTGTAGTTCTCCTTGAAGAGGTCCTTCACATCTGTTGTAAGTTGTAGTCCTAGGTATTTTATTTCCTTTATAGCAATTGTGAATGGGAATTCACTCATTATTTGGCTGTTTATCTATTATTGGTGTATGGAAATGCTTGTGATTTTTGCACATTGGTTTTGTATCCTGAGATTTTGCTGAAGTTGCTTATCAGCTTAAGGAGATTTTGGGCAGAGTCGATGGGGTTTTCCAAATGTACAATTATGTCATCTGCAAACAGAGACAATTTGACTTCCTCTCTTCCTATTTGAATACCGTTTATTTGTTTCTCTTGCCTGATTGCCCTGGCCAGAACTTCCAATACTCTGTTGAATAGGAGTGGTGAGAGAGGGCATCTTTGTCTTATGTCAGTTTTCAAAGGGAATGCTTCCAGCTTTTGGTCATTCAATATGATACAGGCTGTGGTTTTGTCATAAACAGCTCATAATATTTTGAGATACGTCCCATCAATGCCTGGTTTATTGAGAGTTTTTAGCATGAAGAGATGTTGAATTTTATTGAAGGCCTTTTCTGCATCATTTGAGATAATCATGTGGTTTTTGTCATGGTTCTGTTTATGTAATGGATTACATTTGTTGATTTGCATATGTTGAACCAGCCTTGTATCCCAGGGATGAAGCTGACTTGATCATGGTGGATAAGCTTGTCGGTGTGCTGCTGGATTCGGTTTGCCAGTATATTATTGAGGATTTTCACATTCATGTTCATCGGGGTTATTGGCCTGAAATTTTCTTTTTTTGTTGTGTCTCTGCCAGGTTTTGGTATCAGGATGATGTTGGCCTCATAAAATGAATTACGGAGGAGCCCCTCTTTTTCTATTGTTTGGAATAGTTTCAGAAGGAATGGTACCAGCTCCTCTTTGTACCTCTGGTAGAATTCGGCTGTGAATCCGTCTGGTACTGGGCCTTTTTTGGTTTGTAGGCTATTAATTACTTCCTCAATTTCAGAGCCTGTTATTGGTCTATTCAGAGATTCACCTTCTTCCTGGTTTAGTCTTGGGAGGGTGTATGGGTCCAGGAATTTATCCATTTCCTCTACATTTTCTTGTTTATTTGCATAGAGGTGTTTATAGTATTCTCTGATAGTAGTTTGTATTTCTGTGGGTTCAGTGGTGATATCCCCTTTATCACTTTTTATTGTGTCTGTTTGATTCTTCTCTCTTTTCTTCTTTATTTGTCTGGCTAGTGGTCTATTTTGTTAACCTTTTCAAAACATCAGCTCCTAAATTAATTGTGTTTTTGGGGGGTTTTTTTGTGTCTCTTTCTCCTTCATTTCTGCTCGTAGTTATTTCTTGTCTTCTGCTAGCGTTTGAATTTGTTTGCTCTTCTCTAGTTCTTTTAATTGTGATGTTAGCATGTCTATTTTAGATCTTTCCTGCTTTCTCCTGTTGGCATTTAGTGCTATAAATATGCGTCTAAAACACTGCTTTAGCTGTGTCCCAGAGATTCCGGTACGTTGTGTATTTGCTTTCATCAGTTTCAAAGAACTTATTTATTTCTCCCTTAATTTCGTTTTGTAACCAGTAGTCATTCAGGAGCAGGTTGTTCAGTTTCCATGTAGTTGTGCGGTTTTGAATGAGTTTCTTAATCCTGAGTTCTAATTTGATTGCACTGTGATCTGAGAGACTATGATGATTTCCATTTTTTTACATTTGCTGAGGAGTGTTTTACTTCCAATTATGTGGTCAATTTTAGAATAAGTGCGATGTGTTGCTCAGAAGAATGTATATTCTTTTGATTTGGGGTGGAGAGTTCTGTAGATGTCTATTAGGTCCCCTTGGTCCAGAGCTGAGTTCAAGTCCTGAATATCCTTGTTAATTTTCTGTCTTGTTGATCTGTCTAATATTGACAGTTGGTGTTAAAGTCTCCCACTGTTGTTGTGTGGGCATCTAAGTCTGTTTGTAGGTCTCTAAGAACTTGCTTTATGAATCTGGGTGCTCCTGTATTGGGTGCATATGTATTTAGGATAGTTAGCTCTTCTTGTTGCGTTGATCCCTTTACCGCTACATAATGCCCTTCTTTGTCTTTTTTTATGTTTGTTGGTTTAAAGTCTGTTTCGTCAGAGACTAGGATTGCAACCGCTGATTTTTTTTGGTTTCCATTTGCTTGGTAAATATTCCTCCATCCTTTTATTTTGAGCCTATTTGTGTCTTTGCACATGAGATGGGCCTCCTGAATACAGCACACTGATGGGTCTTCACTCTTTATCCAGTGTGCCATTCTGTGTCTTTTAGTTGGGGTCATTTAGCCTGTTTACATTTAAGATTAATATTGTTATGTGTGAATGTGATCCTGTTGTTACGATGCTAGGCAAAATAACCTATTAATTGATGCAGTTTCTTCGTAGTGTTGACGGTCTTTACAATTTGGTATGTTTTTGCAGTGGCTGGTACCAGTTGTTCCTTTCCATATTTAGTGCTTCCTTCAGGAGCTCCCATAAGCCAGGCCTGGTGGTGACAAAGTCTCTCAGCATTTGCTTGTCCATAAAGGATTTTATTTCTCCTTTGCTTATGAAGCTTAGTTCGGCTGGATTTGAAATTCTGGGTTGAAAATTCTTTTAAGAATGTTGAATATTGGCCTCCACTCTCCTCTGGCTTGTAGGGTTTCTGCAGAGAGACCTGCTGTTAGTCTGATGGCTTCCCTTTGTGGGTAACCCGACCTTTCTCTCTGGCTGCCCTTAACATTTTTTCCTTCATTTCAACCTTTGTGAATCTTGACGATTATGTTGCTCTTTCTCGAGGAGTATCTTAGTGGTGTTCTCTGAATTTCCTGAATTTGAATGTTAGCCTCTCTTGCTAGGTTGGGGAAGTTCTCCTGGATAATATCCTGCAGAGTATTTTCCAACTTTGTTCCATTCTCCCCGTCACTTTGAGGTGTGCCAATCAAACGTAGGTTTGGTCTTTTCACATAGTCCTATATTTCTTGGAGGCTTTGTTTGTTCCTTTTCATTCTTTTTTTCTCTAATCTTGTCTTCACATTTTATTTCATTAAGTTGATCTTCAGTCTCTGATATCCTTTCTTCTGCTTGATCTATTTGGCTATTAATACTTGTGTATACTTTATGAAGTTCTAAAAATGTGGAAAGCTTCACGAATTTGCATGTCATCCTTGCACAGGGCCCATGCTAATCTTCTCTGTATTGTTCCAATTTTAGTGTATGTGCTGCTGGAGCCAACGCGGAAAGCGTTATTTTTAAAAAGTGTGCTTAACTGCCTTTAAGGAGTATTTTTTACTTGTACTTTGAATGGTACTAAAACATTGAGCCTGGGCTTTCTTCATGAAATCATATACACCAAACACCCCTTTGGGGTTGGGATTTTTGTTAATTCTTTTTTTTTAAAATTTAAATTTACTTTAGGTTCAGGGGTACATGTACTGGTTTGTTATGTAGGGAGACTTGTGTCATGGAGGTTTGTTGTACAGATTATTTTGCCACCCAGGTACTAAGTCTTGTGCCCATTAGTTTTTTTTTTTTTTCCTGATCCTCTCCCTCCTCCCAGCCTCCACCGTCCGATAGGCTGCAGTGTCTCTTATTCCCCTCCGTGGATCTATGTGTTCTCATCATTTAGCTCGCAATTATAAATGAGAACATGTGGTATTTGGTTTTCTCTTTCTGCATTAGTTTGCAAAGGATAATGGCCTCTAGCATCATCCATATTCCTGCAAAGGAAGTGATGTCGTTTTTTCTTACGGCTGTATAGTATTCATGGTATATATGTACCACATTTCCTTTATCCAGTGTTTTATTACGGGCATTTAGGTTGATTCCATGTCTTTGCTGTTGTGAATAGTGCTGCAGTGAACATACGTGTGCATGTGTCTTTATGATAGAAGGATTAATATTCCTTTGGGTATATACTCAGTAATGGAGTTGTAGCCCTGTAATAGAGCTTGAAGTCTGGTAGTGTGAGGCCTTTAAGTTTGTTCTTTTTGCTTAGGATTACCTTGGCTACCTGGGCTCTTTTTTTTTGTTCCATATGAATTTTAAAATAGTTTTTTTCTAGTTCCGTGAAGAATGTCAGTGGTAGTTTAATAGGCATAGGGTTGAATCTATTATATAAATTGCTTTGGGCAGTATGGCCGTTTTCACAATATTGATTCTTCCTACTCATAAGCATGGAGTGTTTTTTCATTTGCTTGTGTCATCTCTGATACCTCTGAGCAGTGTTTTCTAGTTCTCCTTGTAGTATCTTTCACCTCCTTGGTTAGCTGGATTTCTAGGTATTTTGTTCTTTTTGTGGCAGTTGTGAATGGGAGTTCATTCCTGATAGGTCTCTTGGCTTGCCGGTGTATAGGAATGCTAGTGATTTTTGTACGTTGATTTTGTATCCTGAGACTCTGCTGAAGTTGTTTATCAGCATAAGGAGCTTTTGGGCCGGGACTATGGGGTTTTCTAGATATATGATCATGTCATTTACTGAGTTTTTAACATGAAGTGGTGTTGAATTTTATTGAAAGCCTTTTCTGTGTCTATTGAGATAATCATGTAGTATTTGTTTATTTATTTATTTCATGCATAACTCCTCAAGTTAGAGGGAGAAAATAAAATTGCGAGTCAAGGTGGAATTTGTTTGGAAGGCTCTGTGTGATGTTCTCATATAAATTATAGAAATGAGTAGTCTTAGAATATCAGCATTAAATAGAACTTTTAAAAAAATTCATGTAGCAGTAGGACAAAAGAAAAAGGTGTAATTAGCTAGTTAACACTCTGTCTACTATGTAGTAACCTATTTACTATGGGTCATTTACTGATTACCACACGTAATTGTTAGGAAAGTCTTTGTAGCAAAAATGACCATGATGCTCCAGTTTGTGGACAGTAAAGAATCCACTTTGCTTTTGGCTCTTAGTTGTAGGATTACATTTAAAAGATCTCAAATGAATTTACTCTCATTGCAATTAAAAAATATAAACTGTTAACTTCTTATCAAAAACACTTTACTGCTGTTCTTTATATTAAAATAAAGTTAGACGTATGCTGAATCTCATAAAAACTGGTTGGATACAGAATAAAAAAAGTTGATTTATCTCATGCAAATCAAAAACCCCAAAACAGTTTACAACCTATTTTGTAACTCAGAGGATGTTAAACAGGCATCACTCATGTTTTGAGGCATCTTGAGGCATTATTCAGTATATATGATTTTGCCAACTTGGATGGCCTTTGCATTTTCTCAAATTTGCTTGTGTGTTTTTTTTGAGACGGAGTCCCGCACTTTTGGCTGGGCTGGAGTGCAGTGGCGCGATCTCAGCTCACTGCAAGCTCTGCCTCCCGGGTTCAAGCAATTCTCCTGCCTCAGCCTCCTGAGTAGCTGGGATTACAGGCGCATGCCACCATACCTGTCTAATTTTTTGTATTTTTGTTTTTTTTTTTTTTTTGAGATGGAGTCTCGCTCTGTTGCCCAGGCTGGAGAGCAGTGGTACGATCGGCTTACTGCAAGCTCCGCCTCCCGGGTTCACGCCATTCTTCTGCCTCAGCCTCCTGAGTAGCTGGGACTACAGGTGCCCACCACCAAGCCCAGCTAATTTTTTGTGTGTTTAGTAGAGACGGGGTTTCACCATGTTAGCTAGAATGCTCTTGATCTCCTGACTTCGTGATCCGCCCACCTCGGCCTCCCGAAGATTTTTTGTATTTTTAATAGAGACGAGGTTTCACCATGCTGGCCAGGCTGATCTTGAACTCCTGACCTCGTGATCCGCCTGCCTTGGCCTCCCAAAGTGCTGGGATTACAGGTGCAAGCCACCGTGCCCGGCCATGTGTGTGTTTTTAAAACTATTTTTTAAATTCCATTTCTTGTCTGGGCACGGTGGCTCACGCCTGTAATCCCAGCTTTGGGAAGCCGAGATGGGTGGATCACGAGGTCAGGAGTTCGAGACCAGCCTGACCAACATGGTGAAACCTCATCTTTAATAAAAATACAAAAATTAGCTGGGCATGGTGGCAGGCACCTGTAATCCCAGCTACTCAGGAGGCTGAGGCAGGAGAATAGCTTGAACCCGGGAGGCGGAGGTTGCAATGAGCCGTGATCGCACCATTGCACTGCAGCCTGGGTGGCAGAGCAAGACTCCGTCTTGGAAAATAAAAAAAAAATTTCTTAAAGAATTGGAGCCATCAAAGTTGGCAAGCATTAAGCATGCTAATTAGTTCAACATACTGACCAATTCTCTGAATTATTAGTTCAAAGAAGCATGTGGACAGGGATGAAATTAAATTTGGGAATTTTTCACTCTAGTTGTTTTAGGATACTCAGGTTTGCTTTGATCTGTAAATAACAGATGCTTTTCCATGCATGGTTTAGAGTACATCAAACATGTTCAAAACTTTATCTCAGATACTTAAAATCAAGTTATTTTATTTTCCTGATATACATGCATTTGCTTTATTTTTAAAAATAAACTGTCATAAAATAGTTGTAAGGCCATACATAAAATTTACTTTATTAATTGCTAAAATATATTGCTTATTTAAATAATCAGTTTTAAGAGTAAAAGCTTTGGCAACTATGAAAGCATAGGGAGTATGTGTTCATATGTGAATGTATTGTGTGTGTATGCATAGTATACTTTTAGGTATCTAAGTAGTGAAGATAAATGTCTGCTTTACTTTTATTAGCTAAATATTATATTTAACTTAATAATTATTTAATCACTAGAATGAAAATAAAACTTTGAACAGAAGCATTGTTTTTAACTTAAGTTTCATAGTTTACTACCTCTTTTGGCTCTTAACCATAATTTTAGTACTGGGAAGAATTTTTTTAACGAATGGCATAAAATGGATTGCAGATGGGATGAGAAAGGTGCAGGACCAAGAGGGTAAGAACTGAGAAGTCCTCGATTCTGTTTTCCACACTCCCTGAACAGAAGGCTTGACTGGCGTAGGCCCTGCTCCAACCTAGTGTAGGCTGCAGGAAGCCATGTGACAAGAGTCCAGATTGTTGTCCAATGGTGGAAGCCTCCCATTTATAAGTAATAATAAGAATAAGAATGTTTGGCATTGAGCGAGGTGCGGTGGCTCACGCCTGTAATCCCAGCACTTTGGGAGGCTGAGGCGGGTGGATCACCTGAGGTCAGAAGTTCAAAACCAGCCAGGCCAACATGATGAAACCCCTATCTCTATTAAAAATACAAAAAAAATAGCTGGGCATGGTTGTGGGTGCCTGTAATCCCAGCTATTCGGGAGGCTGAGGCAGGAGAATTGCTTGAATCCGGGAGGTGGAGGTTGCAGTGAGCCAAGATCGTGCCATTGCCCTCCAGCCTGGTCAACAACAGTGAAACTCCATCTCAAAAAAAAAAAAAAAAAAAAGAATGTCTGGCATTAATTCTAGAACTGAGATGCTCTTTTGCTTAGTAAAGTCATTTTTTCTTTTTGATCATTAAGCTACATGAGGTTTTGTAATGCATTCCATTTGTGGCTGTTCTTTATCAAAATATTACTATAACAGTAGCTTCCTTAGTACATCAGACATCAGGACACTGAAGGTCTAGTTGCAGTTTTGCCACTCGCTATCTTGTGCCTTTTGAAGTTGTTTAATCTCTCTGGGTATTGATTTCCTTTTTTAAAAAATAGTTGGTAAACTATGACCTGTGGGCCTAATCCAGATCACAGCCTGTTTTTGTAATAAAGCTTTATTGGCATGCAGCCACTTTCTTTCATTTATGTATTGTCTGTCTGCTTTCACACAACAGTGGCAGAGTTGAGTAGTTGTAACAGAGACTGTATGGACCATAAAGCCTAAGCTATTTATTATCTGACTCTTTACAGAAAAAGTTTTCTGAATCCTAGACTAGATCATCTTTGAGGGCTGTGCTGTGCCTTAGATTAGATTTCCTTTTTGTCAATTTCTCTTTAATTCTAAGTTCTCAAAAGATGTCTGTCTTTAAAGGATATAGCATATCATTTCCTCGTTATCAAATTTGCAAATTATGAAAAGAAGGAAAATACTGAGTAGATCATTGGTTCCCAAAGTACAGTCCCTCCACGAATAGCAGCTGCATTCCCTAGGAACTTGCTAGAAATGCAGAATCTAAGTCCCCACTTGAGATCTTCTGAATCAGAAACTTGGGGTGAGGCCCAGAATTTGTGTTATACACCCTCTGCATGATTCTGATGCATTCTGAAGTGTGAGAACCACTGGACTAGGTGATACAAAGTTCAGTTAACAGATTTTCTTCTGTTTTGAAAAAAAGAAGAGCTTAAATACCAAAACCATTTGATAGGTATATCAGGAGGAAAATGAAATGTTGGATATTATTACTAAGCTGGTGAAATTAATATTTTCTCTAGTAAAACTCCTTGTCATAAATTGTGGATAAGTTTTAATATAATGAGAAATTTCTGAGAGGTACATCTGTGTCACTTTCAGCATATTTTTAATGGACAGAAAAGTAAATATGATTTATTTCTTTGTGGGGTTTTCTTTTTTTGGTGGGAGATCACTTTGAATTATTTCAAAACTGATGATTTGTAATAAACAGTTTTCAGAATAAAAGAATTACATTAAGAATTAATTTGCTTGTGAAGAAAGTGTCTTAAGAAAAGAGCATTTAAGGGGCACAGCAGCCTCTGCTGTAGCTGGATTTCTTACCCATTTTAAGTGACATCAGTGTTGAATTGACTTTTTCCTCAGTGCTAAAAGCTGCTAGAAATGAGCACCAGTCACACTACTGATCTGTGTTAGGAAAGATCACAAACACAGTACTTTGTAATAAATGTCAGAGGAATAGCAAAATTGTACATGTCAAGAAAGCATTACAGGATGACGTTGCTATTTGGAGAATTGCTTTCATCTTTGAGATATCTCACACCTGCTTCATTTGGCATAGGTTGTTTCTATTTCATGAAAAACAGTCTTTTCCCTCCCCCAGATCCCAAGTTACATAGAAACAGTATGCTAACAAGGGAAAAATTTTAACATAAAAACTCACTTGAAGGTGCCATCTAAAAACTCAGTGTGTAAACTTAGTTAACTAACTTTATTTTGTTGAAAAGGGACCCTTGGTTTGTGTGTGTGTATGTGTGTGTACACATGAATACGTACCTATGTATACATTTGTTACTGTGTGTGTGTTTATATATGTATGTATACAGTTCATTTGATGTGCGTGTATATGCACCCATTTCCATGTATGTATTTAAAAGAATACATACAACAAACTTTTTTTTTGAGGCAAAGTTTCCCTCTGTCACCCAGGCTGGAGTGCAGTGGCACAGTCTCGACTCACTGCAACCTCCGCCTCCTGGGTTCCAAGCGATTCTCATGTCTCAGCCTCCCGAGTAGCTGGGACTACAGATGTGTGCCACCATGCCTGGCTAATTTTTGTGTTAGTAGAGACTGGGTTTTGCTGTGTTGGCCAGGCTGGTCTTGAAGTCCTGGCCTCAAGTGATCTGCTCACCTCAGCCTCCGAAAATGCTGGGATTATAAGTGTGAGCCGATGTGCTTGGCAAACAAACTTTTGTATATATAATCCTTTCATACTAATATTTAACTACTTGTAAAAACTATGTTAACCCCCAGTCACTAACACAGTTCCGTAGTCCATATTTATTATTGCTTCTTTCACTTTTCTCCTTTCTTCATGCATGAAAATATAATGTGATCCAAGGGGGTATGTGTGCATGAGGTGTGTGTTTATAGAGTAACAGTTAAATGTCTCGAAATAAACTGATTTGGATTTTTAGGTTATAGATGTTTTTGTTTTTTATTAAACGTCTTGATTGTTTGACTGTCATGGTTGTTTGTATAACTCCTTGAGAAACTTCCACATGCGGGTAGTTTTTGAAAAAGAAAATATTTATTTGCTTCAGTTTTTCAGGGGATGGTATCATACTGCTTTTTCACATTTTATGGGTGACATATTTGGCTATCTCTGGGCAAAAATCCAGTTAAAAATAATAGTATTTAATATTTAATAAACTACCAGGCTTTTGAGCCATCTGGAACTTTATTTTCTTTGCACGCAGCATCTGAGTTTCAGCTGTTAGCGTTTCTCCTTTGCTCTGGGAAGGGTCAATTGCTTTTAAAGTCTTTGAAGCTTGCTGTGTCAGCCCTTTTCATATTTTCAAAATGCCCGTGTAAAAGGGTTTTTCATCCATTCATGCTGATAAGTCTTTTGAACTTGAGGTTTGAACCAAGCTAATCAAATTTAATTATAGCTTAAATCCCGTTACAGTGAACTCCAGTGGACTTCTAGGCTAGGGTTTTTTTGTTTTGTTTTTTTTTTTTTTTTTGGTGTTATACTGGAATTTAGCCATTACCAATATTACTTGAAGTGAGCAGGCCATTGACTGCAGTTTGGGAGACCTTTTGTAATGGTCAGATTTTAGTTATAGTGACATTGGCAATATGATTTGAACTTTATTCTTTTCCAAAGGAAATAATTGAATTAGCCACAAGTAAAATTTCTTGTTCTTTGCATATATTTCAAATTACCTTTTCCTATTTGTCTTAAACAATTTTGAACAATTAAAATCTTAAAAGTACTTTCTTAAAGAGTCCTTTGGTGGTGGTGTCGCTGATGCTCGTTTTTTGTTTTTAAGATCCATAACAGAATAAGGATTTATATACATCCTCCTAGGGATAATGTCATGGTTTCTGCATATTTGCATAGCATTTTGAGAGAGACTTTTTCCTTTTTGCTTCATGAAAAAAAGTTTGAGCAGTATAATTTTCTAGAAAGAAGGAAATATAAATATTTTAGACTGTAGCATATACTAAAGGGAGGTGGACTAGTACTGATATTTTTAGTGCTTTCTTCAAAATGATTGCTAACACGTGTATTATATTTTAGTATCTTGTTGCATTCACTTGTTAATCTGTATTTATGCTTCTGTATATGCAGAGTTTTTTGTTTTTTCCAACACAATTTAAAATTCTACTTAAAAATTACTTGTTTGGATTTCTAAGCAGATTTGGGAATTACGGCATTGAAAATACTTTGTTGCTTTTTATGTCTCAATAAAGTCTATGCATTTTTATAATATTGGACCAGTGTTTGACCTGCCAGAATAAAATGATGATAGAACTCATTGTGTCCTCAAATAATTGGATTCTGAAATGGAAGATAGGGTTCATGAAGAATAAAAAATAGTAGATCTCATGTAAAGGTGAAAATTTACTTTTCTTTTTAGTATTCAACTCAAAATTGCCAGTTTCCCTGAATTTATTATAGCAATTTCTCTTGTTTTAAAATGAAGTGAAATGTGAAGTTAATTTACATACTAGCTGCTTTGAAGTGTAATTTTGCTTGCCAAGTTGTTACAGATTTTTATACAGACTTTTTAAGGAATTTAGTAATAATGCTGCCACAGTGTGTAGGACAAGTTCATGCCTTGCATCTTTGATGGGCGTTAGAATTGTTTGCCACAGTTCCCACTCTGGTTGGAGGGCACAACCAATTCGTCTATGCCTTTTGACTTCCATGCCGGAGAGTGTGACTTCTGCATCTGTTTGTTAGTATTTTTATGTAAGCAGAAGCCAAGAATGTCATTAGAAAGTAAAACTTTAACAAGAGGGACTGAATCCTACTAGGCCAACATAATTTATAGAGAGCAGGGGCTAACATTTTCATTTGGGAAAAATGCTTCCATTTCTATACGTGTTTAGACGGAGTACCTTAAGCATTGTTTTAGTCTTTTCCTATCTACATGTTACCATTCAGAACTTAGGTGGATGAAACACATTTTATATGTAGTTACAGAGAGATACAGAATTAAAAGCCTACAGATACAAGCATTAGAATTGTGACGGGGGTAATTAGAAACATGGAGTCTGAAGGTAGCCTATCTGGATTCAAATCCCAGCTCCAGTACTTAGCCATGTGGCCTTAGGCAAGTTATTTAAACTGACTTATTTTGTTCCTCTGTAAGATGAGAGTAACAATAATACCAACCTCATAAGGTTGTTGGGAAAATTACATGTGTTCCTGCATATGAAGTGCTTAGGACAGTGCCTGAAATACAGTCCTATATAAATGTTATAATTTATGATTATTGTTGTGATGATAATGATGATAATATCACTAGCAGCTCCTCTGAAACTTGTTGGCCTCATCCAAGGCCTATCACTTAGCTTTATCCCCAGTGTCTCTAATACTCCATCTGTTGTGCAGAAGTATATCCTGAACCTTCCTCCCTCTGAATTTGCCCACTTGGCACCTCTTCATTTGCTCTTACAATCTCTAGACCATAAATTTCAAAGACGTGGCCCAAAATGTTGGACTCAAGGTTTTTGCAAACTACAAGCTAACATGTTAAAATTGAGTGGTTTCATATACAACTCCAGTTATCCAAGTTTTCTTGGACAATCTGGGTATCTGGTCATAGTGGGCCTACATTTCTGCATGGCAGTAATTGTCTAGAACAGAGTAGCGGCTGCTTGTTTTGACAGAAACTGCTCTCCATGTCATCAGAGTCCCTGCCACTTCCTGTTGTTTTGACACTTTTCTCATTCTAGTCATCGATATCATTTTTTTGGGTCATGTAATACTTATTTGCTGCCAGCAGTTTAGAGTAAGCAGCGGTTCTCCACCATGTGTTCTGCACACTCATACTCCACTAGGCCTTTGCTGATAGGTCACCAGATTTTGATTCATGTGTAAAACATACATTAGTTAAAATCAAGTATGCATAATAGTGTTTTGGCTTTGTCTGTCAGAAGCAACATTGAGCTGGGCAGGTGTGCTTGTGTATTAGAGCTAGATACAACTTGGTGAAAAGGTTAGCCCATATTTAAGTTCAAACCAAAGAACAGTGATTAAAGCCCAAGCCAAAGAAAATTGAGATATGGGAGAGCTTTGCCTTCTGAGTGTGTAAGGGAGCACAGGTGGTGCACGCCATGTGTTCAGTGTCTCAGTGCTAGGGAGTCAGCAGGGATAAAGAAAGATAACTGATGCCTTAGAGCAGAGTTTAAGGGGCTGTGGATTGTGTCCATGGGGACCCCCCTTTGCATTCCAGGCTGTGTAGCAGCATCCCTGGCCTCTACCCACTAGATACCAGGAGCACCTCCCGTGAGTAGTGACAATTTAAATGTCCCCTGGGAGGTTGAAAGATGCAGAAGACATTATAATATAGTAGTTATCATGGTCTAGTCACTGTTGACATCTTTAATACTGCTTTTAGTCTTTGAATCCTTTGAAATATTGGCTTTGTACTCCACTTTTCTAAAGCATTCAGTATTTATTTTATGGCCATTTTACTACAGTATCAGAGAGGAGATATACTTCTCTCCCCCTCTCTAGTCAAGCACAACTGCAAGTATCTTTAAGGCGCAGCCACCTTTAAGGAAAGACTTCTGGGAACAGCTAACTGTGTTGGAGGAACTGGGCTGTGGCTCGTCCTCTGCTGCTCGTTAGCCCTGTGAACCTGGGGAGGCTAGCTCCCTCTCTTAGTCTTGGCTAAAAGTGAGGTGGCTGGATCAGATAATCAGCAAGATGCCTTCCAGGTAAGATTAGGCTGTAAGTCAGAAAATATTGTAGGACTTCTGAAACTTTAACTGCCAGTCAAGATCACTTAACTAGAATGTCCCACATTTTTCACTCCATTGAAATGAGTAACTTCAAGTGTCATGTAACATCAGGATCACTTAGGGGAATGTCTAGAGGTGCAGTAGATGATTGTTAGCTTTCTGTTGCTGTGTAATGAATTACCACAACTTTAGTGGTTTAAGGTGACATATATTGATGATCTCATGGGTCTCTACAGCAGCAGTCTGAGGACCGCGTGGCTGAGTTCTCCATTCACTGTTTCACACAGTGACAGTCAAGGTGTTGCAGGGACTGTGATCTCATCTGAGGCTAGGGTCCTCTTCCAAATGCACAGGGCGGTTGGCAGATGGCATTTCCTTGTGGCAGTATGACTGAGGATCCTGTTTCTTGTTAGCGATTGGATGGTGACCACACTTTACTTCCAGAGGCTGCTCTGAGGTCCTTGCCATGTGGCCCCCTCCATAGGCCCTTTTACAACATGAAATTTTATTTCTTCAGAGCCAGCAGGAGAATCTCTCACACTTCAGATCTTGTTAGGAAGGGGCTGGTTTTTCTAAGAACTCACCTTTGAAGTCAAGCCCATCCACGATAATTTCCCTCTTGATAAACTCAGAACCAACTGATGGGGGAACTTAATTAAATCTGCAGAATCCATTCATATTTCTGATTAAATGTAACTTCGTCACAGGACTTGTCTTTGTCCTGTTCACGGTCCCATCCACACTGGATGGGGGAGGATTATACAGGGCGGGTACATCAGGGAGTGGGAATCTTGGGGGCCTCCCACAATGCCTCTTGATTTAAAAAGATTCTGGAGCATACTTTTTCTTATGTCTCATATCTAAGCTAATATCTTCCCTTTTCTGTTCAGTTTCAGTTTTGTGTTCACATGTCTGTTGTCATATTTTTTCTTCTATTTTTGCAGGAGGAGGATTAGAGTCAAAGGTGTGGGGAGGCTTGTGAGCTTCTGTGAGTTGTTGTGTGTGGCTTGTATACATGCTGTTATACTGGTAAGCTCTGTAACAACCCCTGATTGCTGAACATGCTAACTGGGATATACGCTACATGGTTCACTGGTGCTTTCAGGAAACCATCGAGGTGTCAGGCATTGAGGATTCGTTGTTCACTAATACATTCTTTAAAATGCTTTTAGAATCATTATATCCAGTTTCCTTTCTCTCTGTACATGGGACTGATTAACCACCATGTGGGTGGAAATCTAATTTGTTGCTGGCTCAGAACTTTGCAATTTTCAATACTTTGCAGAATTATCCTGTTTACCAAATGAATTGTGATAAAAATTGATACATTAGTATTAAGAGGATGACTTATAACATGTACTATGATTTATAGGGCCAAAAAGACCTGATAAACTCACAACCATTTTACCCCATAATGTTAAGAAACTCAAAAGATTTTGTCACCAAAAAGTGTATCTTGTGATTTATTTTTTATGACACGGTAGTATCACTTGTTAGAGTTCTGAGATTCTTTATTAGCAACTGACAGTTTTCTAGGAACTGAATTTTTACACTTAGAGCTGCGAAAAGCCAAAAGCATTTCTAAATGATCTCCATCCCATTCCCCTCAAATAATAATGTACACGCTCATTATAGTTTGTTAGTTTCTCATGCCTTTCTTTGGTGTTCTCATGGTTGTGAGAAGTTGGGAGAAGCAGCGTCTAAATTTAGGAAATGGATTTCTTTTCTGTTACTAAGTACATTGCTATAATTTAAAGACAACAGGAGAACATGTCTTTTATCTCAAATGGGTCTGCTATTTTTCTTCTAAGGTGTTTCTCTAAGAGTAACATTATGTAATTTAATCAGTGTTATAAAAAATGGAATTCCTGGTTAGGATTTTAAAAGGTGATGTTAACAGATATCAAATTTTTTATATTAGGGATTGAAGGACTTTTATTTATTTATTTCATTTTAATTTTTAAGCTCCAGGATACATATGTAGGATATGCAGCTTTGTTACATAGGTAAATATGTGCTATGGTGGTTTGCTGCACCTGTCAACCCATCACCTTGGTATTAAGCCCAGCATGCATTAGCCATCTTTCCTAATGCTCCCCTTCCCCCCACCCCACCCTGTGAAAGGCCCCAGAGTGTGTTGTTTCCCTCCCTGTGTCCATGTGTTCTCATTGTTCACTTACAAGTGAGAGCATGTGGTATTTGGTTTGGGTTGATTCCTTGTCTTTGCTATTGTGAATAGTGCTGCAGTGAACATACATGTGCGTGTGTCTTTGTAATATAATGATTTATATTCCTTTGAGCATATACCCTGTAATGGGATTGCTGGGTCAAATGGTATTTCTGGTTCTTGCTCTTTGAGGAATTGCCACCCCATCTTCCACAATGGTTGAACTAATTTACATTTTCACCAATAGCGTAAAAGCATTCCTGTCTTTCCTCAACCTCGCCAGCATCTATTGTTTCTTTCTTTTTTTCTTTTTCTTTTCTTTTTTTTGAGATGGAGTCTCGCTCTGTTGCCTAGGCTGGAGTGCAGTGGCACTAACATGACTCACTTTAACCTCTGCCTGCCAATTTCAAGCAGTTCTCCTGCGTCAGCCTCCCGAGTAGCTGGGACTACAGGTGTGCACCACCATGCCCAGCTAATTTTTTGTTTAGTAGAAACAAGGTTTCACCATGCTGGCCAGGCTGGTTTCAAACTCCTGACCTCGTGATTCACCCACCTTGGCCTCCCAAAGTGCTAGGATTACAGGCGTAAGCCACTGCGCCTGGTCTGTTTCTTAACTTTGTAATAATTGCCATTGTGAATGGCGTGAGACGGTATCTCATTGTGGTTTTGATTTTCATTTCTCTAATCAGTGATGTTGAGCTTTTTTTTCTTATGTTTGTTGGCTGCATGAATGTCTTCTTTTGAGAAGTGTCTTTTCATGTCCTTTGCCCACTTTTTAATAGGGTTGTTTTTCTTTTTCTTGTCTCTCTCTTTTTTCTTTTCTTTTTTAATACTTTAAGTTCTGGGGATACATGTGCACAACGTGCAGGTTTGTTACATAGGTATACATGTGCCATGGTGGTTTGCTGCACCCATCAACCTGTCATCTAGATTTTAAGCCCCACATGCGTTAGGTATTTCTCCTAATGCTATCCATCCCCTTGCCCCCAGCCCCCAACAGGCCCCAGTGTGAGATGTTCCCCTCCCTGGGTCCATGTGTTCTCATTGTTCACCTCCCACTTATGAGCAAGAACATATGGTGTTTGGTTTTCTGTTCCTGTGTTAGTTTGCTGGGAATGATGGTTTTTAGCTTCATCCATGTCCCTGCAAAGGACATGAACTCATACTTTTTTATGGTTGCATAGTATTCCATGGTGTGTATGTGCCACATTTTCTTTATCCAGTCTATCATTGATGGGCATTTGGGTTGGTTCCAAGTCTTTGGTATTGTAAATAGTGCTGCAGTAAACATATGTGTGTGTGTGCCTTTATAGTAGAATGATTTGTAATCCTTTGGGTATATACCCAGTAATGGGATTGGTGGGTCAAATGCTATTTCTGGTTCTAGTTCCTTGAGGAATTGCTGCACTGTCTTCCATAATGGTTAAACTAATTTACACTCCCACCAACAGTGTGAAGGTGTCTGTTTCTCCACATCCTCTCCAGCATCTGTTGTTTCCTGACTCTTTAATGATCGTCATTGTAACTGGAGTGAGATGGTATCTCATTGTGGTTTTGATTTGCGTTTCTCTAATGAGCAGTGATGATGAGCTTTTTTTCATTTGTTTGTTGGCCGCATAAATGTCTTCTTTTGAGAAGTGTCTGTTAATATCCTTTGCCCACTTTCTGATGGGGTCGTTTGTTTTTTCTTGTAAATTTATTTAAGTTCCTTGTAGATTCTGGATATTAACCCTTTGTCAGATGGATAGATTGCAAAATTTTCTCCCATTCTGTAGGTTGCCTGTTCACTCTGATGATAGTTTCTTTTGCTGTGCAGAAGCTCTTTAGTTTAATTAGATCCCATTTGTCAATTTTGGCTGTTGTTGCCGTTGCTTTTGGTGTTTTAATCATGAAGTCTTTGCCCATGCCTACGTCCTGAATGGTATTACCTAGGTTTTCTTCTATGGTTTTTATGGTTTTAGGTCTTACGTTTAAGTCTTACATCTTGAGTTAATTTTTGTATTAGGTATAAGGAAGGGGTCCAGTTTGAGTTTTCTGCATATGGCTAGCCAGTTTTCCCAACACCATTTATTAAATAGGGAATCCTTTCCCCACTGCTTGTTTTTGTCAGGTTTGTCAAAGAGCAGATGGTTGTAGATGTGTGGTGTTATTTCTGAGGCCTCTGTTCTGTTCCATTGGTTTATGTATCTGTTCTGGTACCAGTACCCTGCTGTTTAGGGTTGCTGTAGCCTTGTAGTATAGTTTGAAGTCAGGTAGCATGATGCCTCCAGCTTTGTTCTTTTTGCTTAGGATTGTCTTGGCTATACGGGTCTTCTTTGGTTCCATATGAAATTTAAAGTAGTTTTTTTCTAATTCTGTGAAGAAAGTCAATGGTAGCTTGATGGGGGTAGCATTGAATCTATAAATTACTTTGGGCAGTATGGGCATTTTCATGATATTGATTCTTCCTATCCATGAGCATGGAGTGTTTTTCCATTTGTTTGGGTCCTCTCTTATTTTCTTGAGCAGTAATTTGTAGTTCTCCTTTAAGAGGTCCTTCACATCTCTTGTAAGTTGTATTCCTAGGTATTTTATTCTCTTTGTAGCAGTTGTGAATGGGCGTTCACTCATGATTTGGCTCTCTGATTGTCTGTTAATGGTATGTAGGAATGCTTGTGATTTTTGCGCATTGATTTTGTATCCTGAGACTTTGCTGAAGTTGCTTATCGGCTTAAGGAGATTTGGGGCTGCGATGATGGAGTTTTCAAAATATACAATCTTGTTAACTGCAAACGGAGAGAATTTGACTTCCTCTCTTCCTATTTGAATACCCTTTATTTCTTTCTCTTGCCTGATTGCCCTGGCCATAACTTCCAGTACTATGTTGAATAGGAGTGGTGAGAGAGGGCAGCCTTCTGCTGTGCCGGTTTTCAAAGTTAATGCTTCTAGCTTTTCCCCATTGAGTATGACACTGGCTATGAGTTTGTCATAACTATTCCATAACTATTCATAACTATTCCATAACTATTCCATATATTCCGTAACTGTTCCTGGTTTATTGGGTGTTTTTAGCATGAAGGGGTGGTTAGCATGAAGGTGAATTTTATTGAAAGCCTTTTCTGCATCTGTTGAGATAATCATGTGATTTTTGTCATTGGTTCTGTTTATGTGATGGATTATGTTTATTGATTTGTATATGTTGAACCAACCTTGCATCCCAGGGATGAAGCCTGCTTGATCATGGTGGATAAGCTTTTTGATGTGCTGCTGGATTCGGTTTGCCAGAATTTTATTGAGGATTTTCGCGTCCATGTTTATCAGGGATCTTGGCCTGAAATTTTCTTTTTTTGTTGTGTCTCTGTCAGGTTTTGGTTTCAGGAAGAAGCTGGCCTCATAAAGTGAGTTAGGGAGGAGTCCTTCTTTTTCTGTTGTTTGGAATAGTTTCAGAAGGAATGGTACCTCTGGTAGAATTCGGCTGTGAGCCATCTGGGCTCTTTTTGGTTGGTAGGCTATTAATTACTGCATCAATTTCAGAACTTGTTATTGGACTATTCAGGGATTCGACTTCTTCCTGGTTTAGTCTTGGGAGGGTGTATGTGTCCAGGAATTTATCCATTCCTTCTAGATTTTCTAGTTTATTTGCATAGAGGTGTTTATAGTATTCTCTGATGGTAGTTTGTATTTTTATGGGATTAGTGGTGATATCCACTTTATCATTTTTTATTGTGTCTATTTGATTCTTCTCTCTTCATTGGTCTGGCTAGTGGTCTATTTTGTTAATCTTTTCAAAAAACCAGCTCCTGGATTCATTGATTTTTTTTTTAAAGTGTTTTTCATGTCTCTATATCCTTCAATTCTGCTCTGATCTTAATTATTTCTTGTCTTCTGCTAGCTTTCGAATTTGTTTGCTCTTACTTCTCTAGTTCTTTTAATTGTGATGTTAGGGTGTCGGTTTTAGATCTTTCCCACTTTCGCCTGTGTGCATTAGTGCTGTAAATTTCCCTCTAAACACTGCTTTAAATGTGTCCCAGAGATTCTGGTATGTTGTGTCTTTGTTCTCATTGGTTTCGAAGAGCTTATTTGTTTCTGCCTTAATTTCGTTATTTATCTAATAGTCATTCAGGAGCAGGTTGTTTCCGTGTAGTTGCGTGGTTTTGAGTGAATTTCTTAATCCTGAGTTCTAATTTGATTGCACTGTGGTCTGAGAGACTGTTTGTTATGATTTCCATTATTTTGCATTTGCTGAGGAATGTTTTACTTCCATTTATGTGGTCGATTTTAGAATCAGTGCTGTGTGGTGCTGAGAAGAATGTATATTCTGTTGATTTGGGGTGGAGAGTTCTGTAGATGTCAGTCAGGTCCCCTCGGTCCGGAGCTGAGTCCAAGTCCTGAATATCCTTGTTAATTTTCTGTCTCGCTGATCTAGCTAATATTGACAGTGAGGTGTTAAAGTCTCCCACTATTATTGTGTGGAAGTCTAAGTTTCTTTGTAGGTCTCTAAGAACTTGCTTTATGAATCTGAGTGCTCCTGTATTGGGTGCATATATATTTAGGATAGTTAGCTTTTCTTGTTGAATTGACCCCTTTGCCGTTATGTAATGCCTTTCTTTGTCTTTTTTGATGTTTGTTGGTTTAAAGTCTGTTTTGTCAGAGACAAGGATTGCAACCCCTGCTTTTTTTTGCTTTCCATTGGCTTGGTAAATATTCCTCCATCCCTTTATTTTGAGCCTATTTGTGTCTTTGCATGTGATATGGGTCTCCTGAATACAGCACGCCAGTGGGTCTTAACTCTATCCAATTTGCCAGTCTGTTTCTTTTAACTGGGGCATCTAGCCCATTTACATTTAAGGTTAATATTGTTATGTGTGAATTCGATCTGTCATGATGCTAGCTGTTTATTTTGCACATTAGTTGATGCAGTTTCTTTGTGGTGTCAGTGGTCTTTACAATTTGTTGTTTTTGCAGTAGCTGGTATGGGATTTTCCTTTCCATATTTAGCACTTCCTTCAGGAGCTCTTGTAAGGCAGGCCCGGTGGTGACAAAATCTCTTAGCATTTGCTTGTCTGTAAAGGATTTTATTTCTTCTTTGCTTATGAAGCTTAGTTTGGCTGGATATGAAATTCTGGGTTGAAAGTTCTTTTCTTTAAGAATGTTGAATATTGGCCTTTACTCTCTTTTGGCTTGTAGCGTTTCTACAGAGAGATCTGCTGTTAGTCTGATGGGCTTCACCTTGTAGGTAGCCTGACCTTTCTCTCCGGCTGCCCTTAACATTTTTTCCTTCCTTTCAACCTTGGTGAATCTGATGATTATGTGTCTTGGGTTGATCTTCTCGAGGAGTATCTTAGTGGTGCTCTCTGTATTTCCTGAATTTGAATGTTGGCCTTTCTTGCTAGGTTGGAGAAGTTCTCCTGGGTAATATCCTCAAGTGTGTTTTCCAACGTGGTTCCATTCTCCCTGTCACTTTCGGGTACACCAATCAATCGTAGGTTTGGTCTTTTCACATAGTCCGATATTTCTTGGAGGCTTTGTTCGTTCCTTTTCATTATTTTTTCTCATCTTGTCGTCACACTTTATTTCATTAAGTTGATCTTCAGTCTCTGATAGCCTTTCTTCTGCTTGATCGATTCGGCTATTGATACTTGTGTATGCTTCACGAAATTCTCGTGCTGTGTTTTCCAGCTCCATCAGGTCATTTATGTTCGTGTCTAAACTGGTTATTCTAGTTAGCTGTTCCTGTAACCTTTTATCAAGGTTCTTAGCTTGCTTTCATTGGGTTAGAACATGCTCCTTTAGCTCCGAGGAGTTTGTTATTACCCACCTTCTGAAGTGTACTTCTGTCAGTTTTTCATACTCATTTTCTGCCCAGTTTTGTTCCCTTGCTGGTGAGGAGTTGTGATCGTTTGGAGAAGAGGTATTCTGGTTTTTGGAGTTTTCAGCCTTTTTTTGGTGGTTTTTCCTCATCTTCATGGATTTGTCTGCCTTTGATCTTTGACGCGGATGACTTTTGGATAGGGTTTTTGCGTGGGTGTCCTTTTTGTTTTTGTTGATGTTATTGCTTTATGTTTGTTAGTTTTCCTTCTAACAGTCAGGCCCCTCTGCTGCAGGTCTGCTGGAGTTTGCTGGACGTTCATTTCAGACCCTGTGTGCCTGGGTATCACCACCAGAGGCTGCAGAACAGCAAAGCTTGCTGCCTGCTCCTTCCTCTGAAAGCTTTGTCCCAGAGGGGCACATACCAGATGCCAGCTGGAGCTCTTTTTTATGAGGTGTCTGTTGAACCCTCCTGGGAGGTGTCTCCCCATCAGGAAGCATGGGGGTCAGGGACCCACTTGAGGAGGCAGTGTGTCCCTTAGCAGAGCTCAAGTGCTGTGCTGCGAGATCCACTCCTCTCTTCAGAGCTGGCAGACAGGAACAGTTAAGTCTGCTGAAGCTGTGCCCACAGCTGCCTGTTCCCCCAGGTGCCCTGTCTTATGGAGATGGGAGTTTTATCTATAAGCACCTGACTGGGGCTGCTGCCTTTCTGTCAGAGATGCCCTGCCCAGTGAGGCAGTCTAGAGAGGCAGTCTGGCTACTGTGGCTTTGCAGTGGGTTCTGCCCAGCCCGAACTTCGCCGCAGCTTTGTTTACACTGTGAGGGGAAAACCACCTACTCAAGCTTCAGTAATGGTGGATGCCCTTCCCCTAACCAAACCCAATCACCCCAGGTCGACTTCAGAATGCTTTGCTGGCAGCAAGAATTTCAAGCCAGTGGATCTTAGCTTGCTGGGCTCTGTGGGGGTGGAGCCTACTGGGCAAGATCACTTGGCTTCCTGGCTTCAGCCCCCTTTCCATGGGAGTAAACAGTTCTGTCTCACTGGGGTTCCAGGTGTCACTGGGTACGAAGAAAAAAAAGAAACAACAGAAAAAAAAAAACTCCTGCACCTAGCTCTGCCCAAACAGCCACCCAGTTTTGTGCTTGAAACCCAAGACCCTGGTGGCGTAGGCACTAGAGGGAATCTCCTCGTCTGTGGGTTGCGAAGACTGTGGGAAAAGCATAGTATTTGGGCTGGAATGCACCATTCCTCATGACACAGTCCCTCAAGGCTTCCCTTGTTTAGGGGAGGTAGTTCCCTGGCCCCTAGTGCTTCTCGGGTGAGGCAACACCCCACCCTGCATCTGCTTGCCCACTGTGGGCTGCACCCACTGTCTAACCAGTCCCATTGAGATGAACCGGGTACCTCAGTTGGAAATGCAGAAATCACCCACCTTCTGTTATGGCCTTGCTGGGAGCTACATATCGGAGCTGTTCCTATTCAGCCATCTTGCCAGATCCCCCTGTTTGTTTGTTTGTTTGTTTTTCATGTAAATATAAGGTCCTTGTAGACTCTGGATACTAGACCTTTGTCAGATGGATGGATAGCAAAAATTTTCTTCCACTCTGTAGGTTGCCTGTTTGCTCTGATGATAGTTTCTTTTGCTGTGCAGAAGCTCTTTAGTTTAATTAGATCCCATTTATCAATTTTTGCTTTTGTTACTATTGCTTTTGGCGATTTTGTGATGAAACTTTTGCCTGTGCCTGTGTCCTCAATGGTATTGCCTAGATTTTCTTCTAGAGTTTTTATGGTTCTGGGTTTTACAGTTAAGTCTTTGATCCATCTTGAGTTAATTTTTATATAAGGAAGGGGTCTAGTTTCAGTTTTCTTGATATGGCTTGCCAGTTCTCCCAGCACCGTTTATTAAATAGGGAATCCTTTCCCCATTGCTTGTTTTTGTCAGGTTTCTCAAAGATCAGATGGTTGTAGATGTGCCATCTTATTTCTGAGTTCTTTATTCTATTCCATTGGTCTATGTGTCTGTTTTTGTAGCAGTACCATGCTGTTTGGGTTATTGTAGCCTTGCGGTATATTTTGAAGTCCAGTAGCATGTTGCCTCCAGCTTTGTTCTTTTTGCTTAGGATTGTCTTGGCTGTATGAGCTCTTTTTTTATTCCATATGAATTTTAAAATAGTTTCTTCTGATTCTGTGAAGAATGTTAATGGTAGTTTAATGGAAATAGCATTGAATCTATAAATTACTTAGGGTGGTGTGGCCATTTTTGTAATACTGATTCTTCCTATCCATGAGCGTGGAATGTTTATCCATTTGTTTGTGTCCTCTCTGATTTCCTTGTGCAGTGGTTTGTAGTTCATCTTGAAGAGATCCTTCACGTCCCTTGCTAGCTGTATTCTTAGTTATTTTTTTCTCTTTGTAGCAATTGTGAATGGGAGTTCATTCATGATTTGGCTCTCTGCTTGCCTGTAGTTCGTGTATAGGAATGCTTGTGACTTTTGCATGTTGATTTTGTATCCTGAGACGTTGCTGAAATTGCTTAAAAGCTTAAGAAGCTTGTGGGCTGAGACAATGGGGTTTTCTAGAAGGAGTATCATGTCATCTGCAAACAGAGACAATTTGACTTCCTCTCTTCTTGTTTGAATCCTTTATTTCTTTCTCTTGCCTGATTGTCCTGGCCAGAACTTCCAATACTATGTTGAATAGGAGTGGTGAGCGAGGGCATCCTTCTCTTGTGCTGGTTTTCAAAGGGAATGCTTCCACCTTTTGCCCATTCAGTATGATACGGGCTGTGGGTTTGTCCTGTATAGCTCTTATTATTTTGAGGTATGATCCATCAATACCTAGTTTATTGAGACATAACATGAAAGGATGTTGAGTTTTACTGAAGGCCTTTTCTGTGTCTATTGAGATAATCATGTGGTTTTTGTTTTTGGATCTGTTTATGTGATGAATTATGTTTATTGATTTGCGTATGTTGAACCAGCCGTGCATCCTGGGGATGAAGCCGACTTGATCACGGTGGATAAGGTTTTTGATGTGCTGCTGTATTCGGCGTGCCTGTATTTTATTGAGAATTTTTACATTGATGTTCATCAGGGATATTGGACTGAAGTTTTGTTTTTTGTTGTTGTATGTCTGCCAGGTTTTGGTATCAGGATGATGCTGGCGTCATAGAATGAATTAGGGAGGAGCACTTCCTTTTCAGTTGTTTGGAATACTTTTAGAAGAAAGAGTATCAGCTCCTGTTTATATTTCTGGTAGAATTCAGCTGTAAAACCGTCTGGTTCTGGGCTTTTTTTTGTTTTTTTTTTTAGTTATTTATTACTGCCTCAATTTCAGAACAGGTTATTGGTCTAGTCAGAGATTCCAATTCCTTTTGGTTCATTCTTGGGAGGGTTTATGTGTCCAGGAATATATCCATTTCTTACAGATTTTCGAGTTTGTTTGCATTGAGGTGTTTATAGTATTCTCTGATCATTGTTTGTATTTCTGTGGGGTCGCCAGTGATATCCCCTTTATCACTTTTTATTGTGTCTATTTGATTCTTTTCTTCTTTATTAGTCTAGTTAGTAGTCTATTTTTATTAATATTTTTTAAAAACTAGCTCCTGGATTCTTTGATTTTTTTTTTTTTTTTTGAAGGGTTTTTCATGTTTATCTCCTTCAGTTCTGCTCTGATCTTGGTTATTTCTTGTCTTCTGCTAGCTTTGGGGTTTGTTTACTCTCAGTTCTCTAGTTCTTTTAGTTGTGATGTTAGGCTGTCAGTTTGAGATCTTTCTAACTTTTTGATGTAGGCATTTATTGCTATAAATTTCCCTCATAATGCTGCAAATCTGTGTCCCAGAGATTCTGATACGTTGTTTCTTTGTTCTTACTGATTTCAAATAACTTCTTGATTTCTGCCTTAATTTCATCATTTAGCCAGTAGTCTCAGAAGCAGGTTGTTCAATTTCCATATACCTTTGTGGTGTTGAGTGGGTTTCTTCATCTTAAGTTCTGATTTGATTGCATTGTGGTCTAAGAGACTGTTTGTTATGATTTCAGTTATTTTGCATTTGCTCACAAGTGATTTTCTTCCAATTGTGCGATCAGTTTTAGAGTGCCATGTGGCACCGAGAAGAATGCATATTCTGTTGTTTTTGGGGAGAGAGTTCTGTAGGTATCTGTCAGGTCCACTTGATCCAGAGCTGAGTTCAGGTCCTGAATATCTTTGTTAATTTTCTGTCTCAATGGTCTATCCTTGATAGTAGGGTATTAAAGTCTCCCACTATACTTGTGTGGGAGTGTAAATCTCTTTGTAGGTATCTAAGAACTTGTTTTATGAATCTAGGTGCTCCTGTATTGGGTCCATATATATTTAGGATAGTTAGCTCTTCTTCTTGATTTGAGCCCTTTACCATCATGTAATGCCCTTTTTTGTCTTTTTTAATGTTTGTTGGTTTAAAGTCTGTTTTGTCAGAGACTAGGATTGTAACACGTGCTTTTTTCTGTTTTCCATTTGCTTGGTAAATTTTCCTCCATCCTTTTCTTTTGAGCCTATGTGTGTCTTTGCATGTGAGATGGGTCTCTTGAATACAGCACAGCAATGGATCTTGACTCTTTACTCCAGTTTGCCATTCTGTGCCTTTTAATTGGGGGCATTTGCCCATTTACATTTAAGGTTACTATTGTTATTGTGTGAATTTGATTGTTTCATCATGATGCTGGCTGATTATTTTGCAGACTTGTTTATGTAGTTGCTTCATCATGTCACTGGCCTGTGTACTTCCATGTGGTTTCCTAGTGGTTGGTAATGGTTTTTCCTTTCCATATTTAGTGCTTCCTTCAGGAACTCTTGCAAGGCAGGCTTGGTGCTGATGAATTCCCTCAGCATTTGCTTGTCTGAAAAAGATTTTATTTCTCCTTTGCTTATGAGGCTTACTTTGGCCAGATACGAAATTCTAGGTTGGAAATTCTTTTGTTTAAGCATGTTGAATATCAGCCCCTAATGTCTTCTGGCTTGTAGGGTTTCTGCTGAGAGGTCTGCTCTTAGTCTAATGGGCCTCCCTGTAGAGATGAGCGGCCTTTCTCTCTGGCTGCCCTTAACATTTTTTTTTCTTCATTTCAACCTTGGAGGATCTGATGATTATATGTCTTGGGGTTGATATTCTCATGGAGTTATCTTCCTGGGGTTCTCTGGAGTTCCTGAATTTGAATGTTGGCTTATCTTGCTAGGTTGAGGAAGTTCTCCTGGATGATACCCTGAAGTGTGTTTTCCAACTTGGTTCCATTCTCCTTGTCTCTTTCAGGTACCCCATCAGCTGTAGGTTTGGTTTTTTAACATAATCCCATAGTTCTTGGAGGTTTTGTTCATTCCTTTTTTTCTAATCTTGTCTGCCTATTTCAGCAAGATGGTATTCAAGTTCTGATATCTTCTCTTCCACTTGGTCTATTCAGCTATTGATACTTGTGTTGGCATTGTGAAGGTCTCATGTTGTGTTTTTCAACTCCATCAGGTCATTTATGTTCATCTCTAAACTGGTTATTTTGGTTAACAGGTCCTGTAATGTTTTATCATGGTTCTTCACTTCTTTGCAGTGAGTTAGAACACACTCCTTTATCTCAGCAAAGTTCATTACTACCCATCTTCTGAAGCCTTCTTCTGTCAATTCACCCATCTCAAGCCTCGGCCCAGTTCTGTGCCCTTGCTGGAGACATGCTGTGATTATTTGGAGGAGAAGAGGCCCTCTGACTTTTTGAGTTTGCAGCATTTTTGCATTGATTCTTTATCATCTTCATGGGTTTATCTACCTTTGATTTTGAGGCTGCTGACCTTTGGATGGGGTTTGTGTGGGTCTTTTTTGTTGATGATGTTGTTGTTGTTGCTTTCGGTTTGTTTTTCTTTTAGCAGTCAGGCCCCTCTTCTGTAGGACTACTGCAGTGTGCTGGGGGTCCATTCTAGACCCTATTCTCCGGGGCCCCTCCCATCCCTGGAGGTATCACCAGGGGAGGCTGCAGACCAGCAAAGATGGCAGCCTGCTCCTTTCTCTGGGAGCTCTGTCCCAGAGAGGCACTGACCTGATGCTGGATAGAATGCCCTTGTATGAGGTGTCTGCAGGCTTTTGTCAGGAGGTCTCACCCAGTCAGGAGGAGCAGGATCAGGGACCCACTTAAATAAGCAGTCTGGCTGCCCGTTGGCAGAGTGGGTGTGCTGTGCTGTGGGGAATCCCCCTCATCCAGGCTGCCCTGACTCTCCAGAGCCAGCAGGCATAAAAGACTAAGATTGCTTATCCATGATACCACAGCCGCCCCTCCTCCTAGGGGCTCCTGTCAGGGATATCAGAGTTCTGTCCATAAACCCCTGGCTGGGGATGCTGAAATTCCCACAGGGAGGCACTACCCAGTGAGGAGGAGTGGATCGGGGTCCTGCTTAAAGAATCAGTCTGGCCAAGAACTGACCCAGCCGCTGTACTGTGATGTGGGGAGTTGCTTCTGGTCCAAACCACCCGGTCTTGCTGGCACTGGTGGCAGGGGAAAACAGCCAACTGGAGCTGCAGTGATGGCGGCTGCCCCTTTTCCTCAGGAACTCAGTTGTCTTAGGCAGTCTCAAGTCTGATGTGCTGGCTGGTGGGGATTCCAAGCCAGTGGATTTTAGCTCTTGGGGTTCTGTGGGAATGAGGTCACTTGGCTCCCTGGCTTTAGCCCCCTTCCCATGGGAGTGGACAGATGTCCTGCCTCGCTGGGGTTCCCAGAGCTGGAGTATGCAAATACTCCTATGTCTCAGTGTCTGCTCGAGACACCACCCTCCTGAGCAGCTGCCGTGATTCTGCACAGTTCTGTGCTTAGGACCCAAGGCCCTGGATGCATGGGCTCATGAGGGGGACCTGCTGATCTGTGGATTGCAAGAATCTGTGGGAAAAGCATGGCTTTCAGGGAGGGGTAGCACAATCCCTCACTGCCTGCCTTGACCAGGGGAGGGAGCCCCCTTTCCCCCTGCCGCCTTGTGAAGCTCCCGGGTGGGCCCTTGCTCCAGCCTGCCTTTCCTTGCTCTCCATGGGTCATGCCAACTGCCTCGTCAGTCCCAATGAGAGAACCTTGGTACCTCAGTTGAAGATGCAGAATTCACTCACCATTTTTGTCCTTCTCAGTGGAAGCCACAGAGCAGAGCTGTTTCTGTTCAGCCATCTTGGCTGCACCTGACTTTTATTTATTAAAAAAAAAATTTTTTTTTGTTTTTTTTGAGACAGGCTCGGAGACTCTGTCACCCAAGCTGGAGTGCACTGTCTCATCATAGCTCACTACAGCCTCGAAATCCTGGTCTCAAGTTACTCATGCTTCATATAGCTGGGACCATAGATATGCACCACCACATACAGCTATTTAAGTTTTATTATAGAGATGGTATCTCTCTTTGTTGCCCAGGCTGGTGTCTAACTCCTGGACTCAAGCGATCCTCCAACCTTGGCCTCCCAAAGTGCTGGGATTACAGACACGAACCACCACACCCAGCCTCAAAGGACTTTTAGATTGACAAATTTGAGTTACATTGCCCGTATTGTGACTTGCGCTATACTTACCAACTTTCACTTGACACTGATATTTTCTAAATGCTTAAGGCTATAGAACAAACAGTAAAGGCAAAGTCACAGCCATCCTTGAGAAACTTAGTTTTGAGGTGAGAAATCAGGAGTTAGCATCACTTAAATCAGGTTAGAGTTTGTAGAACCAAAGTTACTGAAGTAGAGAAGTGTATATGATGGCATAGCTCATTACACATTTCCTGTATATTAGGAGCCTCATTATATAATTGTTTTTTTTTCTGTCTTTTTAACGTACCCAAAGTATTGAAAGTCGAGGGAGTGCCAGAGACAAGTAAGATTATGTTCGTTGGGAAATTCATATTATGGCTACGAAAATAACTATAGGCAAAGATACCATACTAGTATATAATGCATCCTGCTGGTCTGTTTTATCCCATTAAAAAACTTCGCGCGCTTTTATTAGGAGGTTTATTTTTCTTATGACTGGGGGAAACAAAATTAGATAATTTACCTTTGAAACAGAGTTGCTTATCTAGCATTCTTATACCTTCCTTATCTGTTATTAGTGAGCTTGTTTACTGTGACTATTTCTGCCTTTCAAAGTTGATCTGATTAAATTTGGTTAAAATTATTGTCTAATCTTCCATTAGCTGTTTTTCTTTGTGAGCATGTAAATACTGTAGACAAAACAAAAAAAATGATACATCTTCATAACTTAAGGGGTCAGCTAAACTGAAATCAAAGTACTGTGACAGCAATTAAATCTTTTTTTTTTTTTTTTTTTTTTTTTTGAGATGAAGTTTCACTCTTGTTGCCCAGGCTGGAGTGCAATGGTGTGATCTCCGCTCACCGCAACCTCTACTTCCCAGGTTCAAACGATTCTCCTGCCTCAGCCTCCTGAGTAGCTGGGATTACAGGCACACACCACCACGCCTGGCTAATTTTTTAGTAGAGACGGAGTTTCTCCATGTTGGTCAGGCTGGTCTCAAACTCCCAACCTCAGGTGATCCGCTGCCTTAGCCTCCCAAAGTGCTGGAAAGCAATTTAATCTTTAGTGGGCTTTTAGACAAATAATTGAGACTAAACTTTGAATTAATTAAACTTGAGCTTTTTATGGTGGTATTTATTTAAAAATATATAAACTAAAATTTGCCGTTTTTTAACAATTTTAAGTGCCTAATAGCATTAATTACATTCAGTGTTGTGCAACCATGATCACTATTTCTAAAATGTTTTCATCACTCCAGATACAAACTCTGTAACCATTAAGCAATAACTCCCCACTCTCCCCTCACCCCAGCCCCTAGTAACTTCTAATCCACTTTATGTCTCTGTGATTTTGCCTGTTCTAGTTATTTCATATCAGTGGACCATGTGATATTTGTCCTTTGTGTTTGGCTTATTTCACTTAGCTCAGTGTTTTTAATGTTTATCCATGTTGTAGTTTGTGTCAGAACCCCATTCCCTCTTTGAATAATATTACATGGCATGGATATACTTCCTCTGTTAATGGTCACCCGGGTTGTTTCCATCTTTTGGCTATTGTGAATAAGGCTGCTGTGAACAATGGTATGCAAGGTTCTGTCTGAGTTCCTGCTTTTAATTCTTTTGGGTGTATACCTATAAGTGGAGTTGCTCAGTCATAAAGGAATTCTATTTTTAGCTGTTTGAGGAAGCCTCAAACTGTTTTCCACAGTGGCTGCACCATTTACACTCCCACCAGCAATGTATTAGGGTTCCAGTGTCTTGTCACCACTTGTTATTTTGTTTTTTCTCTTTAAATTATAGTCATACTAATAGGTGTGAAATGGTATGAACCAGTTGCATTTTTAAAAGTACGTTTAAGATAATTTGTTTATGAAATATTTAAACTTTGGTTAAAAGTGCCCTGAGTTCAACAGTTTTAAAAAATTGTCATATTTTAAAACATTTATATAATTGCTATGGTCTGAATATTTGTGTTCCCCCAAAATTCTTACATTGAAGTTCCAACTTTCAAGATGATGGTATTAGGAGGTGTATGGCCTTTGGAAGGTGAATTAGGTCATGGGGGTGGAGGCCCCATGATGGGATTAGCATCTTTATAAAAAACACCTGAGAGAGAAAGAGAGCACATGCCAGAGACCCCCACCTCTTTCATCACATAGTGTTACAGTGAAAAGACCAAGAGCATTATTAGCATAACCTGGGAACTTGATATTAATGCAAATTCTCAGGTCCTACCTAAATCGGAAGTCTGGTGCTAGGGCTTAGAATCTGTGTTTTAACAAGCGCTTGAAATGATTATGATGCATGCTAACGTTTAAACCGTTCTCTGTATTTAGAGTTCTTTTCTTGTCTTTTATAGCATGATGAGAATCTATGCATCTTGGCTCAGTTGCAGTGTTATCCCTTCTGGAAAGGCTCCCCCTGCCCCAGTCACCTCCTGCACTGGGCTCTCAGAGTGCGCTAGTATGGAGTGCTGATAGTTGGTTTGATGTTCCTTCCAGTTTGAGAAACCCTTCCGTGTAGGGATTTGTATCTCTTTTACTTCTTTATAAACCATCATGCTTAGCAAACTGTAGATGTCTTTTTAAAGTTTGTTCAGTTGAATTGTGTGTCCAGTGGGTGGGGGACAGGGTACATAAAGTAATTATAGGGAAGTACAGATGAAGCAGGTTGATACTTGATTCATGGGGTTGTGAAAACAATGGCAAAAGTTGAGTTAACATTTTTCAAAAGTTTTCTTGGGGGGTTGTATCATGCTTTCTTGTTATATAGCTTTCTGCCTACTTTTTTTTTTTTTTCTTATTTTGAGAGTGGTGTATGCTAGTTAGAATTCAGAATTATCAGGAGGAACTTTATCTTAGTCTGTTTTGTACTGCTATGACAGAATACCACAGACTGGGTAATTTATAATGAACAGAAATTACCTGTTCATTATCCTGGAGGCTAGGAAGTCCAAGACTGAGGGACCAAACTCGCCCTTTTATATGGAACTCTCTCCTCAGATAACAGCATTAAGCCATTCATGAGGGTGGTGCCCCCATGACCCAAGTACCTCCCATTCCATCCTGCCTCTCAACACTGCCACATTGGGGATCAAATTTCCAGCACATGAACTTTGGGGGACACATTCAAATCATAGCAAATTTGCTTTAAAATGCTTATAAGGTATGAAATGAACTTTGAAGATGAGTGTGGGGAGGTTCTGAGATGTTTTTGTTTTCACATTTAGGATACAGCAAAGTGTCTTTTAAGGAAGGAATCCTTTGTTATTAATTCACTAGTTTGATGCATGCTTTAGATTTTTAAAATATAGGACACTTTTACCCTGTGAAGTTTAAATATGTGACTAGTTAAAGATATTAAAGTTTTGGCACACATTTTCTCATTAAGCAATGAGATTCATATTTTCTAGTTTATGGGATAAAAATAAAAATTCGATCAGTGGTTGCTACAGTTTCAATCTCATTACAGCTGCAGTGGAGTTTTCTTATTAAGACAAACCTCTTTTCAACCACAGATACACTTTTTAGCTTAGGCTTCACAAAGCCTCATAACTGAGGTTGCATTGGCATTGAGTATCTTGCCTTTAACAGACTTTTAGGACTTTATTTGTTTCCCACAATTTTCTGCATGTTTGTCTCAAATGAACTATAAAATGATTCAGTGACAACATGTGGTTTTAATAACAAACAAGCATGGGCAAATGAATGTAGACTTAGAATTTGAAGTTTTGTACATATGCCATGGCTTCAACTTCTAACTGAATTTATAGCTCAGCACTCAGTCAGTGGTAAATTATCAGTTGCTAGATGGACTTTTTCATTCTAGACTTCAATTATTTTGAGTGCCTGATATTGAAGACCACAGATCATTGATATAAAGAATTTTCTGCAAGTTTTTAATAGTATATTTATAGTTAGGTTTTGTGATCAAGTGGGAGCAAATTTCCCCCAATCTGTTTTTTACCTTCTTGGTTTTTAATTATTACAGTTTATATTGCATCAAAATGTAAATTTCAAGATAAGTAAGGTATTATAAAACTCATTTCTTTACAAAGGTTTCTATTGAAAATGAGTCTTTTTGAAGTAGGAATGTACTATAGTAGCTGCTCTGAGCATTAGAAATAGGCATTGTGGAGATGCCTCTTTCCTCTCTGAGGTGGAAGAGCATGAGGCTACTAATGTGTGTAAATGCGGTCTTTCCCTCAGATTGGGTGGGGCAATGGAAGGGGTGATGGAAGAGAGAGGGTTAGTAGATGCCACATTGGTATTGAGTGTCTTGCCTTTAACAGGCTTTGACTGAACTAAAACCACATTTTCCAGTCAACCTTATAGTGATAAAAATAATACTCTGGTCTTAATTAATGTACTGTGTCTAAAATAATGTATTATATCAGTTATTGTAACCACCCAACAAGTTCTTGCCTGCTGCCCAGGCAGAGCCAATTTATCAAGACAAGGGAATTGCAATAGAGAAAGAGTTTAATACACATAGAGCTGGGTAAATGGGAGACTGGAGTTTTATATTACTCAGCCTCAGTGAAAATTCAGAGGCTGGGATTTTTTAAAGATAGTTTGTCTGTAATCCCAGCACTTTGAGAGGCCGAGGCAGGCGGATTGGTTGAGCCTTAGGAGTTTGAGACCAGCTTGGGCAATGTGGTGAGATGCTGTCTCTACAAAAAGAAAAAAATACAAAAATTAGCCGGGCCTAGTGGTGCGTGCCTGTAGTCCCAGCCATTTGGGGGGCTCTGGTGAGGGATGGCTTGAGCCTGGGAGGTCAGGGCTGCAGTGAACCTTGTTTGTGCCACTGCTCTGCAGCCTGAGTGACAAACTGAGGCCCTGTCTCAAAAAATAAGTAAATCAGTTAAAATAAAGATAGTTTTGACATACTGGGTGTGGTGGTGTGCGCCAGTTGTCCCAGCTACTTGGGAGGCTGAGACAGGAGGATCTGTTGAGCCCAGGAGGTCTGGGCTGTAGAGCAGTATGCCAATTGGGTGTCCACACTAAGTTCAGTATCAGTGTGATGACCTCCTGGAAGCAAGGACCACCATGTTGCCTAAGGAGGGGTGAACTGGCCCAGGTTGGAAACAGAGTAGGTCAAAACTCCCATGCTGATCAGTAGTGGGATAGTGCCTGTGAATAGCCGTTACACTCCAGCCTGGGCAATGAAAAAAAAGTGTGTCTTTAAGAAGACTCCCTGTTTGTTAAAAAGTGTGTGTGTGTGTGTGTGTGTGTGTGTGTGTGTGTGTGTGTGTGTGTGTGTAGTTTGACAGCAGGGGGCTAGGGAATGGGGAATGCTGTTTGGTTGAGTGAGGGATGTAATCCTAGTGGATTGAAGCTGGTTTTCTTGCTGTCTTCTGTTCCTGAGTGGGATTGCAAAACTAGTTGAGCCAGATTTTATTGGTCTGAGTGATACCAGCTGGTCTGTCAGAATGCAGAGTCTGAAAAATACCTTGAACACCAGTCTTAGGTCTTACAATAGTAATGTTATCCATGGGAGCAATTGGGGAGGTTAGGAATCTTGTGGCCTCTGGCTGCATGATTCCTGAGCCATAATTTCTAATCATGTGGCTAATTTGTTAGTTTTACAAAGGGTATCTGGTCCCTAAGCAAGGAGGGAGTTTGTTTCAGGAAGGGGCTGTTACCATCTTTATTTCAAAGTTAAACTCTGAACTAAATTCCTCCCAAAGTTAGTTTGGCCTACACCCAGGAATGAACAAGGGCAGCTTGGGAGGCTAGAAGCAAGATGGAGTTGGTTAGGTCAGATTTTTCTCACTGTCGTGATTTTTGCAAAGATGATTTCATTATTAAAGTTCTTTTGTAAGCACAGGTTTTTTTTTTTGGCTTTTTTTGCCTTATATTCTCTGTCTTTTGGGAGAAGGAAAAAATCTTTTTTCTTTACTCTCTTACATTTTATAGTTGGGGGCCTACAAATTATAGCGACAAAAGACAGAGTAGCAAGAGAAAAAATAGATTTGATGGTGTATATATGTACCCAGGAATTCACAAATAAATGTGACTCAAATAGTTCAAATTTTGGGCTTATATACTATCTTATTAGGGGGTGGAGAGGGTCCTTCTGAGAGAAATTCAGATTGGATTTTTCTTTATGTTGGAGGATTGACAACCCTTGCCTTATCTTGGTCTCCTTCAATGTTTCCACAATTCTAGTACAAGCATTTCCCTCAGAAGCCTTCATGCAGCTTCAGTTTATGGGAGACGTAAGGCATATATTCAGTGAAAAATAAAAGATAGCCAGAATAAAAATCAAATACAAATTAAAGAAAGGTGAGGTGATGCACACCTATCTTGTTTATATAGTAGCTTAATGAGGTTTTGTAGATTGATTGATGGATGGATAGGTGGTCAGCTCATGGATTCATTTACAAAGGCATATTCAATCTTTCATATGTACCAGGTACTATGCATAGGGGAAACATCTGTTAAGAAGATCAGTGTGGGCCTTGCTTTTGCCTCTTGCCTAGTTCACAGTCTGGTAAATGAAACCAACATTGTTTAATTAGAATGTAATGAGTGCTTTATAGGCGCTATGAGAATGTCTAAGTAGGACACCTGATCTAGTCTGGACCAGTTAATGGCATTTTCCTGAGGGTATGCTGTTGGGTCTGAGTTCTGATTTATGAATAGTAAGTAACTAGGTGATAAGGGGGTGCAGGGAAGGCCCAGCAGCCCAGGCAGAGGAATCATATGTAAGAAGGCCCCGGAGATAAGGCCAGTGTAGCGTAAAGCACCAAGGAGGGCCCGGTTATGGGAAATGAGCCAGCGCATGCAGGGCCTCCAAGACCATGGAAGGACATTTTCCTTCATCCTAAATGCAACAGAAAATCACTGAAGGTTTTATAAACAGAAGGTGATCAGTTTGGTCTGTTTTCTTAATGTTGCTTCTGGCTCTTCTGGAGAATGGATCGTGGTAGGGGAATAAAAAGAGGTTGAACAGAGATGAGTCGGGGTGTTGCAGTTGTCCAGGTGAAAAGTAATAGTAGCTTGGACTAGGAGTACATTAGGGAGAAATAGATTGAAGAAATATTTAGGAGATCAAATTCACAAGATAGGATTGGCTGCTAGCTTCTGAAGAGAAATGAGGTGCCAAGAAGGATCCACAGATTTCTGACACAACCACCTGGATGCATAGTGGCCATATTGGCTGAGCTCAGGAACCCAGGAGAAGGATAGGCTTTGGGGGTTGGGGCTTCAGCCTATGGGCTAGATTGCCGGACATACAGAGTGCCTGTGAAATAGCTATGTGGAGATAATGAGTATCTACCCAAATCGAAAGGATATTCCTAGCACAGGAAAAAGAGGCCAGAATCTGGAAGACATTACGAAAAAAATCAAAGGTGGAAAAGGGGGAAATGTCCCTGCAAAGTTCTGAGGAGATGCATCCTCCCAAAGTGGCTCTTCTTCCTGAGGAGGGGTTGCCTGCCCTGGTAGAGTCCGCTGCTCTCCTTGAAGGAGTTAATACGGTTGTGGTGACAGCTTCTGCCCCAGAGGCTTTGCTGGCCTCCTGGGCCAGAATTGCAGCCAGGGCAGGGATGCCAGAGGCAGTGAGTGGAATCTCCACAAGAGTGGTGTCAAGTGGCATGTGCTCCACGGGAGAAGTCTCCCTGCAGACACAGATGGTTGGGTTCACCTCCAGTTTCATGCTGGACAAGCCTGGGTTCCCGAGAAGCAGGAAGGGAGAGTGAGTGCACGCACGCCTCTTGCTTCCTGCCTCCAATTTTCCACCCCCACACCCTGCAGACAGTATGTTGAGCCCCAAATGTGTTCATAGGAACAAGATCTTCAGAAGCCTCCAGCGGAAAAAGAATACCAAGAAAAAGGACACATCTCTGGTAATTAATGGCAGAAAGCCCGGACAGTCGAGTCTGTGGTGCTGCTGACAGGTGAACTCTGGTCCTCTCCACACCTACTTATAGGCCATGCAGACTGGTGGGTTGCAGATGTTAGCCTAAGACCCTGGCAGTACCTGCTGCTTTGTGGTTTCAGGTAGAGACTCTCATGTTTAAAAATGGAAAAGCATTTTACAAATTACCATTTAATTCTAGTTAATACATAGAAAAAGTCATTCACACTACCCCCCTAAAATAGAATGACTTCTGCTCTTTTAGGTGGGAACTTCTTCAGCTGAGCATTGGCAACAGGTTGAGTGAAGAAACAGTAGTTTGTGTCTGTGCTCAATTTCCCTCCTCACAATACTGGTTATTTTAGGAGTTGCTCCATTCCAACTTGTATATTTCATAAATTGTAAAGTATTTTAAGTCAAAGAAAGGCCGTTAATATTCTCCCTCCCCAAAATGCATGATTTTTAATATTCAAAATAATGTTTTTCAAAGTTTTCTTAGTAACCTAAGATTTCTGTGGTTTGACTCCAGGATAAAAACACAAGGCACTTTGTCTGTATTATTTCCACTTATAATTGTTTTATATATTTCTGCTGTTAAAAATGTTTAAGATCGCTTCCCACTCATAAATATATAATACATTGAACTTAAAATATATTTGTTAACCAGTTCTCCAAAAATAAAAATGAAACGTGTATATAAAATAATTCATTTGTTATATTTAGGGAACTGTATTCATTGCAATGTAAATAATTGTTAGTGTTCTTCACTGAAAGGATTAATCCAAAAAGGATGATTTTTTTTTCATGATTCATTTGCTTATTTTTTTGTTTATTAGTTGGTGGTATGGGTTGGATCATTTGTTTTAAAACCACTTGTTATATGATTGACATACAAAAAGCTACACGTATTTAATGTATCAAATTGAGTTTAATTTGTAATTTTTTATGTACTTCCTAAATTTGTAGTCCTGTGAGTCTTAGGACAGATCTGTTTTTCACTTGTCCTGTGTTTTAATGTCTGTTTCCAACATTGCTTTATTATTACAAGTAGGGGATTTTTTTTTTTTGCCACTTTAATGAAGATACAAAAAATAATGCGCTGAAAGGAGTGGCGGAATTGGAAAATTTGTAACCATCATGATATGGAATTAATAGGTTTGGGAAAGAATCCTCAAAAATATTAAAGTGAAGGAGGAAAGTTTGTTAAGAAGCAAGATGGTTTTATGGTCTCAGTGTTAATAACCTCCCGCCTGCCATTGGTTGTTGGTGGTCAGAATTGTTCAGTGTAATAAACAATACACACATTTTTCCCTTAAAAAAGTTGTGCAGATTATTTTGTGTTTTGTTTAGTATTGTGATGATGATGCATTCTTTTGTAATGATATGAAAAGAGAATAAAAGTCCTATCAAGATGCAAATTCAAAGAACAGGTTATTTCATACAGAAGGTGTTTCTTTATAGTTAGACTTCAACTACTTTCCCCGATAACTTGATTTAATATGAAAGCTGGTTCTGTGAGGCACTCCTCACGTGAATCAGTGTTAGACCTTCATAGTCATAAACTCAGAACATGTGGTCCTAACACATTACCTACTAATAAATAGGAGATCAGCTGTGGACTCTAGATTTCCTCATCAGCTCACATATTTTTAAATGGTTTATTTTCATCCTCTTTCCTTTGAAGATAGGACTCTAAAAGGTCTGTCAGGTGATCCACTTCTGTTTCCTATTTAACAGTACCTCCATTCATCGACAGCTGCTAAAGTCATCTATATTAAAAGATCTTTAAAGTCTCTCAGCATTCAAGAAATAACTTAGGCATCTTTTTAGAAGTATTATACATTCTTAATCAATAAAGCCTGTGTGTCTTGAACATTTCCTAGTTAGCAGTAAAACACTTAGTTTCTCTTTATAAGATTTTTCTTTTAATAAAATTACTTGCATTTTGACTTATGCCCTTAAGTTTCTATTTGTTGTCTAAATGGCACCATTTAAAGTGTTTTAAGAAATTTAATATTTCTTTATTGGATTAGGAGAACATATCTTTAAGGAAAAATTACCCTCTTAGCAGGTGATTTACAGTATTATTTTCTCCTGGCCAACCTTTTTAAAAATCCAAAATATGTGCCACCTAGCTTTTTAAAAGTTTCATTAGAATTAGTTATGTATTATGACGTATTTGTGAAGTATGTAAAGTGCTTCAGACAGCACGTGGCACATTGTGATCACTAAGGGTTTGCCATTATTATTCTTACCTTGATTTTAAAGACGTGAAATATGGATATGTGACTTTTTTGGTTTTTACATTGGAATTTCATATTAAGTCGGTGGCCCTTTCAGTAAAATAAGAGCTTACTGTAAAGTTCTCTGCAAAAGATTTTCCATTTTCATATTTAATTTGCATGCATACCATAATTTTTATTTCTCTCCTCTTGGAGTCTCTCTGTAAATTTCTTTTTAATGTGTCATACTTAAGGACCTCTTCATTTTCTTAAAATTCTGCATCCTTCTGTTAACCAAACACATTTAGAAAGTCATTCAAATTTTATGCTTGTAAGTGGTACTGAATTGGAAAACCAAAGGATTGTTTACCCCAGGAGCAAGTTGGAGTGTGTGCCTGCTTAATAATGAAAAACATTGTGATCAGTTTGCTTTTAACTAGTTCTCCCTTTTTTTTCCCTATTTCCTTACCCCTAAGAATGAATATAAGTGTTAGACAACGTTGAGATCAGTTTCCATTAGAGTTTTAAAAGAAATTTTTCTATTATAAAGGAATTGGATATTTATTACATTTTTAAATGTAAGAAAATTGAAAGAAGAAAGGCACTAACAGACACGAAAAGACCATTAGTATTTTGTGACAGATTGTTCCAATTTTTTTCCTCCTACTTTATTCAATTTTACTTATTTGTTTATTTATGAGCTAGAGCCTTGCTCCATCACTGTTACCTCGAACTCCTGGCCTCAATCCATCCTCCTGCCTCAGACTCCCAATGTGCTGGGATTATAGGCATCAGTTTCTCCAATGCATTTTAATACTGATGTAGGTAGAGATTATAAATTAACTTCTAGATTTAAAAGCTATGGTATTGATCTTTATAACTGCTTTAGCATGTTTTTTGTAGGGATCTAATCCGTCAGTAAATAATCACAGAGAACCTCCTATGTGCCAGATGCTGTTCTAGGGGCTTTGATTCATTAGGACACCCTACTGTCACCCCATCCTTACCTTTATGCTTTCTGCTCATTTTTCAGTACACTCTTGACATCAGGAGCTTCCAGTAAGTTAGCCTGGCAGATAGGATGCAGTTTGTGTGAGAGAGCAAGCTGTCAAAAGTGACTCCAGGGTCTGCTTTGGCCTATACAACTGGGCCTATATAGTCATCTTTAAGATGGAGAAACTGTAGGTAGAGCAGGTTTGGGAGGAAGATTAGAAGTTGAGTTTGGACATGTTTAGTTTAACATATCTATTAGACAACCTAATGGAAACGCTGAGTAGACAGGGAAAAACACTGATGTTCCAATCAGATGTGACAACAGGTCAGCCAGAATTTTGCACAATTATCAGGATTATTTAAATGTTGTATATGTTATATATATGTGTGTGCGTGTTAAATGTTAGTGTACAACAGGAGTAGGATATATATAAAATATATTTCATGTGTGTCTGTTCATATCTGCATCTATATATTTCTGTGTATTCTACCTCTGTTGTAGGCAGTGTGCTTTATCCTAACTTGTGCCTTGAGATATTAGCTAACAATGATAATATCTATATAAGTGATCCTTAAGTAAATAGACAAATGGTGGGGTGGGGGGAGTGGGTAGGCATTTTTTTTTTGTCAGAATACACGAAGTTTGTAAACTGCTGAAACATCCACACAAACTTTTGCCCATTCAAAAAGTTAAATGAATGCCATGAATGATTCTGTCTATAAATTTTTTAAGTAACACTTCCTCAAATATGAAACTTTCTTATAAGAAAATTCTTTTGATACTGGAAGAACCACACTCATTTGCAAGGAATCAGATCCAAGATAAACTACCAGCCTATAGCTGTTTGTCCTTCAAGAACAGAATCCATGGGAAAATCTTGGTTACTCCTTTTCTTGGGTAGTGATTTGTGAGAGTTTGTATATCTCAGTCATTTTTTAAAACCTTAGATTTATTATTAATATAATTTAGATATTATTTACATATATGGAAACTATCTCTTCTTTTAAGAGAGCCTTATTTAAAGTGCTTATTAATTATTGTTTAGTTTTTATATCTATATATAACTCTGGTACTATGCTATATCTAAACTTCTGGGTTTTCTAGGGCAAAAGTAATTGTATGAGAGTAAGAAAAGTTTTTTCTTTCTCCCTTCCTCCCTTCCTTTTCCCGTGTTTCCACCAAGTTATTTTTTCTTTTACTGTATTCACCAGTACTCTTAAGGAATGTTGATTGATACTGCAAACAGTAGACATCCCTAGGTAGTTTGAATTTGTATTTCATTTAACTGCTGTATTTTAGTTTGAGTATTGGTTTGTGATATACTGTTTTCATAAAGCATGGCTTTTGTTGTTACTTAATACCCTTTAAAAAAATCCCATTTAGTCATTTTAACCTTTTAAATCTCATTTCCATGCCTATCCTTTTATTTCCAAGACTTCTTTATTTTGTTTTATGTGTGTGTGTTTTTTAAACAGAATATAGATAGGTCTTTTAATGGAATAATTTACTTTCTTCATGTGTCATATAGTTTTTTCTTGCTTTCTTTGCTGCATATTTTAACTTGCAGTTTGTTATATCTGGTTTTTGCTGGTTTGATCAATTTATTTTGGGTTTCTTTTTTAAAAAATGTCTTGTTACTTTGGAAATTCTACTGTATATTTCCATTCCATTAATGGTGATCTTTTCTTTCCCTGTACTCAGAAATGTTTATATGCCATTATTTAAAAATAAAACATGTGACTTTCCCCACCAACTTGTCTTTGCTATAATAACTTCTGTCTCCTGCTTACATCCCTCCTCAGTAAGGTGATAACTTTGGAATATTTTCACTTTCCTCTTGTTCAGCTTTCCCCACACCCAGCCAAAAAGTTTTTTGTTTTTTTTTGTTTGTTTGTTTGTTTTTGAGACAGAGTCTCGCTGTGTTGCCCAAGCTGGAGTGCAATGGCACGATCTTGGCTCGCTGCATCCCCCGCCTCCCAGGTTCAAGCAATTCTCCTGCCTCAGGCTCTTGAGTAGCTGGGATTACAGGTGCGCGACACCAAAAATTAGCCTGGCTAATTTTTGTATTTTTGGTAGAGATGGGGTTTCAGCATGTTGGCCAGGCTGATCTCGAACTCCTGACCTCAGGTGATCCACCTACCTCTGCCTCCCAAAGTGCTGAGATTACAGGCGTGAGCCACCACAGCCTGCCTCCAGCCAAGAGGTTTAGCATGCACCTACTCCTACTGTGTTTAGCCCTTCTTCCAATGCTTTGATATTCCTTTGACAGTTTCATACTTTCAATTCAGTCCTTAGCAGATAATACTTTGCCGTACATCTGTTTTGTTTCAAGTATTCTTATTTAGAATTTATTACATGTTGCTATAACAATTAATAGTACTCATTTAGATTGATTGTATATAACTACCATATTTCATAAAACTAAAGCACTTTTTTTTTGCATTTTAGCACCTCTGGAATTGAGATGTGCCTTACAATTGATGATTTTCTAGAATTAGACTTAGAAGTGTAATTTGGCAGCACTTGGATTTTCTTTTTTTATTTTTGTTGAGATGAGGTCTCACTGTGTTTCCCAGGCTGGTCTTGAACTCCTGAACTCAAGCCATCCGCCTGCCTTGGCCTCCTAAAGTGCTAGGATTACAGGCATGAGCCACTGTGCCCAGCCAGTGCTTGAACTTTAGTATCTATCTAGTGGAATAGATACAGATACATGAAACTGTGTATCTATAGAGAAAGCAGGTTCAGGCACAGACAGGGTTTACTTCTTGCTGCTCTTGTCTCTCCTGTCCTTCCCCAGAGGTCTCTAATTCATTTGTCCCTCAATCAGAGATCTTTTTCAGGTGTTTTTCTATATGACATATGTGGGTGGTGTATTTTCTGAGTATCCATACATACACTTTTTTTTCAGGACAAGTGACAGATGTTGTGTTTGGGGTTTGCTACTTTTCTCTTAGTATTTTGCTAGAGCCATTGCTATGGCTTCCATTGTCGCGGGTGAGAAGTCTGATGCCTCTGATTTTTTTTTCCTGAAGTACTATGTTCTACCTACCTGTAAGCTTGTAAAAATATTTTCTTACAGAGTCAGGAATTTAGTAGGATGTGTCAAGATCTGTGTGTAGAATAACATGAGCTCTTTTAATCGGCAGACCAAGGTCTTTCTTTGGCCCAAGCAAATATTCTTCTGCTTTATTACTGCCTCTCCTCCGTCTTTTCATCTTTCTTCAGCTGGTACTGCTGTTCATCTTATTAGATCTGTCCTCCAAGTCTCTTATCTTTTCTGTCGTCATTTCTATTTTGTTGCTTTGAGCTGTTTTTTCCATTTGACCTTCCAGACCACAAATTTGGATCTTCGTCATGAGCCATTCTTTCCTTCATTTAATCTACTATATGGTTTATTTGGAAAATCATGTTTTTAGATGTGGGAAAGCTTCTCTCTGCTGTAGTTAAATCTCCCCAGTGTCCCTTAATTTTTCCGACTCATACTGGCCTTTCTCTCTCCAAGCACCTCTGTTTGATTTGGGGTTTATTCCCTTCATCTTGACCCCTGTCTTTCTGGATGCTCAGCCTCTTTATGTGTTGTTGTGTTTTCTTGGTCAGCTTATTAGGACCCAGGTCTGATTTTGGCCTCTAATGATTCAAGGAGATGTAGATGTTCTGCCTTCCCTGTTCCCCACCCAAGGGTCATCAGATCTCTGTGGGCCAGGCTTTTCTTAGAACCGTTAGTTTATGGTCCTTGTTCTAGGGTTCAAAGAGGCTTGTCTCCAGATACTTGTCCAGAACCTAGAAAAACAAAAAACAAACAAAAAACACACACTCCAGTTCCCTCCTCTGTATTACAGAGAGTGCAAGTCTTCGCTTCCATTTAGCTGTCTGCAGGTCCCGGGGCTGTGTTCTGTTGCAGCAGACAGATTGAAAATGGTAATGGAGGTAAAGGGAGGTGAGTTTGTGTGTGACTCTTTCTGGAATCTTTTTGGGCCTAGATTTTTTATGTTTTCATTCCCTTAACAGTTGTGGATCTTTTGTCTAGACTTAACAATAGTAGGTAAAACAGCATTTGGCATGGAAACTAGAAGACCTATAGGAGTGATATATTATTCTCAACCTTTTGCTTCTTTCTCTCTGAGAAGATTGATGATACTTCCCTGTCTGTTGCAGTGTGATTTGATTTGTTGTGTCTCCCTGTCCCATAGTCAGACTTAATTTTGAGACTTAGCCAATGGAGTATGAGTGGATGTATATCAGTTCTGAACAGAAGCTTTGTTTGTTTCTTTGTTTTGTTTTGTTTTGAGACAGAGTCTTGCTCTGTCGCCCAGGCTGGAGTGCAGTGGCATGATCTCGGCTCAGTGCAGCCTCCATCTCCTGGGTTCCAGTGACTCTTGTGCCTCAGCCTCCCGAGTAGCTGGGATTACAGATGTGTGCCACCATGCCTGGCTAATTTTTTGTATTCTTAGTAGAGACAAGATTTTGCTATGTTGGCCAGGCTGGTCTCGAACTTTTGGCCTTAACTGATCCACCGGCCTCAGCCTCCCAAAGTGCTAGGATTATAGGTGTGAATTACTGCGCCGGGCCCTGAGTGGAAGCTTTAGGAGGTGTAGCAGGTTTCTGTCATCCCTCTTGCTTCTGCCTTTTGACTTGAGAATAGCATGTCCCAAATATGATCTGTTCTTCTGGATTGGATTCTGGGTAAGAAGACCCTCAGGGCAAAAGCCACAGCTTTGAGGGCAGCCATAGCTAACCCAGAGCTAACATGTAATGTGACTGGGAAATACACGTGTGATGTATGCCACCGAGATTTGAGGGTTGTGTTGTTACTGCAGCAAAGCTAACTGATAAAATCTGGTTTAATTTCTTGTTTCTCCTTTTATTAGCTGATACTTATTTTTCCTACCAACTTTAAAAATCTGTATCAGATCCTACATTCTATTTTCTATCTCTCCTGATTTATCTCTTAATTGGCTGATATAAATGAACTGTTGTAATTGGGGTCAAACACTGATTACTTGTGGTAGAGTGTTTACAAGTTATATAATAGGTTCCAACCTGTGTAACAACTGGGGAAAAAAACAGTAAATTGGGGGCAGTGTCTTGTGGCTGTTAATTGCCCATTTATTAAATGCCCTAAATTCTGCTCCAAATTATGGTTGTGAAGCATGGCTTTTCTTTAAATGTATAAAGCAGATTATTTGTAGATCTCAACATCTGGATGGTGGTGCTGTTTTCTATTATCATAAATAAGAATTAATTGGGAAAGCATTTATGGAGTGACTTTACAGAGTTGGGAATTCCTGGGATGTGTATCTGTGCATATTTATCTGGCCTGTTGGATTAACTGACGAATAAATGTAAAGAATGGGATTTATTTTTGTGTTTTATCCTTTTTGTATATAATTGATATTCACTTTTCTTTGGTCTTAGTATTCTGCTCTCAACACACTGTTCTAACAAATATTGTAAATCAGCAGTAGATGAGTAGAAACAGTAATATTATTCCTTGGACCATGAGCCACAAGACCCGGGTTCTCCCCTAACTCTTTTAGCCTTATCCCCTCCCTTTTCTTCATCCCTTTCTTTGCCTTTCCTCCATTCACTGATGTAAGAAATACGTATCGAGTGTCCTGTTAGGTGAGATGCTGGATGTGATGAGAAGTAAGCCAGACACCTCCCCTGCCTGCCTTATCAAGCTTACTGTCTTCTCTTCTATTCCTCAGCCCCTTCTGTCTTCCGACCATACAGCAGTATAAATTGGTCCATGCTGCATTACTACTAAGCCTCCTGGTTGCCATCTTTTGTTAACAGGGCTGCTTTCAAAGGTGCTTTTAATACTGGATTGTTATGGGAAAGTTGGTGGTGGTGGGGAGGGAAGGAGGGAGGAAGGAAGGAGAGTAGATGAGTAGGCAGGTGAGAAAGGAGGAAGCTATGGAGCTGTTCACAGGGCCTTAACCACCCAACAAGCTGCTTTTTATTAATGTTTTTCATGATTCTTTTCTAATTGTAATTTTGCGTAAATGCACAGAGGATGTATCTATACAAATGATTTGAATATTAGATGAGAACCTTTCTTGTTCCTGGCTAGGTTTTAAAATGTTATTTTTTAGAATTTGGGAAACCATCAATTAAAACATCTTTGGTACCAGAAAAATTGCTCAGAAATAGGGAAAGCCTGGATAAATAAGCATATGCCTTTGTTAACAAGGACATTTGATAGAATAATAAGTAAAATAAAATCTACCTTTTATTGTTGTGTTTCTTGACGCATTGGTCATTCATTTTTCCTCTCCCCTCTTTGTTATCTCAGTAAAGAGATGCTAAAATGTGCTGCTGAAAGGGAAGGAAAGTTGGGGGTGGGAAAGACAATGGAACTGTACACAGTGATGTCATTCTCAGCTGCAAGAAAAAAATCTTAAGGCAACCGGATTATATTTGATAAAAGATTAAAGTTGCATGCAAATTCTAACTAAAAACATCTGTTTCCTGACCCTGTGCGAGTTCTAACGTTTTGATAGGAATTCTGGTTTTGGAATTTCTGAGTCTTAAGTTTACCTTCCTCAACTACTGCCTGGCTATTTTCTTAAAGGACTGAAGTCAGTACTGCTTAACATACTGGAAATGACTGTGAATAACCAAAAATGAACTTCCTGGATTGCTTCTTACATACAAGAAGTTTTCAGGTTTCATGAACAAGAATCATCCTGATTGCCGAGTGACAACTTTAAAAATTGTGGTGTGATACAGAGTTCATTCCAGGAAGCCAATGAAAATAAGTGGAACATATGTATATGTGTGTGTGTGTAGAATTAGTAATAGATTTTTAAGAACTTTTCAAGTGTTCCTGCTTTTATTAAGAACCTCAACTAGCAAAAATTGTTCCTTTTTAAAACTTTATTTTTAGGTGAGGTACAACTTGTATCTACTGTGACATCGTATTTTATATTTTGCTAAATCAGACATGTGTTGGAAAATCTTGATACCATAATTGCACTGTATCAGTAATGCTTACAGACTCCTGGAAATAGGATGAAATCTAAAAGCAAATATTGAACATTAGCTAGGGGATCAGTTTAAATTGAATTTTGCATTACAGTCACTCACTTCAACTGTGAAAGCCAGTGTAATTTTGTGATTTTTCATTTTGATTGATTTGTTAAACTTGATACCCAACAGCAGCAGATTTCTTTGTGTTCTGATATACCCAGATGTTCACACTGGGCATTTTCTAAGGATGACTGTACTGTGAAAATGTTAACGCTTGGTCTTAGCCTACCATGTTAGTGTGAGGTATGTTGAGGAATATTTACAGACTGTATGATACAGCTAGAATGTCCTACACATTAGAAATGATTGATTAAACAAAAGTTGTGTTTTATGAGGAAGAAAAATAGAAATAAGCCATCAATGAGGGACAGTTAAATATTATGAAATTCTCTGCATTAGAAAGAATGATAGATCTATTAATATATTAATCAACATGGAAATATCTAAGATATTGTTTAGGGGGAAAAAATCAAATTTTGGAACACATGCTAATGTTTAAAACAAACCCCCAGAAATTAAAACCTAAAACTAAATGTGTTGAGATAAATCAGAAGATTTATTCCAAATTGTTAATGACAGTTAACTTTGGTTGAACTTCTGTATATTAATTTTAATAATGCAAATGTAGTCATGCTTTACACATACACTTATTTTTTATTATGGAAAATTTCAGATGTACAGAAAGTAAACAGAGTTTATAATATAATGAACCATGCAGTACCCATCACCAACCTGCAAAAGCTATCAATATTCTGCCATTTTTATTTCATTTATGTCTATGCTCATTCTTCACCTTGACTACTATTATATTTTTTACAGTACATTTTTAGGTAAAATTCATATATATTGAAATGCACAAATTATATATGTACACTTTTGACAAATGTATAGTCGTGTAATCCCCATATCCTTATGATATTGAATATTTCCCTATTCCCAGAAAGTTCTCTCATCTTCAGTCCCATTCTGCCTGCCCAGGTTATTTTTGCCTTTTCTGGAATTTTATATGAATAGAATCATATAGTCTGCACTCTTTTTGTTTCTTCTTTTGCTCAGTATAACCTGTGTAAGGGTTGTCCATGTTACAGCAATGTATCAATAATTTTTTTCATTGTATTACTAATATTCCTTTATATGAATACACCACAATTTGTTTAGCCCTTCTCTTATTGATGGACGTTAGCTGTTGTGATTAAAGCTGTTGTGACATTAATGTATAAATCTTTTTGTGGACATATATTGTCATTGCTCTTGGATAAATACCTAGGAGTAAAATTTCTCTTTCAAAAAACCACCTTTCAAAGTTGTACGTTCCCACTAGCAAAGTATGAAAGTTGTGGTTGCTCCATATCCTTTCAGTTGTTTGGTTTTCTCAGTCTTTTGATTTCTGCCATTTTAGTGGATAACAGCACCTCATTGCGGCTTCTAAAAAAAAATTTTTATATCGTGGTAAAATTGCCACTACCATAATCATAATATTTGCCATTTTAAACATTTAAAGTGTAAGATTCAGTATCATTAATTACATTCACAGTGTTGTGTAACAGTCATTACTATCTATTCCTAAAACCTTTTTATCACTTCAGACAGAAAGGTTGTATCATTAAGTACAGAGCTTCCTGCTTTCCCCTTCCCCTAGCCAAACTACAGCTTCTAACGCAGTTCCCACACAAACTACAACTTCTAATGTAGCTTCTATCTCTATGAATTTGCCTGTTCTAGATATTTCATATGATTATAATCATACATTAGTTGTTCTTTTATGTCTGGCTTATTTTACCTGGCATGGTGTTTTCAGAGTTTATCCATAGTGTGGCATGTATCGGAACTTTATTCCTTTTTATGGCTGAATAATACTCCATCCCGTTGTATGTATATACCATATTTTATTTATTCATTTATGTGTTAATGTACTTAGAATGTTCAGCTGTTGTGACTTATGCTGCAGGCTGGGATGCAAGTGTCTGTTTGAGTCTGTTTTCAGTTATTTTGGCTGTATACCCGGGAGCAAAATTGCTGGATCATAAGGTCATTCTGTGTTTAACTTTTTAAGGAACCATCAAATTGTTTTATCAGTGGATTTTATTCAGCATTTCCCTGATGACTAATGATGTTGAATCAGGTGCTTATGTTACTGATCTTCCTTTGTGAAGTGCTTCTTCAAGTCTTGTGCACATTTTAAAAATCAAGCTTTCTTTTTATTGTTGAGGTTTGAAAGTTCTTTTTATATTTTAAACGCAAGTCCTTTGTTAAATACACATTTTGCAAATATTCCACTCTGTGGCTTGCCTTTTTATTAGGTTTATACCTAGAAATGGAATTGCTGGATTTTATGGTAATTCTACCACTTAATTTTTTTGAAGAAGAGCCATACTGTTTTCAAGTGACTGCAGCCTTGCATATCCCTTGTTCACCAACAGTGAACAAGGGTTTCATTTTTTTCATATCCTTGCCAGCACTTGTTATTTTCTGTTTTTGTTGCTAGTAGCCCTCCTAAAGGGTGGGAGTTTGTATCTCATCATGGTTTTTATTTGCATTTCCCTAATGATAGTGATGATAAACATCTTTTTATATGCTTGTTGTCTATTTGTGCATCTTCTCTAGAATGATGTCTATTTAAATTCTTTGCTTTTTTAAAATCTGGTTGTTTTGTTGAATGCTTTATATATTCTGGATATTAACCCCTTATCAGATACATGATTTGCAAATATTTTCTCTTATTCCATAGGTTGTCTTTTTATGCTGTTAATTGCATTCATTGATGCACATATGTTTTTAATTTTGATGTAGTCCCATTTATTTCTTTTTGCTTTTGTTGCCTTGCTTTTTGTGTCATATCCAAGAAATCATTGCCAAATCTAATGTTATGAAGATTTTCCCTGTGTTTTCTTCTAGGGGTTTTGTGGTTTTAGGTCTTATGTTTAGTTCTTTCATCCACTTTAATTTTTATATAGGGTTATGAGGTAAGGGTCCAGGCTCATTCTTTTCCATCTGGACATCCATTTTTCCCAATATCGTTTGTTGAAAAGATTGTCCTTTCGCTGTTGAATGGTCTGGCACCCTTTTCGAAGATTGTTTAACCATATATGTGAAGTCTTATTTCTGGGCTGTTTTATTTCACTGGTCTATATGTCTGTCTTGATGCCACTACAACACAGTTTTGTTCATTGTAGCTACTTTTGAAATCAGAAAGTATGAGACCTCCAGCTTTCATTGGGGTACCTTGAGGTCCATATGAATTTTGGTGGTGGATTTTGGATTTTTCTATTTGTGCAGAATATTCCACTGGGATTTTTCTTAACAGTACCTTTCGATGAGCAGAAGTTTTAAAATTTGATGTAAATTAATTTTTCTAAAGTTTTTTTTCTTTTGTGGTTATTGCGTCTTGTGGTCCCAGAAATTTCCTCCTATCCACGGACCACCCGTTCTCACACGTTTTCTTTTAAAAGCTTTATGGATTGAGCTTTTATCTTTAGGTCTGTGATCCAGCTCTCATTAATTTTTGTGTAGGGTTTTGAGGTTGGGGTCAAGGCTTATTTTTATGCTGTGGATATTCAGTTGTTTCAGTGCCATTTATTGAAAATATTGTTTATGAACACTCTCCTCTGTTTCATTGTTTATCCTTACGCCTTGTTACTCTGATCACTGTTTTGATTATAGTAGTTTTAGAGTAAATCTTGAAATCAAATATTGTCAATACTCCACCTTTATTACATCTTTCAAGATTGTTTTGGTTATTCCACGTCCTTGTCATTTTTATGTAACTTTTTGACTCAGGTTTTGATAATATTGTAAATATAATTTTTTGTAAAAAAAAAGTCGTTTTTCATTTATTTGCTGCTACTATTTAGAAATTCTGTTGGAGAGAGAGAGAATGTGTGTGTGTGTGTTGATTCCTTAAGATTCTCAGCAAAAACAATCATGTCATTTGTAAATGGGGACAGTTTTACTTCTTTTCAGTCTTTGCTTTTTATTTCTTTTATATTTTTATTTGTTTTTCTTGCCTGATTGCATTGACTAGGACCTTCAACACAATGTTGAATAGAAGTGGTGAAAATAAACATCCTTACCTTATTCATGATCTTAAGGGGAAAGCATTCAGTCTGTCACCATTAAGAATGATATTAGCCATACATTGTTGGAGGTATATTTTATCAGATTGAGGAAGTTCCTTCCCATTCTTATTTTGATGAGCATTTTTATCATAAGTCAGTGTCAAATATTTAAATACTTCTTAAAAACAGTGAAACTTGTTTCCAGGGCTTTAGAAGTATAGTGAATTACAGACTAATTTGACATTGCCATTATCTTCATTACAAAATAGTGTTATTTAATTGGCACTCTAACATGTAAAGTGATACATTAGGAGCCACTTCCATCTACACAAAATTACTGTGATGATTCTGTAGAATGTGGAAAAAGAAAATCTAATCATTACCTTCAGTGATAGCATTTATGACTAATGTACTGAGTTGTGTTTGGAGATACTCCTAATGCCCCTGGCCTTGAAATCTGAAAGATTTACTTAACAGTCAAACTGTTCACACTCATCTGCTTTTCTCTGTTAGATTCTTTTACTCATGTGTTTATTTTATGTTTTCTTTGGAAAGATGCTTTAGGAATGTTAATATGTTTTTATTAACCTAAGGAGTAATTCACTTTCAATTTTCCTCCTTTTAGGTTAATTTCTTTTATTGGGTATATGCTCTTTTCTTTATGTACGGTGTAAATAAATGAACTGTAGTTGTTAAATTAAAAAAATCAGAATGTATTTACTATTGGAATTCTTTCCTGCTATGTTTAATACTAGCAGACTAGCTTTGAATGGTTCTTACTTTTGTTGTTGTTTTTTTAAGAATAATTATCACTATGGGACAAGGAATTTTTAGGTCTTCAACTTCATTTGTCCTTGGTTACCCCTGGGGTTGAATTGGAAAAGGTTCAGAGTATTTAAAAGAATGGTTTTGTTGTCGGTGGGACAGTAGAATGGAAAACTCTAAACCACTAGAATTTGGAAATCATCATGCAAGAAAAAGGAGACCCTTCTGTGAATCACCTGTAGATCTCTTGAAAATTGCAATGGGCCAGTCCTTGGATCCACTCTGCTATACATGGCAGGCCTACCAATTCCATGCTGTTCTTCAACTAGAGGTCTTGCACACGGTTTCTGTGTTTTTTAAACGTATTGCTAGAGAGTTCTGGGTTATTTCTGCCAATGACGAAAGCTTTTACAGCTTTTTAGATGGCCTTTCTTGGTCCTTAGGCTTCCTAGATCACCCGTGGTGGCATTATGTTCATTGCAGCTTACAGTCAAGTCTTACTTATTTTTAAAAAATATATTGGTATTGTAATGTAATTTTTTAATTGAAAATAGAATGTTAGGGCTAAATGATACCTTAGAAATAATATCTTCATATCTCTTCAGTTGTATTCTAAATCACTTTGCTGTTTATTGAAGGACCATTAGGTTACATTTATTTTAAGATTACAGGGATAGAAGCATTGATTGGCTTCAAAGATAATTCTAGTCCTACACTTTGTGATAGGTGAAGTGTGCTCATAATGTAATTTTGTTCTTTATTTCATTAGTGATGCCTAACATGCCCTTCCTGTTTACCACACCCAGATTTCATTTTATCCCTATTTCACCTCGAATCCTCACATGCACTCTTGTATAGAATTATTGCTCTGTTTATTACTAAGTGGAATCCATGTTGAATTTTGGCAGGCTTTTTCCCCCTCCATCTGTGTCTTTGATGGTAGCTGGGTTTACTGCCGCTCACTTATTAGTGCCCTGGGTCTTAACAACCTTATTCAAACAAAACATCTTAAATGGAGGCATTAAACAGGTCACAACAGTGAGCCATTTTGTAACTTTAGGTGCAATAAAATGGGTATGTTGTGTTTTGGAATATAAGAGCTCTGAGTGCAGCTATTCATTTTCTTCATCTATAAAACATTTTAGAATAACAGCCTACATCTGTTTGGGGGTATAAAATTCCACGTTTTGAAGAAACAATCACTGTTATGTAACTTCAAGCCAGACGCGGGGAGGGAGCTAGCTTTCTGACGGGCCCACGTTCTGTAGACGTTGGGAAAAGTGTTTGTTTTAGCTATGGAGCTGTATTTGCTGGCAGCCCATCTTTCACATGTGTGGAACACATTTTCATTATTGTTTGTTCATATTGTAAATGACAACATGTGTGTGATACAATTTTGACTTGAAGAATATTTGAAAAATTTTCACACAGGAATTTATGAGGGCTATTTCACTACTAGAAGTCAGAAGCAAATTTAATTATTTAGGCATTTATAGCATATTTAATTACTTTAGACTGTCAGTCTTGTTTTAGAGAGTAAAGCTGGGGTTTACTGTCGCTCCCTTTTTAAACTAAATACCCAGTGGAATAGTATGGCCATTCCAAATGTGTGATTTTAAAATTATTTCTTTAAACTGAAGGAGCAGCTCAATGAATAACTTTCATTAGAGGAAATGGGCAAAATGTTTAATGATAGAATTCAAAATCTAAAGTATTAAGTACCAAGTAAGAGCAGATAACATTCAGTGCAATTTGTAGGTGATTTTAATTGAGAAATGAATGATGCCAATGGGATTGTTAGAGTAAATTTTAAATCTTTTTTCATCTTATGAAATATTTACCTTCTTACTAATCCATAATCATACTGTCAGTCTTTTGGGGCATATTTTATTACATATTATAAAGTTTAAAACATTTAGAAAAGCTTTTAGAAACCTATTACACAGTCAAGTTATTGTTTTGATAATTAATTGGAAATATAATGCTTGAGTTTCAGAATGGATAATGTCAGATGCTTTTATGTTTTTGTGACAATAAAAAACTCTATTTAACTACTGTTATGGAACTTCGACATTCGGGGGGGCTGGCTGCCTGTTTATGATGATAACAAACTTCTCTGAGATTCTAGCTTGTCAAATTAGTCCAGGCTATTGACATTGATCTTTTCTTCTCATTGACATTTCCTTCCTGAATGGTAGACAGATTTTCTTTCTGTGGTCACTGTCTGTCAAACTTGGGGCCATCATTTGCTGTAGCTGAGTAAGACAGATGATGCTAATCTTTAAATTTCTGATTAAATATAAATATTTAGGAAATAACAATACCAGGCCAAGGTGGGCGGATCACCTGAGGTCAGGAGTTCGAGACCAGCCTGGCTAACATGGTGAAACCCCGTCTCTACTAAAAATACAAAAATTAGCCAGGCGTGGTGGCACATACCTGTAATCCCAACTACTCGGGAGGCTGAGACAGGAGAATTGCTTGAGCCCAGGAGATGGAGGTTGCAGTGAGCTGAGATCGTGCCACTGCACTCCCGCCTGACCGACAAAGCAAGACTCTGTCTCAAAAAAAAAAAAGACATAACAATGCCCTCAATTCACGTGAAGGTAAATACCCATTAATTCCTCTGAAACTGGGACATTTACACCCACCCACATGTAGTGATAATGATAATGTTCAAAGTCCACATTTACTTTTCCCTTGCAGCTGGGCTGCCTGTGCAGTGCCAGTACTGGGCCCGTGGCGTGTGCGTGTTCGTGGGCATCGCCACCACCAGCACTGGTCCCCTGGGCTGTGACTGGACATTACTTCAGCTGCTGGGTGGGGTCCACTGGTGTTAAGACATTTTTATCTTAGGAAATATGACATGGGTGTCTTAAGTTTGAATTTCAGAAAATTAATAACAGATTGTACTGTGGGTGAATTTATATGCAGATAATTTAGATGTCTCCTGGGGATAGTAGTAGTTAGACAAGACTCTAGAGTCAGATTGTCTGGGCTTCTTACCTCCTAACTGCCTTTAGGCGTTACACAGCGTCTTTGAACCTCAGTCTCATCAACTATAAAATGAAGGAAGTAATACTCCCTAACTGTCTCAGCATGTGTTGTGAGGATTCAGTGAAATAAAGCTTACAAAGTGCATATTTGCAGAGTACCTGGCACATGAGAAGTGTTGATAGTTCTAGCCCTTACTGTTAGACAGCTCATCGTAAATACCTAACTCTAAGTGTGGTGATTCTCTTGACCACTCATACTTCATTACTACGCATGACTCTCCTCCCTAGCTGTGCCTGGGACGTGATCAGTGCTCAGACCCACGTCCCCCTGTGTTTTGTTAGACCCTCTCCACTCCCCTAGCATTGACTGATTTGGTGATTCTTCCTTGAAGGGTGCGAGCTTCCCACTGGCTGCTCTGTTCCTGGAGACCTGTTTCTCAAGTTTGACTCTTGCAAGTAGCTCTGTCTGCTTCCTCTTTCTTCCTTGCCTCTTTTTTCCCTCCACCTGCCCTTGCCCTCTCTCCAGTCTCCTCCCTCCTCTTTTCTCCCTCTCCTTTCCTTCTCTGCCCCGTCTTCTGTCTTCTGTCCTCCTCCTCTCTGCCCCCCTACCCTCTACCTCCCTGCTTTCTTTCCCCTCCTTCCTGCTTCCTTTTTTACCCATCTCTTTTCCTCTCTCCACTTTCTTTCCTTTTCTTCCACTCCTTTCTCTCTCCCCTTCTCTTCCTGCTCCCTCTCTCTGCTCTGTTGTCTCCCCATTCCCCTAACACTTCTCTCCCACCACCCCTTACCTTCCTTCTCTCTCCTCTGTGTTTCTCCTTTAAATCCTAACACTGCCTGCTAAGGAGTAGACAGCCTTGGCTCTTAAGCACAGAAATGTCACGTCCTAAAGTGTTTTTATTATGCTGGGAAATATTTATTTTGTCATTTCAGTAGCCAGACTATTGTGCTTCTGTTTCCATTTCAAAGGGGATTCACAACATCATTTTATGTCCCTTGGGCTCAAAAACTCAGAAGATCACCAGGCTCAGTGGCTCACGCCTGTAATCCCAGCACTTTTGGAGGCCAAGTCAGGTGGATTGCTTGAGCCCTCAAGTTTGAGACCAACCTGGGCAACATGGTGAAACCCCATCTCTAAAGAAAATATACAAAAATTAGCTGGGTGTGGTGGCGTGTGCCTGTAGTCCCAGCTACTCTGATGGCTGAGGTGGGAAAATCTCGTGAGCCTGGGAGGTCGAGGGTGGTGATCTGTCAGCCTGAGTGACAGAGCGAGACTTCCTCCCAACAAAAAATGAAAATCTACAGGCCACAGTTTAACTCTTTTTCTAAACATTATGTCTACTATAACTGTGAATTTGTTTGATATTAGCTTTGTTATAAAGTTGAAATAATATTTACAGGCTCGTATAGTCATACAGGCAAACTTGGCTCTTTTTTGCCTAATTTATTTAATTTTTTTTTTCTCTCTTCAGATTCCTTTTTCTTTGGTCCAGTTTCCCTTATGGGAGTCCTTAAAAGTAAGTTTCTCAGTCTTCACATAAAATTTGTCTCTAATTATAACATACCTAATAGTTTGAGTGTGGAAGAGTAGAACATAATGTTGACTAGAAGTTCAGCAACTCAAACCTATTAGCAGTTGAAAATATATTTTATGTGTGATTTACATGCCATTTCAGCCTTTTAAACTTGTTCAGGTGGCTGTGCTCCTAGGAAATAGGCATAGCAGGTGGCACTGAAATCCACAGATAATAAGAAAAAACTTAGGTTTACTTTTTTCCATATTGCCATTCTTTCTCCACCGTTAAATTTCATTTTGCTGTGTGCGTGTGTGTGTGTGTGTGTGTGTGTGTGTGTGTGTGTGTGTGTGTGTTTAGAAGTTAAAGACTAACAGTGAGGGTAAATGGAAGAGGAAAAATGCAAAGCCTTGAATACTTGAAGACTGAGAAGGACCAGCTCCCCTAGCACCCTGTGTAAGGACCACTTGGATGGGGAGCAGCAGGGTCTTAGGGCTCTGACTGTCCCTTCCGTCTTGGTTGCTCACTCCAGCCAGGACTAGGAGCCTCCAGAGGGAAGGAGCAGAGTGTGGTGAGTTGTCAGACAACCTTGGGGAAGGTCAGTGAGCTATTTAAAAAAAAAACAACATGTTTTAACCATTAAGGACATGGACATGGGCAAATATTTCATGACGAAAACATCAAAAGCAATTGCAACAAAAGCCAAAATTGACAAATGGGATCTAATTAAACTAAAGAGCTTCTGCACAGCAAAAGAAACTATCATCAGAGCGTTCAGACTACCTACAGAACGGGAGGAAATTTTTGCAACCTATTCATCTGACAAAGGTCTAATATCCAGAGTCCACAAGGAACTGAAATGAATTTACAAGAAAAAAACAAAGAATCCCATTAAAAAGTGAGCGAAGGACATGAACAGACACTTCTCAAGAGAAGACTTTCATGCAGGCAACAAACATATGAGAAAAAGCTCAACATCACTGATTATTAGAGAAATGCAAATCAAAACCACAATGAGATACCGTCTCACACCAGTCACAATGGCGATTATTAAAAAGTCAAGAAACAACAGATGCTGGTGAGGCTTTGGAGAAAAAGGAACGCTTTTACACTGTTGGTGGGAATGTAAATTAGTTCAACCATTGTGGAAGACAGTGTGGCGATTTCTCAAAGACGTAGAACCAGAAATACCATTTGACCCAGCAATCCCATTACTGGGTATATACCCAAAGGAATATAAATCATTCTGTTATAAAGATACATACATACATATATTCATTGCAGCACTATTTATAATAGCAAAGACATGGAATCAACCCAAATGCCCATCAATGATAGACTGCATAAAGAAAATGTGGTACATACACACCACGGAATACTATGCAGCCATAAAAAGGAAATGAGATTATGTTCTTTGTAGGGACATGGATGGAGCTGGAAGCCATTATCCTCAGCAAACTAATGCAGGAACAGAAAAGCAAACACTGCATGTTCTCACTTATAAGTGGGAGCTGAGCAAGGAGAATACATGGACACAGAAGAACAACACACAATGACTGGGGCCTGTTGTGGGGTGCAGGGGGAAGGAGAGCATCAGGAAAAATAGCTAACACATGCTGGGCTTAATACTTAGCTGATGGGTTGATACATGCAACAAACCACCATGGGTCACATTTACCTGTGTAACAAACTTGCACATCCTGCACACATACCCTGGAACTTCAACAACAACAACAACAACAGCAAAAGACATTTTAAAAAGCCTACATTCAAAACATGCAGAGATGTTACATTGGTTTTTCACTTTCTGGTGCAGTGATACTGAAAACTGTGGGCCATGATATAAATTGTGTGGGTCTTTGTCAGCATTTTAAAGACCATAATCAAGAAGAATATAGTAGAGGGCATCTTACGTGGTAAGAGTAAGTCTTATTTTGTAAGACCTCAATGAATGTTATGCATGCGTGCACACACATATGTATCTAGGTTGCAATGTAAAATGTATTTCTCGCTGTGGATAATGGTCCAAAAACTTTGAAAGCCCTTGTTCTAGTGAAAATGGTTCATAAATGACCAGGCTATAAAATAATCTAGGTAGGCATTAGCTAATACAAAAATAAAGGAGTTACTCTCATAATTTTATAGATTGACTAGTCATGGAGTGCTCATACAAAATGCATTTTGAAGAGTATCATAAAAATTATTTGTACTTGGAAATAAATTGTTGAGGTATATACTAAAGGATACTAAATTGAGAAAAAACATTACTCATTAACAAAGTAAATTATGAGATGTTAAGTATCAAGAAGTATTTCTTATAAGTGATCTGATTTTAAGGCGTAGTATTGCTCATTTAATATAGTTTTTTGGCTCTTTTGTTGTCTTGTTTGTTTGTTTTACTGTTTCCTATGTGGTGCGTGGTGAAAATAGAGTTCTCTGGCAGTGTTTCAGGGCATGATGTAACAGCTATCCAATGAGAAGGTCACGTTCCATTAGTATAACAGCTCTCCTTTTTAGTGTGTGACAAAAGAACAATGAAGCCAACAGCTGTCCAGCAAACAAGACTTACTTTATTAGTGTCTCAATAACCAGCATTCACACAGTTTCTGCACACTCTAACATCCTTATGCCCTAATTCTGCAAAGGAATGTTTTGAGGCCTAAAGAAGGAAAAAGCATAGTGTTTATTTCTTTTCAATATTAAGGACATTTGTAGAATTCTAGCTAGTTAAGAAATGTCCAGAATTTTTCAGAGTAATCATAGATGACAATGCTAAGATTTAAAAATTCTCTTTGAGCAAATGTTAAGATGCTGCCATTTTTTTTTCTGTCAAGTCGTTTCTTGAGGAACGCTTTACATATGATAAAACTCACCCTTTATACCTGTACATTTTTGTGAGTTTCAATAAATGTTTATAACCACCACCAAATTTCCATCAACCCAGAAAGTTCCCTCATGCCGTCAGTGCCCTTTCTGTACCCACAGCCCCTGTGAGCCACTGTTCTGTAGTCTTCTCTTTTCCAGAACATCATAGAAATAGATACAGGGTACTATTATACCATCTTGTGCTTTGCTTTTTTTTTTACTTAATGTAATATTTTTGAGATGCTTTCCTGTTGTTGCTTGTACCAGTAGTTTGTTTTATTACTTTGTAGTATTCCATATGTGTATGGATATGCTACAATTTATTCACTAGTTTATATACATTGAGTTGTTTTCCAGTTTTTGATGATTATAAATAAAGCTGTCGTAAGTATTTGCATATAGTATTGGTATGGATGTAGGTTTTTACTTCTCTAGGGTCAGAGGCCAGGAGTAGCATCCCTGGGTCATACAGAAGGTGTATGTTTAATTTTATAAGAAACAAACTGTCAAGGTGTTTTCCAAAGTGGCTGTACCAGTTTGCATTCCCACCAACAGTGTATGAGAGTTCTAGTTGCTCTACATCCATGTCATTTCTTGTTACTATTAGGTTAAATTTTTTTTCCAGCCATTCTAGTACTTGTGAATTGGTGTCTCATTGGGGTTTTAATTTCTAGTTCCCTCATGACTAAATAATGTTGAGCATCTTTTCATATAATACTGTTTTTTAAACATCTGAACGTACAATCACAGTGCTTTTGTAGAAGTAGACAGTTTTTGGAACTTTTTTATTTTTGTGTTTACAATTTTATCTATTTAAACTTGAGTTTGCAGCTATAGAAGGAGATTGTATTATATGAAAGGATTTCTCCACTGTGTTTATTTGTGTTTATGTGGGAATACCATTCAGGAAAATTTTTCTTAGCCAAGACTAGCAGATTGCATCACATGGCACTGCAGGGAGTAAGGGGCTGGAGGTGGTGGTGGCCACTGTTACCTTAAATTCAACTCTGTCTAAAAGTCATCATCTTTCTTGTAAAATCATGTCTTCCTGCTGTCTCCCATTTCTGTTAATCAGTATTCTCCTGGCCACCTGGTCTCAAGTCTCAGATTAAAATTTGATTCCCTTCTTGCTCTTTCTCTATATCACATTACTCAACAAATTTTGTTGACTTCACTGTTGGGAATTTGTGGCCACATTTCACCTGATTCTTAGTACCTTATGTTTTCCCACATCCTAATAGGCTCTCTTCTTATCCATTCTACATTTTGGATGTGTCTGATCTTCCTTAAACTTTTCTTTCAGTAACACTTAGGTTCTCAGGAACATATAACTTTCTAAAACTCTAAAACATTAAGTTCTTGGCATTCAAGTTTCTCAACACCCTGTCCTTGACTGGTTTTTTCAGCTTCTGCCCTATACTCTGTGTGTGTGTGTGTGTGTGTGAGCGCGCGCGTGCGCGCACACCCACACGCACACACAAAATTCTTCCCCTCCAGCCAGAATAGCCTCCTTACTGCCTCTAAATATGTTCTCCCCTTCTCTGTTCTCTGACTCCTTTCTGAAGTATGCTTCCAAGGATCCAAAAGTGATGCATCACTCAAATCTCAATTCAGTGTTTGATCTCCTGCTTGAAGTCTTCTAATGAAGGCCTTGAAGAATTGCCCTTACCACAGATTTGTCTGTGTCACTGACTCGTATTTAATCACCCACCATATTGTGTTTAAAACATCTTATAGTGTTCAGATAAGGCCTTAACCCCTTCAATTTACAAGTAAATGATACCTGCTGTCATTGCAGCTCTGGTGCCTGTCTACTCTGAGCTGGATATGGTTGCATGTCACAAGAATGCAAAGATGAATAAGAAATGGCTTAATGCCCTTGAGGAGCTGAGAGTCCGTCAGAGTGGCACCCAACTCGTTGATAACTTAAATGTAATGTGTCTCTTATTGCAGAATACTTGCTCCCCAAATCCTGTTACTGTGCTACATCATTTCCTTTGTTTTTCTTTTCTTTATTATACATATGCTTACAAAAGTATGTTTTAGATGAAAGAGGACAAGACACCATAAAGAGATGGGGAAGCAAAAGCGGTAGATTATCATATCCAAAGTCTTAGAGAAGATAATTTTCCTTGAAGATTTATATTTACTTTGGAACTTTCTGGCAGCCCAACAAGAAGAGAAGCATGATAGATTTCATGGTTTTTATTATCTGACAAAGACCTGTAGCTTGCTATTCTATCTTATCCTTTGACTTTGGATACCATCTTTATACCAACTTGCATGTTTATAGCTCCATGGCAAGCCCCTTCCTCTGAGTGGCAGCCTCAGATCACCAGCTGCCTAGTTGACATCCTCACTCAGGATGTCTCTGAGTGGCTAGGTCAGAACAGAACTGTCAGTTTTTATTTGTCTTCTTCCCAATCTGTTCCTTCCTAGTTGGTCCACTTCTCAGTAAATAGCAAAGTTGTCTTATGCTTGCTCAAATAGAAACTTAAGAATGATTCCAGAGTTGTATTCTTTTATCCTTCATCATCTAGCCCATCAACAAGTTCACTGTTCTAGTTCAAGCCTCTAACACCCCTTGTTTGAATTGCTACACTGGCCTCTCCAGTGGTCTCCCTCATTTCACTCAGGCTTTCCCAAAATATCTTCTTCACACAGCAGCCAGAGTGATCTTTTAAAGAAATGAATTAGGTCAGGCACAGTGGCTCATGCCTGTAATCCCAGCACTTTGAGAGGCATAGGCTGGAAGATCACCTGAGCTCAGGAGTTTGAGACCAGCCTGGGCAACATAGACTCCATCTCTACAAAAATTAAAAAAAAAAATTATCTGGGATTGGTGGTGCATACCTGTAGTCCCAACTATGTGGGAGGCTGAGGTGGGAGACTTACTTGAGCTCACAACCTGGGCGACAGAGTGAGACCCTGTCTCTTAAAAAAATAAGAAAAAGAAATTAGACCATACTATTCCTTGCTAAAACCTGTCAGTGGCATCTCGTTAAAAGAAAAATAAACCCAGAGCTTAAGCTCTGGCTGGCAAGGCACTCTGTAATCTGGCCTCTGTCTGCCTCAGCCTTATCCCGTGCCACTCACCCGCTGTGCCCGGCCACGTTGCGCTGACTGTGCTGCTGCCTAGCGCCTCCCCTCGTTTTTTGTTTTTTGTTTTTTGTTTTTTTTTTTGAGATGTACCAAGGCCTTTACATTTGTAGATCTCCCTGCTAGAAATATTCTTTCTTCCTTCATTCTATATACATCATTTTTTATGTGTGATAATTTTTTTAATTTTGATTTTTTTCATATTTTTGAAAATTGACAAATAATATCTGTATATTTAAGGTGTGCAGCATGATGTTTTGAAATATATAAATAGTGTATATGTCATTACCGAGTGTCTATTACGTGCCAGGCATTTTCCAGGGTCTGGGGATACAGTGATGAAGAGGACTGACACAACTGACCCCATGGAGCATTCATTCCAGCTCTTTCCCTAGGCCTCTCTCCATCCCCCTTCCCCATACCTCTCTCATGTCTCCTCTTTCCCCATTACTCAGGCCTTAGATCACATGTCACCTCAGAGAGACGTTCCCGGTCTACCCCTCTCCAAAGTAGGACTTTCCCCTCCTCCCTCCTCTGTAATCATAACACCTATTTATTTCCGTACTGGTATTTTAATAAATTAGTTTATTTAGTTATGCACTTACATCATTGGAATAATTATTTACGACATCAGTGGTGTGATGAGCAGACACTGTGTGCCAGGCTCTGGGTTAAGCACGATGCATTTGTTACTGTCTTCTTCACACCACAGACAACCCAGAGAGGTGGGCCTTGTTGTTATCCCCACCTTAAAACCAGGGAAGCAGGGCTCAATAAGGTTGTCTTTCACCTAGTTGCCTGAGCACCTTTTACTGTGTGCTGCGTAGCAGACAGGTGACTCAGGTTACCAGGTGATTTTTTAGTGATGATAACAACCATAATAAAAGCAAGAACAGCCAACATTTTTCAAAGCTACAGTGTGCCAGGCACTGTAGTAACACTTCCCACACATCTCCTGTTCATCTTCATGACAGTCCTGTGAAGTAGGTGCTGGCCTGGTCTTTGTTCTGTAGATGTGAAAATGGAAGGAGAGTTTGAACGCCTTGCCCAAGGCCATGGGAGTACTAAGGAGTACAGCCAGGATTTGAACTCAGGTTCAGATCTAACTCCAGACTTGATATTCTTAATCACGTTACATGTAATTATGCACACCGCACATGATGTGTTTCATAACGTTTTTGTATTGTCGTATACTCAAAAGTTGATAAAAAGTTGAGGTCATATTTAGTCAGCTCATTGAAGGCATTTCTGTAAATTGCATTGATTCCTTAATGATGACATGTAGCTTAGGAAAGCCTGGCCAGCATATTTCTTAGACCACCTCTCCCCAGTATCCGTTGAATCTGCTGAGCTTGGGCAAGGATTAAACTGTGCTCACTTGAGTCAGTTCTCAGAGACCAACCCTGGAGAGCACAGATAAGTTCACAGTTAATGAGTTCAGCCAGAACCGAATTTTCCACGTGCTTGTGTTTAACTCCCCACAGGACGGTGCTTACTGGAGGAAGAAACTATGTCTTCTGTTTATTCTTTATGGTTCTGTCTTTTACACAGCAGGTGTTTATGTAACTATTTGCTAATTGTTTGAAGGTTAGCATTCTTTTTCAAGTTGAATGCAAAGTTGGATAACTGTATCTACGTTAACTGTTTTATTTGTACATTCTTTTAAAGGTATGTTCACAGCTATAAAGAGTTTTCCCTTTTTAACCATACAGATCTTTTCTTATCAAGCTTTAAGTCAAAAGTAAGCATATTATGAAAGGATATGATAAAATTTCCTGTGAGAATGCATTTTTTTTTTTTTCTATTTTCTTAGTGTGAGACATCAGTTTATATTGCAGTGTGGAGAACTGTTAAGAATACTGTCAGGTCCGAGTGGTTTTGCTTACAGCTACAGGGTGTTACAAAGCAATAGCTAGATGAGATGTAATCTTTAAGCTAAGCAGTATTTAAAGCAAAATGAAAATAAAATCAGTTTGGTTTTGTAAGACAGCAACATTATGCTAATACTTTTCTAAGATGAAATCATAGCTTTGTCATAGAAATCAGGGACCAATGCATTATCACTTCACTTATATCAATAGTTCAATGTATATAATAATTACTTAGATCTCTCTTTTATGTTTTATAAGTATTTTAAACGTGCAGTACTACATAAAAGCTATGTTTTCAAGTTCAAGAATAAATAGCATTTTTTCTTGTTGATTCTTGTTTTAATAGTAGTTAAAATGTCTACCACCACCCTACCCACAACAAATTTCTCTGATACTTTTAGTAATATAAACAAGAATTAGAAGAGGCTCAGTGCTCAGGGTCTGCAGTTATACCATTTCATGAGACTGGGAGAATCTGGTGTCGGGGAGGAACCCAGTGGGAGGGGATTGAATTATGGGGGCAGATCTTTCCAGCACTGTTCTCATGACAGTGAATGAGTCTCACAAGATCTGATAGCTTTAAAAAACAAGAGTTTGCCTGCACAAGGTCTCTCTCTGCCTGCCGCCATCCACATAAAATGTGACTTGCTCCTCCTTGCCTTCTGCCATAATTGTGAGGCCTCCCCAGCCATATGAAACTGTAAGTCCAATTAAACCTCTTTCTTTTGTACATTGCCCAGTCTTGAGTATGTCTTCATCAGCGATGTGAAAATGGACTAATACAACTAATAAGAACCACAGATAGAAAGCTCATAGAACCCCCAGTCAGAATAAATATCCCCCCACATATCTAAAATCTAGCCCAGTCAGTTCCAAAAATATCACTGTATAAACTCTAAAACCTAAATATTACTAAGCAAACCCAGCATTTTAGTCCATCTTGCTTTTGCTTAAGAATAATCAATGTCTTTGCCTGTAATTACCAGCACAATCATTAGTTCAAGATTTTCTTATAAATTCTTAATATCTTTACCGACTTATCTAGAATGCAAATATCTAAATATCTCAACCAGCCAACATATATTATTGCCCAAAACAAGGTACACATCAACGCATATAAAATTGATGCTGCTTGCACATCCCAGAACAGTTTCAGTCTAGCTGCCTTTATAACCCAAGTCAGCCTGTATACCATAAGGGATTCCTAATTATCAGTTAGGTATATCCATTTTTAATTATGAAAAGTAGTGCTATATGAAAAATTCATTTTAGCCTTTTAGCCACTAGCTCGTATTGCAAGAGCTATGGTGTGGCGGAATGAAAGCCAAATTGTGGTTCCCAGTTATGTTTGATACTGTTTTCAGTTTCAGAACTTGCTATCAGAAATCTCTTTTGTAGACATAGTAGTATGTGAGTACTTCACAGAGAGATGGTTCATCTGATTGAATGATAAAATTATAGGCAGCTGTTGCTTTGTTTTTAAAAATATATGTGCAAAAGCTACACAATAGCTTGATCAACTACAGTATGGAAAGTATGTGCACGAAAATCATTGTCTCCTGTCTTTAATCTGTTATAAACTTCTGGTGGTAAACTCACAGCAGTGAGACCTACCCAGAGGATGATATCAAGAGCAAGCCTAGGTTTGAAAAAACTAAGCATTATCCTTTCCATTATCTTAAATTTTGTCATGTGATGTTACTAATTTGGAATTGAGTAGATGATTCTGTGCACATACTTATTTTACTACATGTATAAAAAGCATATAGTAAAATATCATCATCTTGTAGGGTTGGAAGCCATATAACTGCTTTTGAATAGAGCAGCTAAAGAAGTCCCAAGTTGTAAGTATTTGTTCACTGGAGCCAAAACAGTTATTTTCAGTGTGTTATTCATAAGACAGTAGTGCTTATTTGGGTGGGTCTTTTAAAAGTGAAAAACAAAGCCTTCTCTTCAGGCTATACTTTAAATAGAAGACACTTGGTCTGGGGTTGGACTCCCAGCCACTTCATAGTATTGTGCCTGGTGTTGGCTTTCTGGCCTATGACTACTGGTGCTAATAGCTATTATCTTGGGGTGGGGGTCGGGGAGCCAAACTACTTCATGCTATTCTTCCTCTGATAGGCCTTTAGCATTAAGTGAAGAATCACTTGGGAAATTACAACCTGATTGTTTTTGTAGTGGTATCACTGAGTATCCTAAAGAATAATACAAATACTGTTAATGTAAAAAGTCAAGCTGATGTTTAAAAATTGCTTACTTTTAAACAATAGTTATTATGGTGAAACTCAACTAGGGTCTGTAGCTTAGTTAATAGTGTTGTACCAATCTCAGTCTTGTGCTTTGATCATTATACTATGGAAGCTGGGTGAAGGATATGTGGGAACTTTATTATTATTATTTTTTGAGATAGGGTCTTGCTCTGTCACCCAGGCTGGATTGCAGTGGTGTGATCGCTGATAACTGCAGCTTCAACCTCCCAGGCTCAAGCAATCCTGCTGCCTCAGCCTCCCTAGTAGCTGGGACTCAGGGGTGTGCCAACACGTCTGGCTAATTTTTAAATTTTTTTGTAGAGACAGGGTCTCCCTGTGTTGCTCAGGCTGGTCTCAAACTCCTGGGCTCAAGTGATCCTCCCACCTCAGACTCCAGCAAGTGCTAGGATTATAGGCACGAGCCGCTGCACTCGGTGGAATGTTCCTATTTTTGTAACTCTTCTGTAAATCTAAAATTATTTCAAAATAAGTGTCATACAACCTAGTAGACATGGTTTCTAATCAACCTGTATTAAGGAAGCTTTACTTAAGAAAAATTACCGAAGTGAAACTAAGAACATTTTTGACTTCTGTTCTCATTACTTAAACTTGATATTTCTCATTAATGTAACCATAGATTCATGTGAAAATTTCATTTATACTGTAATTCCAGCTACTTGGGAGGCTGGGGTGGGAGGATCACTTGAGATCAGGAGTTTGAGACTACCCTGGGCAAACATAGCAAGATGCTGCCTCAAAAAAATAAAATAAATTAGCCGGGCATGATGGCCCTTGCCCATAGTCCCAGTTACTCAGGAGGCTGAGGCGGGAAGATCGCTTGAGTGCAGAAGTTGGAGGCTGCAGTGGGCTGTGATCACTTCACTGCACTCCAGCCTGGGTAACAGAACAAGATCCTGTCTCTTAAGTTACTTACATTTGAACAGAAAAAGGAAATGGGACATTGAATTGGGATAAATAAGCAAACATCAGGGAAAATGTGGCCCCTTGCTTTTTAAATTCCTTATTGTTATTTTGGTATACAGCCTCCTCCGTGAGTTGAGACTCCAATACTGCTTCTTCACATTCGGGCCCCTTAATGCCCCTCTCCTCCCCTAATCATTTATCCGCCTTGACAGAAATGATCATTAGACCTCTGTGGCAATGAAATTACTTATTTAGGTTGAGAAATTATGGAAATTTAGAAAATTTTCGGCAGATTCTTAAAAAAAAAAAACTTTTGTAAACCCACATTATTTAAATTCATTGTATTAACTTCAAAATATTTAATAACGTGTGTATTATGATGTAGTTCGACTAGAAGTTGAGCTGTATATGATAGTGAGGAAACAGACTGCTATTTGCAGGACGAACCAGCCTCAGTTTTCCCATTTACTATCTATGTGACCTCAGGCAAATCTCCTAGAACTTGCCCCTCACCTGTTTTTGTGGAGAATAATATACTTCTCAACATTGAATGAGATTATACATGTAAAATCTTTAGCATAGTGCCTAGAGCATTGTAGGTAGTCAGTAAATCCCAACTAATATTGTCAATAGTAATAATTTATATTGTTACCTGTACTATATCCTACATTCCAGTCTAAAATTATGTGAATGTCATAATCAATACATAGTCTTCCTGTGAGTAATGTCTTCCAGCTAGAGTATTTTGTTTATTACAATTCTGTTGTCCCTCCAAATAGATGAGCAAATATGTAATTTCAAAATATTTCCATAATTTATGTATTTTTTACGAGTCACTTTCTGATTATTGTTGTTTTATGAGTTTAAGGTTGCACTCAAATGAATAATTTGTAAATAACACTCTTTTTAGATTGGTCTCAATATTACATTTCTGAAGTTCTGTATTCAGACAATTCCTCATTTAGAAAAATCATTTCAAACTCATTTAAGCAAGTTGTTGCAGACATTGACATAGTTTGTTCATTCACTTGGATATTTTAAGTCATTCCGGTAGAAATTGTGATTTGCGTGTGGAAGTAAAGTGTCTCATGAATGCTTATCTGTGTGTTACCAGGACAACTATATCCTATAGATCCAAACCCATGTGTTTTCATGCCCACACCAGAGTGTCCCATCCAGATCCCAGCTTTCCTACTCGCTGTTTAATCTGTGAGTTACTTAACATCTTTGAGCCTCATCTTTAGACAATTTTTTTCTTAGAGATGGGATCTCACTGTGTTAACTAGGCTAGTCTCAAACTCTTGGCCTCAAGTGATCCTCCCATCCGGGCCTCCCAAAGTGCTAGAATTACAGGCGTGAGCCACAATGTTTTTGTCTATAAAATGACAAGATAATAAAAATTACATGTAAGTCGGAAGATTCTGGAGAGAATTACATGAGCTGATGTATGTAAAGTGCTTCACACCTGGAATGTGGGAAGTTCTGTATGTTCTATGGAAGTGTGTATTGTGGTTGCTGTTACAGTCATTCTTTACGTCATGCTTTGTGTTTGCCACTGAAGTTTCTCACTTTAAACGTTTTGGGTCTTCTAGAGATTTTTTGTTTGTTTTAAGATATTTATTAGTATCCATGTCAAATACCAAATTATTTCTTTATGTGTTTTTTGTAGGCTCATTATTCTGGCCAGGTGATAGTGGAAAGTTAGACTTATCTGTGGAGATTCTGTTTTTAAATGTTGTCTTCAGCCATCTGAGTCTATTTGGATTGTGTTTTTTCGCCCCCTGGCAACCAATTTTTTTCTCCCTAGATTATAACAGGCACCTCTGTGAAGCTTTCTCTGTCACCTCACTTCTCTCTTGTATAATCCTCTTCTGCCCCCACCATACCTTCATCAAATATTAGACCTAGGGACTGTTACTTTTTCTTTTCTTGACTACAATACCTGACACCTAGTAAGTAGTTGTTGAATTTATGACTTGCATAACATTTTTGATTTCTTATCACATTCACATCTTACTGTTATTTACTTTTGCTTATAAACTCAGCATTATTACCAGCATTTCAAGTCTATTTGGAGTAGCCTTCTACTCTTTGGAACATTTAAAGATATAAGTAGATTAACTGAAAGTGACCTTTAGTCATCAACAGAAATCTAGTTTATATTTTGCATTGCTTTTCTACTAAGTTGGTGAAGTAAATGTTGGTGTTAAAACTGGCATTAGCCTGATAAAATACACCCTTTGCCACCTTAAAAGTAAAGAAAAAGCGATTCCATTGTCTTGTTTCTTATTCTTTCTGCAGTGCTTCTAGGAGCTCTGGAAAAAATAATGGTTTCTATTAAAGCATACAGATGTATTTGCAAACATTAGAGCATTTTCTGAAAATATACCAGATACTCTGTTTAATGGCAATATTATCTTTAGAAACCAGTCTCTAATAAGTCTTTTCTTTTTTAGCTTATCTGCTTTCACAAGTAAGGTGATAAATACCTATTTGATAGCTGCACTCTCAGTGCAGTAAATTGAATTAATACACTTTCAGAGAATCATTCACGTTAGTATGGATAGAGGGAAATGTTGGTCCTCAAACCACACGCTGTCACATATTTAATTTGTTAGATAGTTAACATAGTAGCTGTCTGACTTAAGAGAAGTTGTGAAAGTTGACAGAGTAAACAGAGTCTTGTACCTAATGAATTTCTATGGCATCTTCTTCATCCCCTCAGTGACCCTCACAACCTTCCAGAGATAGTTGTCAGTGGAGAAGCATTCAGAGTAGGAAATTAAAATGAACTTTGCTGTTCTTCTTTTAGTTGCTGTGTATTTGATTATCCCTAAAAATGTCAGACCACTCTCAGAAAGTCATTATACTTTTCTAACCATTTAAATTAATATATTAAAGAGGTCTTTTTTGTTAATATTTGTGGTCACTATTGCAATGCATACCATTATTCTGAAGGTCCTACTCAATTCAGTAAGGCAAAAATGAAAATAAACAATAAAAGTTACCTTAATTGGAGAGGAAGAAGTACAACTGTCTTTATTCACAGATGATACGGTCATCTATGTCGAAAATTTGATGAGCTTTATAAAAAAAAAGCTATGAGGTTGGTAACTTTAGCAAGGCTGCAGAATACAAGATCAGTGTACAAAAATCAATTGTGTTGATAACCAGTTTCAGTTTCTGCATATTAGCAATGAACAACCAGAGACTGAAATTTAAAAAACAGTGCGATTTGCAGTAGCATCAAAACATGTGAACTACTTAAGGATAAATTTGACAAAACCAGTGCAAGACCTGTATACTGAAAACTAAGACAGTGTGGAGAGAAACAAAAGAAGGCCTTAGTCAAATGGAGAGGGATGCCATGCCTGTGAGAAGAAAACCCCTCAACATTAACAACTGGTTCTCTCCAAAATAATCCATGGGTTTGGTGCCTCCCAATCACAGTCTTAGCAGGTTATTTCGTAGGAATTGATAATCAGATTGCAAAATTCATATGGAAATGCAAAATATTTAGAATAGGTAGAAGGACTTTGAAAAAGAATTTGGAAGACAAATACTACCTGGTTTCAAGATTCATTATAAAGTTACAGTAGTGAAGAAAGTATGGAATTGATATCAAGATAGGCCTATAGATGAGAACATAATAGAGAGTTCAGAAATAGACCCACACATATGTGGACAATTGATTTTTGACAAAAGCAAGAGGGCAGTTCATTGGAGAAATGATTATCTTTCCCAGTCACTGGAACAACTGAATATCCATATGTGAAAACAAAACCAAATAACTTCAATCTACATATTGTACCATATATAAAAATTAACTCAAAATGGATGATAGATACAAATGTAAAACCTGAAAGCATAAAATTTCTAGAAGAAAACACAGGATCAAAAAATCTTTGTGACTTTGAGTTAGGCAAAGATTTCTTAGATGTGACACCAAAAGCAAGATCTGTAAAAGAATAATTTGGACTTCATCAAAATTAAAAACTTCGGTTCTTTGAAAGATGCTGTTAAAAGAATGATGAAAGATGTTGTTAAAAGAATGAAAAGGCAAGACTAGAAGAAAACATCTGTAAGTGAGCTATGTCTAGAATATGTAAAGAACTCTTAAAATGCAGTCATTGAGATACGGTAACCCAGTACAAATGTGCAACATATTTGAACAGACACTTCACCAAAGACAGTATGTTGTGGATGGCAGATAAGTACATGAAAAGCAACTCAACATCATTAGGGAAATACAAATTAAAACCACAATGAAGGCACGGTGGCTCACACCTGTAATCCCAGCACTTTGAGAGGCTGAGGCGGGTGGATCGCTTGAGGTCAGGAGTTCGACACCAGCCTGGCCAACATGGTGAAACCCCGTGTCTAGGACTAAAAATACAAAAATTAGCCGGGCGTGTTGGCAGGCGCCTGTAGTCGCAGCTACTCAGGAGGCTGAGGCAGGAGAATCATATGAACCCAGGAGCTGGAGGTTGCAGTGAGCCAAGATTGCACCACTGTACTCCAGCACTCCAGCCTGGGTGACAGAGCGAGTCTGTCTCAAAAAAAAAGAAGAAAGAAAGAAAGAAATACTGCAACACACTTGCTAGAATGATTAAAATTTTAAAATGGTGATGATAACAAGTATTGGGAAAGATGTGGAGAAACCAGAACTCAAGGGAATGTAAAATGGTACAATCGCTTTGGAAAACAGTTTGGCAGTTCTTAAAAAGTTAAACATATAACTCCCATGTGATCTAGTGATTTCACCGCTAGGTATTTCCCCAAGAGAAATGAAAGCATGTATACATATAAAGACCTGTATACAAATGTTCATGGTGGCTTTATTTGTAATAGCCCCAAACTGGAAAAATCCCAAATGTCCATCAACAGGTAAATGCGTAAATCACGGTATATCCATACAACAGAATATTACTAATGAAGAAGAAGGCAACTGTTGATATCTGCATGACGTGGGTGAATCACGAAATAATTCTGAATAAAAGAAGTTGGATTTAAAAAAAATATGTGATTACAATGATATAACATTCTGGGAAAGGCATACTAATCTAGAATGACAGATCAGATTGCTTGGGGGATAGTGAGGAAGGACAGGAAGGAGGGGTTACATAGGGATACAAGAAAACTTGTGGGTCATGAGTCAGTTCACTATCTGAATTGTGGCGATGATGTTTTGTGTGCGTGCACACACACATATGTATTCTCTGAAAATTGTTTACTTTGAGCACTCTAATGTAGCTGTCACTCTCATTTCTGTGACTTATTTTAGAAAGCTGTTAAGTCTTTGGGAAAGTCACTTATGTCATCAGTAAAGAATGCCACCAAAATAGCTTCTCACTTAAGTTCCCATCCCCAGAGCTAACCCACAGGAGGTTCCGATAAATTCAAATATTTAATAACTTGTATTTTTCTTTCTCCTTAAACACAGGCCCTCTGGTCCTGGAGGCAGGATCATGTGGTGGATTCTTGGCAGTCAGCAGTCTGTGGAGCTTTTGCAGGTGCAAAGGATTATATTATACTGGGAAAGACCAAAGAGGGGGAAAAATGTGAAAATATTAACTATGCAAAAACAACATTCTTTAGACATTCCAGGTTGTTTAGATGAAGAGCGCTCCACTAGTTGTTTGAGAAAAGAACGTGTCTTAGAGGGGAAAAAAAAAAAAAAACTGCTAAAAAGGTGTCTGCCTGAAAGACAACCAATTTGTTTTTGACAAATTTTTCTTTTTCTTTTTATCTTTATTAAAGCCTTCACTCAGGCCCTGGAATTACCTTAAAGATGATTTATAAAGTCCTCTGTGGGAAGAGACTTGCTGTGGGTGCAGGGCTCACCATGCAGCTGTCTGCCTTGGGCAGTGCTTAGGGGGTTTAAGCGATTTCTGCAGAAGGCCATGATTCACGGTTTGTGTGACATGTTTGACAGCACTGTAGATTAACTAGTGTCAGGAGAGCAGAGGCTCCTCCATAACTTACTGAAGGGTAAACTGTTCTGTGTAGGAAGTATGGAGATCTACACATCTGGGCATTTTCGAGACATTAAAGCAAGAGCGAGGTGACAATATGCAATACCGTGTTATCCATCACTAAGTCATATGAATTTTCAAGTGAGGCTTTAACGAGAACTCAAATGCTTTAAAGAGCTTAATAAGTGATATGTTTAAAAGCCTAAGAGAGAAGTATATTTTGTTGTTACAACGTTAAATTAGAATTATAGTTGAAATACAATGGAAATTTGCCAGAAAAGGAAACTTTTAGTTGAGATGTGAAGCCAGTAGGGGAGGTTTAGGGTGTTAACTTTATTGGAAAATAATTATTTTGCAATTTGTTTAATGGTCATTTTTGTTGTTGTTGTCGTGATTGAGAAAACAAAATGTTCATTTTATAGTACTCTTTATTAATAGACTCATTTGACTTGTAGAATTGATAATCAACAATAAGAATTTTGCCTGTAGACATGAAACCAATCCAGATTGATTATGATGATGATCGTTTCCACATGACACATAGTCATTAGCTGTGTTAAATAAGTAGGTGGTCTTGATTCATTTTCCAGAGGTCAGGAGTCATTATTCCCCAGTCCCTAAGAGAGATGTGCATTTTTGTAGACACTCTCCTGGGCCCTGGGGACAAAATGAGCGCATTATGGAAATTAAGTCATCCTGGATAAGTAAGGCTACTTTTTAAAGTTAGCAATACTATAAAACTTCCATGTGTTGAAATAAGAACATATTCTCTGGTCCTATTCCTTGAATACCCAATTCAAAGATTTGCTTGCAGAGACATTGTTACTATTAAGGAAATTTGCATTAATTACAGTTTCCTTTTCAGAATAATACTCTGTAATAGACACTAAGCACTTGTACTGTCAGAAGGAGTGAGAGAAGGGAACTTCCTATCAGACATCCTCTATCTATGTGGTAGGATCCTACCATCCAGGCCCTTTCAGTTAAGGTGACTCACCTGGGGAGTGTGGCAGCACAGCCGGTGCTCCAGTGATGCTGGGGTATGGAGAAAGGGAGCGAGGTGCCCACGGCTACACATCTAGCACAGGCTGAGCTGTGTGACTTACAGGATTCTGAAGTCTCTTTTTGCTCCCCAACTCAGGAATGAGACTTTGGGACCCTCCTGAGTGCCAGTTTCCTTACCTGTAATGTAGAAGCAACAATTCCTACCTTAGGGGATTACTTCAGGGCTTGAGATAATGTATGGTCAGTACTCTGTACTCTGCAAAACCGAGTCGATGTAAGGAATTACTACTATTTCAATAAGAACAACTAACATCCAGAAAATGAAAACCTACTTTCACAGTAATTCATCTTCTTGATTGAGTGAAGGAATGTCATATCAATAAAGTTACTGTACACAACAGTCTCCTCTAATAGCTCGTAAATTTTAAAATGCCTCCAATATAAGCATCTTATTTTTTTCTGCTGAAGTTCTGATAAGTGAAGGAGTTTGTCCAAGGCCTGCAAAAAATCTGTTGTCAGTAGAACCACATATATTTAGCAAAAGATAAATAGATTGCTTATTTATATCCCTTATTTTGAAATTTTATTTGGTACAACTGTTGATCCAGAGGAGGTTACTATTTTAAGGCATTTCTGAAGGATAAACATCACTTGAAAATATTCCCATTTGTGAAAAAGTGAGATTCTGTAAGAGTTGCAACATGGTGCCTTACAGCATATAGAGATGAAGGATGTCTTGTGAAGTCCCTTTAAAATACACGCTGCACTTGCAGACTTTACCCTTACATGGCCATAAAAGCAGTGATGAAACTTGCCCTCAAATCAGAAATCAGATTTCTCATCCCCATGTGCTTTTCCAAGTTTAAATTGGCTAAATCATTGCAGATGAACCATTCTGTGTGCCATCCTTGGCACTCTTTCTTGTTCATGCTTGTTTTGTAAACTACTTGGCGCAAATATCCAAAAATGTCCCGTGATCTTGGAGGTGTTGATGGCTTGTCATGCACAGAAATTCCCTTGGCTTCTGGTCGGGGTGAAACTAGGGGGATAAAAGGACTTTGCAACTTCCTTGCTTCGAGTTAACTTCTAAACATAAACCATAATGCAGCCTAAGTAATTATGACATTTGCTACTATAGTGGTATTTGGTACTCTAGTATATTTTGATTAGTTTCTCATAATAAACACCTCTGTACATTCTCTAGGAGAGAAGAGGGTGGGGGAGAAAGAGGCAGGGAAAGAGACATTGATTGCGATCTCTCCATGGGTTTGAAATTCGAGAACAGGGTGAGGGATTATTTGGGTAACAAATGAGAAGGCCTGACACAATCTCTATTAAAATACAAACAAAAAACACTTTCCTTCTTGTTGATGGGGAAGTCTTCCACATCTGCACACTTCACTGGAGGTCACGCACATAAGAGGGGTATGGTGGTGCTCTTCTCCCTTCCAGACTAATCAGGGGCAACGTAGGGTCTGGAGGAGCAATGAATGGCAGCAAGGTTGCCCAGGGGTGGGTTCGGGCACTTCCCCACTGCTGCCCCCACATTCTCAGCCACTGCTTAGAGGTGACAGCTCCAGCCTTATTGTAGGAAGGTGGCTACTTTGTCTTTATGGGTGTTGGGGCAGGGGCAGTTAGGGAATCTGCATTTGTTCCCCAAGGAAATAGGAGATAATAGTTTTATCATAAAATTTTAGTTTCTCCTGAATCCTGTCCTCGAAAGCAGTTAGCCTAACATTCAGTACAAACCTAACTCCAGTGGAGACCATAGAAAACTGTTTCACAGATGCTTTGAACACAAAAGCAGCCTGTAATTGCTGTACCAAATAATTATTTCCTGTCTCATATGTTAGACTGTTCCTTGTATTTATTACCAGTAGCTTACAGTGCCCTTAAATAAAACGTAGAAAATAACTACATTTTAACTGAAAGTCCTGGCCCCCAGCCCTTCCCCGTTATGACCATTATTCTATTCTATTATCTTCACAAGTCCTCCTTACAGCCTTACAAAAGCATTGTGAGGTCTGTGAATTAGAGAAATCTTTGATAGTTGAAGACAGGCAAATTGGTCTATTAGTAACACATAAAATACAACTTCTCTCATGGTAGTAAAGTTAGGACCTATTGAAGCATACATGTTTCTGTCTGTAACTTTTCTTCATATTACTTTCATGAAACCTAAATCTCCAAGAGAATATTGGTAGGCATCCCCACTAAAGGAATGGTAAATCTTTGCTAATGGCCAAAATAAGTTTGATTTGCAGTAACTAAATTTATTAGATGTTCCTTATCAACCTTTAGGTCTTTTTAATTGGTTTAGGATCGTTTGTGAACATTTTCACATACGAAAGTGGGTTTAACAATTGGACAAATTTTAATTTGTCTTATATATCAAAGTCATTATGTAGTGGAACGAGCATTACTTTTGGAGTCATCATACATGTGACAGTCCCAGGTCCCGCACCAGCTGTGTGGCCTGGGCAAGTAAGTTGGTTGTAAAATGAGAATAGTAACACCTATGCAAATGAGATCAAATAATCAATGAAAGTGCCTAGTGCATTCCTGGCATGCCAGATACGAAGTAAGCACTGCAGATATTAGCTCCTACCTTTACCTTTCCCTGCCTTTTAGAGGATGAGTTGAAATTTTCAGTTTATAAAAACTATAGACCAGGGTACCGATTAAGCGTTTTCGAGTGCCTGCTGTGAGTGTGCTGGTCTAAAGATACGAAGAAAAAGCACTCATTAGCTCTGGCCACCAAGGAAAGAGTTAATTATTTTGTGATTACTGCTGTGAGCCAGATGCTGTTCCAAACATGTTGCGTAGGCCCATTTAATTCCTGTGTCATACTACTATCTGCATTTTACAGATCAGAAAACTGAGGCCACTAGGAGACCAGTGGGTAAGAGTCCCAGTTCCAGAGTCAGTACAGGCTTTAGATCCCGTCTCAGCTCTGCACTAAGTAAAATCTTCAAGTTTTTAGCCTCCATAAGCCTCAGTTTCCTCACCTGTAGCATGGGGATGTAAGAGTTCCTAGCTCATAAGGTACTTCAGCCACAGAATAAGTAATTACCTAAGGCTAGACACCTGGTAGAACTGGGATTTAAGCGTTGGTCTTTCCAACTCCAAAGAAGGGTTCTTTCAGGCTAGACCGTGCTGCTGGTAAGGGAAACAAAACCAAATCTGTTATTTTGGTGTATGGGAAGTTTGGGATAGTAAAGTTTGTTGCCTTTGTGTCTTGTGTCTTTTTTCCTTTTCTTCCTTTCTTGGGGGAGATAGATAGATAGACAGACAGACAGACAGACAGACACAGAGAGAGAGAGAGAGAGAGAGAGACAGATAGTGTTCATGGATCCTGTTATGTAACTAAAAGTATATTTACTTTTCCAGGGCAGAATATATGGTTAAAAGAGTAGGATTTCAAGACCAAGTCCACAAAAATTTAAAAGACACAAAGCTTAGCAAGTCTCTGAATTTCAGACAACCTCTGGATAGGAGATGAAGAGTTTTACATAGTCATAATTTGAAATGGCTAAACCCAAGGGGATTCAAATATTCATGTCAGTTGATAGTATTACCCCTAAGGTGTGTGACATTCAGGGGTAACCAGAAATGGACCATGAGGGCATAAATAGGTACACCTTTCAAAAAGTCAGTGTCATAATCAGTGTTACCATATGGAGGAGGCTTGGTATAATCTTATTTCAGCATCATAATTAGATATTTGGCAGAGATCAGATGACCTTCTTGTCCACAAGCCACAAAAGCGAGAAGGAAAGTAGTGCTATTTCTGGAGTATCCTTCACACACGGGTGTCCTGTTGCCCTTATAACACTGCCTCTTTACCCCTAGCTCATGGAAGCTGAATCTTTGTAATGCCTTTTAGGATTTTTATTATTTCTGTCTCTGTAGGGCCTCTTCGGATTTAGAATATATCTTTGTACTGCATTTTAAATGTAATATTGACACCATAAACTTGGTTTATGTTAAAACAGAAAGTCCTTCAAAAAGTCCAATCTGTGTACAGTTCAGCCATCACGACATTCAGATAACGCAAACATGAGAGAGAAGGTTAGGAAGGAAGCCATAATGTGGAATGTGTGCTGAAGCGAGACTCAGGCTAAGAAGATGTAGAAGAGAGCTTAGAAAGGTAACTTTGACTAGCCTGCTGTCAGGAGCCCGTGAAACACAAAAAGCTTTGCTCCTTTAATTCAAAGAATCCAGCCATGTATACCCAAAATCCCCACAATGTCACATGTGAGTCTGTTTGTCCATTTTGCTATATGCAAAACAGAAATGATAGACGCATTTTGGAGTCACTTTAAAGAACAGTGGTCCAGGCTGGGCGTGGTGGTTCATGCCTGTAATCCCAACACTTTGGGAGGCCGAGGCAGGAGGAGTGCTTGATGCAAGGAGTTCAAGACCAGGCTGGGCAACAGAGCAAGACCCTGTCTCTATAGAAAATTTAAAAATTAGCCAAGCATGGTGGTGCGCAGCTGTAGTCCCAGCTACTCAGGAGGAGGCTAAGGTGGAGAGATCACTTGAGCCTAGGAGGGTGAGGCTGCAGTGAGTTATGATCACACCACTGCACTCCAGTCTTGGTGAGACACAGTGAGACCCTGTCTTTTCAAAAAAAAAAAAAAAAAACAAAAACAAAAAAAAAAAACAAAAGACAGTGGCCTATAGAAAGTCATGAACCCTTTGAGAACCATTAGGAGCAGTGTGTCTCACATATTGAGAGTGGGCATCTGGCCACATACATGTATGTCATGTGTACACATTCATCATGTATGTAAACATACACACTCATTAGTTTGCTAGTTAATGAAAGAGCAAGATAAATTGTGGAGCCTTGTATTTTTCACCTGAGTGGGTAGAGCATTTTCTTCTCTCATGCAGTTCTGTATCGCTGCAAAAGAAATGAAGCGTGTGGATAAAGATTGTGCATGTGTGCATCCTGTTCTTCAATCAGCCAGGTGTACATAATGACGAAGTGATTTGGGCAGAGTCAGGAATTCTAAAAATTACAAAATTATACAGTAAACAGGATCTCACTTGGGTGTTGGGTATTATTTGTACAGGTGGATTTGCCGCTGCAGTCACCACCCCTCTAGACGTGGCAAAGACAAGAATTACGCTGGCAAAGGTAAGTGGTGAAATAATGTAATGGAGATACTTCAGATGCTCATATCTGTTAGCACTAGGACTACAGGTGTATAAAGTGAACACAAATGGCTACCATTTACCTGTAATAGCATCTTATGCTGCCTGTGCAACCTCTAACAAAACTGCCATTGATGGAACAATGTCCCCAGTGTCTACATAATATTGTACCATTTCACAGTCATTTTCACATAGGGCTGGTAGAGCCACTGCCTGGCAGTACCATCTTCAAATAAACTCTGTTTTTACTGGTGACAAACCTAAGGGTCAGAGAGGTTGACGAGCCTCCTGCTATGTGGCAGGTAAGTGACAGGCTTTGAACCTAGGGTCATGGTTGGCCTTAACTGGATGGGTTAAGACAGTTGTCAGAAATGTTGAAACCATTTTGTTTAAGAGAAAAATTGTTTTAAAAAACCCTGCTAGATAGAGAGTTGAAAGAATGCCATACGTATAACATACCTGAACTGAACCAAAACAAAAAAGTCCTATCTTTGTGGAAAAGTAGAACAAATAATGGGCCAAATTTTAGTATGGAGGTGGCAGGATCCAACCTAAGAATGTTAATCACGTTTTAAATGGAACATTTAAACGGCACTCTATTAAATATGCTTATTAGCTGCTTATGCAGGTTTCATAGTTGTACCATTTACACTAATGATTCCCCGCCCTCCTCACATTGCTTCATAGTGCTTCTGTCTTTCTGCTGTTAAATAGTTCATCAGTCATCTCGTGAGCTCTGATAAGCAGCCACCTGTGTGGCATGGGCCACATCCCTGCTTGCCTGCATATCGGAGTGTAAGCACTTCTGGGCGAGCGAGCCAGGTCCTGATTGCCAAGAAACTCCCTGGTATCTGACACTGTGTTCTAGATGAGGGTGACGGGGAGCTGTGTGTCTGAGGATATCTGAGAGGCAAGTGTGTGATTGGGAGCTTCAGAAGATAACGGGTTTCTCTTTGTCTGTTCACACAGGCTGGCTCCAGCACTGCTGATGGGAATGTGCTCTCTGTCCTGCATGGGGTCTGGCGGTCACAGGGGCTGGCAGGGTAAGACGAGGAATGCCCTCCTTCCTTTCTTCCTCTCCACCACTCCTCCTCCTTTAGCCTAACTTTGGATGAACACCTCTCCTTCCCTTCTGCTTATGTTCTGCTTTGAGTTTCTATTTATTGTGCAAAATATTATAGTTGATGTTGTATATATGAGATAACATAGCAAATCAAATTGACGGATTATTCCAGCCAGGCAGTTCTCAGCCTTGCCCATCTTGATGTTAGATGAAATTCACATGTGTGGCTCTCACCAGGGTCTGGGCTGCAGCAGTGATAAAATGGGCTTCTCAGAGGTTACACAGTGCAGAAATACAAGGGAGTGAAGGGAACATTGTTAGAAGAAAGCATTTGTGGTTTTGATGCTTTTAACTATTATTAGTAACAAATTACTTTGAACATACCATAGTGCAGGTGGGATGACTCCACTATTAGCATCAATTGAGAACCATTGTGCTACAGAAGTGCCTCAGACTTCTAGCTTCATGTCCTAAAAGCTCTCTCTGCAAGATTAAAACATTGCTTTGACACCATAAACTTGTGAAGCCGCCTGAATGTTGAGATCTTACAGGCATGTGAAATGATGATTTTTCTCTTAGGGACCATATACCAGGGATTTTCTTGCAAGAGCAAAGCAGTGGCCTCCCTTTGCAGAGGGTCGGTCGGCAGCTGCCTGGACTTCGGGCGTCTCAGCTGGCAGTGCCACCTCCTCATCCTGATGCCGAGTTGGATCACTTATGTGATTGTAGTTTTTGTGTACCTTTGGCAGTTTTAATCTCAGCTATTTGATGATCTGGAGGACATGAAGTAGGTGAGTCAGGACCCAGTTAAGGTTTTTATAGGAGAGCAGCACATCCTAGATTGAAATTTTCCAGTTGGAAGTTTGAAAAGTAGGTGATATTGGATGGTTTTGTTGAATGTGACAACTCTGAGGGATTGACGTTGGGGGTGTGAAGGGTGTCACGGTTTTGAAACAAGAACTGGGGCAAAGCCAGAGGAATAATTGGCTGTTGACGTCTAGTGAGAGCGTGGGAAGGGCCTAGTGGGGGGCATGTGTGCTGGGAGCCTGCCACTTAGGGCTGCCATATCGTGAGGGGTGCTTCTATCTGTGGCACATTAATTCTGCTGCCAGTTCCACAGCAAACAAAGGAATGGGGTGAGAAAAAATGAGTCCTGAAGCTACTTAGCCAGTAGCAGGTAAAAGGTGCTTAGGGGCCGGGTGCGGGGCTCACACCTGTAATCCCAGCACTTTGGGAGGCTGAAGCAGGAGGGTCGCTCGAAGTTAGGAGTTTGAGACCAGCCTGGGCAATATGGCAAGACTCTGTCTCTAAAAAATAAATAAATAAATTAGCCTGGTGTGGTCGCACGCACCTGTAGTCGCAGCTACTCAGGAGGCTGAGCAATCGCTTGAGCCCGGGAAGTCGAGGTTATAGTGAGTTACAACTGTGCCACTGCTCTCCAGCCTGGGTGACAGAGCAAGACCCTGTCTCAAAAAAACAACAACAAAAAAGTTCTTCTGTGTTTCAAATAGCAATTGGGCTACATACATGGAGAAGTCACATTCAGTGGCTTTTTTAGACTGTAAAACCAAACTGCCAAATTTCACTGTCCTACTGATTTCAGTGTAGTTCATGTTTGATTCTGTGGCAACTGTTGGGCAAACCACTTCAATTGACCTTAGCTTTGTGGAGCTGTGCAGAGCTGCAGCCCCTCAGCCTTTTCTGGAGACAGTGGTGGCAGGTGGGGATGGCATGATCGACTGGCAACCCCATGGCCCCAAAAGCTGGTAGGAGTTATGTTGAGTAGATGATTGAAGATAGTCTTCCCTGTCCTGGTTGTGGCATGTCTTATACTTGACGTTATAATACTAAGCAGTGCCAGAAATACAGGCAGAGGAGGGGTGTCTTCCTCAGGTCAAGGGCCTGTCCCTGTCCCCATTGTCAGCTCTGTAAAGGTCATGTGGAATTTTTTTTGCTTATCTATCTTCGGAAAGTCTCAGAAGTCATGGGCTCTAGTCAGTCTGTACAGTGTAGTCCCTAAGAGCATTACAGACAGCAGCGGTCGTCACTTAAGGGAGTTTTGATTAGCCACTTATTAATGATTAAAGACAATAAATAATTTGACTAAAAAACAGTCACAGAAAAACCTGGGTGGCTGTTGTGAACAGAGGTCCCAGGCACCCTCAGCCTGAAGGTATCTCTGCCAGCTTCCTCTGTGCTCCAAGCACACAGCGCTGCTGCCACCTCCTGTCTCCTCCCCGGGGCGTGCACTAAGTTTACTAGGTACTACTTGGGTTTTCCAGCAGACACCATCTCCTCACCTTAGGATGGAATGGTGCTGCCCTCTCGGGGTCAAGTCAAGTGGCGACCACTTTTATCTTTCCGTGTGGTCCACGCAGGTGAAGACCTTGTTCTGGCGCATATGGGAGTACACATATAAACAGAAATATATTACTAAACAAACACCGCGTGTTCATTCAGCCCCGTAGCCAAAGGCAGATGGGGAGCCTGCCCACCCCGGATGGCCCCTTTCTGGTTTTCTTCACTCATCAGCTGGCTTTCTGTTTTTGTTGACTGTGCCCTTTATGTAGTAGCTGCCACTGCCGCGAGCATCCCTTTCTGTCTGGCATTGTAAGTGCTTACGTTTGCTCTCATTTAATCTGTGGGCACTAGAACACGCTCCTGCTCAACTCAAAAGTCTTCACCTGCGAGACTGGCTGGGGCCCTCACTGTACAAATTACTCCACGTTAAGGCCGTAATTACGTTAATAGATTCAGTGGTCATCTGTTGAAACCATAAACTGCTTCCATCTGTGTCTTGCCAGGAGCAGCTGAGCTTGTGAGTGGCAGAAGCTGAACAAGACACTGGCGTTTAGAAATAAGTAAGGTAGTAAAGGTGGGAGAACTTTGTGGCCAGAGTGGTCTCCCACAGCTCGGCATCTGCTGGCCGCCTGTCTAGCACTCTTTCCTTCGTAAGGTAGGAGCAGGGAGGCTCATCTGTCTTTCAGGCAGGAAGGACATAGTGGTAATTTATAAGTTTCTGTCCTCACCACCCACCCTTTGCATGATGCTGATTTTTTTTTTTTTTTTAAGCAAGTGTAGTTTGGTTTTCAATACAATTTTCATGGTTATTTTTGGACAAGTAATCGTGGTCCTTAATTTTATGTGCAGTATTGTAATGATTTAAACCCATAGCTAGCTAACTAAAAAGGGCCCACAAAACTCTTCTTAAGTGTCTCATTTTCCTTAGAAGTGCCAAGTGCTGCAAACAGAGGGAGGCTGCTCAGCCTCCCCCAACAGCTCAAAGGTGTTGGGAGAAAGGATGCAGTCAGGTGCTGGGAGCAGCCTGCAGGGACCGTCTTCCTGCCATGTTTCTCTCCAGGCCACCAGCTTGCTTGTCATGGAGGCTTTTCCTGTATCTTAAAGGATGCATAGCTACTGTTGGCATACTTGACCATTTTCAGTTTTCTTCCATAGACCTGACCAGAAGTCTTTTCACTGGCATATGCACTAGTTTTGCCTTCATTAACTCTTTCTGCTTACAGAAGTAATACAGGCATATTTTGTTTAATTGCACTTCTCAGTGCACTTTTTTTCCAAATTGAAGGTTTGTGGCAACCCTGCGTTGAGCGAGTCTTGCAGAGCCCTTTTCCAATAGCACATGATGACTTTGTGTCTGTGTCACATTTTGGTAATTCTCACCTGTCAAATATTTTCATTATCATATCTGCTGTGGTGATCTGTGATCAGCCGTCTTCGATGTTACTGTAATTGTTTTGGGGCATCACCCACTGTGTCCACCGAAGACGGCAAACTTAATCGACAAATGTGGTGTGGGTTCGGGCTGTGTCTCCAACCAGCCATTCCCTCTCTCTCTCCCTTAGGCCTCTATTCTGTGAGACACAATATTGCAGTTAGGCCAATTAATAATCCTCCAGTGGCCTCTAAGTGTTGAAGTGAAAGGAAGAATCACACCTTTCTCATTTTAAATAAAAAACTCGGGCCGGGCATGGTGGCTCACACCTGTAATCCCAGGATTTTGGGGGGCCAAGGTGGCAGATGGCTTGAGCCCAAGAGTTCAAGACCAGCCTAGGCAACATGCCAAACCCTGTCTACAAAAAATACAAAAATTAGCTGGCCATGTTGGTGTGTGCCTGTAGTCCCAGCTACTTGGGAAGCTGAGGTGGGAGGGTCACCTGAGCTCAGCAGGTAGAGGTTGCTGTGGGCCACGATCGTGCCACTGCACTCCAGCCTGGGTAACAGCAAGACCCTATCTCAAAAAAAAAAATTAATTAATTAAAAATAAAAGCTGGAGATGATTAAATTTAGTGAGGAAGGCATGTGGAAAGCTGAGATAGGCCAGAATCTAGGCCTCTTGTGACAGTTAACCAAATTGTAAATGCAAAGGAAAAGTTCTTGAAGGAAATGAAAAGTGCTATCCAGTGAATACACAAATGATAAGTGTAACAGCCTCATTGCACATACGAAGAAAGTTTGGTCTGGATAGAAGATCAGACCGGCCACAACATCCCCTTAAGCCAAAACCTAATCCAGAGCAAGGCATTAACTCTCTTCCCTGAAGGCTGAGAGAGGTGAGGAAGCTGCAGGGTTTGAAGTTAGGAGAGGTTGATTCATGAAGTTTAAGGAAAGAAGTCATCTCTGTAACACAGAAGTGTAAGGTGAAGTGGCAAGTGCTGATGGAGAAGCTGCAGCAAGTTACCCAGATCTAGCTAAGATCATCGATGAAGGCACTAACACTAAACAACAGATTTTCAGGGTAGATGAAACAGCCTTCGATTAGAAGAAGATGCCATCTAGGACTTTCCTAGCTAGAGAGGAGACATCAATGCCTGGCCTCAAAGCTTCAAAGGACTGGCTGACTCTCTTGTTAGGGGCTAATGCAGCTGGTATCTTTAAGTTGAAGCCAATGCTCATTGACTCTTCTGAAAATCCTAGAGCCTTTAAGAATGGTGCTAAATCGACTCTGCCTCTGCTGTAGAAATGGAACAACAAAGCCTGAGCGACAGCACATCTCTTTACAGCATGCTTTCTTGAATATTTTAAGCCCACTGCTGGGACCTAGTGCTCAGAGGAAAAGATTCCTTTTAAAATATTTCCGCTCATTGACAGTGTACCTGGTCACCCTGGAGTTCTGCTGGAGATGAATGTTGTTCTCATGCCTACTATCAACATCCATTCCTTAGCCTGTGGATCAAGGAGTTACTTTAACTTTCAGGTTTTATTAAATTTCATAAGGCTACAGCTGCATCAACAGTGATTCCTTTGCTAGATGTGGGCAAAGTAAATTGGAAGCCTTCTAGAAAGGAGTCACCATTCTAGATACCAGTAAGAACATTAGTGGCTTCATAGGAGGTCAAAATATTGACCATGCTGGGACTTTGGAAGAAGTTGATTCCAATCCTCATGGCTGACTAGTGGAGGGAAACACATACTAGATGTACTGGAAATGGCAAGACCACCGTAGTCAGAAGTGGAGCCTGAAGATGTAAAGAATTGCCACAATCTCATGATCAAACTTGAACGGATGAGGAGTTGGTTCTTATGGGTGAGCAAAGAAAGTGATCTATTGAGATGAATCTACTCCTGGTGAAGATACGGTGAACACTGTTGAAATTACAATAAACGATTTAGAATATTTCATCAATTTAGTTGAGAAAACAGTGGCAGAGTTGAGACGGTTGACTCCAATTTTGAAAGAGGTCCTACTGTGGGCAAAATGTATTGTGTGCTACAGAGAAATCTTTCATGAAAAGAAGAGTCCATCAATGCAACAATTACTATTTTTAGAAATTTCCACAGCCACTCCAACCTTCAGCAGCCACTACCCTGGTCAGTTAGCAGCCATCATTCAAAGCAAGACCCTCTATCAGCCAGAAGATTACAATTTACTGCAGGCTCAGATGCTCATGAGCATTTTTTAGCAATAAAGCATTTTAAAATTAAGGTATGTACAATTTTTAGACATAATTGCTACTGCATACTTAATAGACTGTAGTAGAAACATAACTTTTCTGTGCCCTGGGAAACGAAGAAATTTGAATGGCTTGCTTTATTGCAATATTCACTATTATGGTGGCCAAACTTGGCCTGGGACCAAACTTGAAATATCTCTGAGTCATGCCTGTACTCTTGGTGAAAAGGTTCAAAGGTTATGGAAGCGTGGGCCAGGAATGTGTCCTATAATCCACAGGCAGCAGGCATTCAGTTTAGGGCTTAAGACACATCCCTGGCTTGCCTTTTAGATATGGAATCATAGTCCTTGGACTTAGTTTTTTAAACCTGTTTTGTAATTTTTTTATGTTGGCATCTGTAGATTTCCTCATCTTTATCAGCTACATAATCATCCACTGTATGTTTATACTGTGCCATAACTTATATCACCATCAGCAATGCCACAATGAAAATTTTTGAACAAATATCTGAGTAGGTATGGGGAGGGGGGGCAGTTTTAAAGAATGAATCCCCAATTTGTATCCTCGTGGCATTGTAGTTTTACTTTGCATTGCTCTGATTATTCTACATTGCACCTTGGCTGGTTAGCAGCACCTTCTGTGATACCAAGGGGACTGTGCAGGTGGAGGCATGCTGCCCCCTTCACAGCCACAGCCCATTTGCCTTTCATGCCTTTAGACAGAAAAGGAACACAGGGAATCCATGGAGGTTCAACTCGTTGTCGTGACGTCATGTTTTGGGGTCTCGAAGGACAAAATGCAACTGAGTCAGTGGGTGGAGCGGCAGCATTGCCCAAAAATCTCTTCACTGAGCAACCCCTGGAGATCACTTTAGAGGTGTGGGCTGGAAGTGCCTTCCAGCCTTACCTAGGATTCAGCTCTTTAACACCTTTTTAAAAAAAATCAATTTCATGTTTCAAAGGGAAAAATGGCATGAAAGTTTTAGAACTACTGTTGGGACACAGCTATTACTTGCCTTATTTGGGAGCGTTCACAAGCTGTTTGGTAGTTAGCCACTAATGAGCATGGTGTATTGAGCTGAGCAAGCTGTGGGTATTGGAATTTAACCTTTTTTTAAAATACGCACAACATTAAAAATCCTGTTTTTTCCCCTAGATTATTTGCAGGTGTCTTCCCTCGAATGGCAGCCATCAGTCTGGGAGGTTTCATCTTTCTGGGGGCTTATGACCGAACGCACAGCTTGCTGTTGGAAGTTGGCAGAAAGAGTCCTTGAAGCAGAGACAAGCCTCACCTCCACTTCTGTCAAGAGAGGGGCCTGCAGTGCAAACCCTCTTCCGCTGAGCAGCTGTCTGAACTATAGGCCCCAGTGCTGAAGACCAGTTGTGCTAAGATACCGGCATGGAGATTGTGCCATCCGTGGTATAGGCTGGCTGGTATGAAGTCATTGGCCTGTATGCCAGAGAGCTAAGAGAAGAAAACGGGGTCTGTGGCGGTACTCTGAACAATTTCCTCAGAACCTCTTAATAAATAAGTTTGGTAATGCTGAGGCCAGGCCTTTTAGAGCTTTCATTTGATCTGTATCTGATCTTTCATTTCCTGCCACCTGATGGTGGATTCAGCAGAAGGCAAGATGGTTATAATTCTAAAAGAATAGCTTGTTTGTTTGTTTGGGAAAAGGAGACTTGGGGAAGAGTTGTGTATGTGGGTGTTTCTCCCCCTAGTTAATTCCTGTTGTGTAAGGGTAGGCTTTGTTGAAAAAGAAAGAAAGATTGAACTACAGGTGCATAGCAAGCACTCTTTCTGGGTAACTAGGCTGCTGGTTTTAATTACCCTCAGATTTCACCCATAAAAACGCACAATTGTATTATTTTACAGAGATGTGTCCAGCGCCCCCTGTGGTGTGTGAGAGAAAGCAGCTGCAACTCAAGTGACTAGGTGGGCCCAGCTGGCTTCGTGCAGGAGGGCACGGTGGGTGAGCCATTCTCGCCATTCTCATGTCAGACTGAAAGGAGGGCCTGGGCCAGCTTTGAAAAGGCAGGATGAAATGGAAAGGTCACCACACTTAGGGATTTTAGACCTTGACTAACAAGCTCCAGGTGTAGAAAAATTCAAAACAAAATGTCAGGAATCTAGCAGTGTTGTCTGCCCTGGAGCAAACAAACAGTATGTGATTTTGCTTCGCCTATTTTTTTTTTCTTTTTTGGGGGAAGATAATTAAAGGCAGAATGACTGCGTTTGTAAAAGAAGGACCACCAACTATACTGACATTTATAAATGAACCTTTATTAAAGACACTTCAATGCCATTTGTTAGACACTTCAATATTTTACATGGTTTTCAATGTACACTGTACCAAAATTTCTATAAATAAATAACTTTGTACATAAAAGTAATACTCCCTCTTTCACATTGCCTCTCAGAAGCAGCAAATTCACATATTTTGTGGAAGTAAGATTAGTCAGTTAACTGTCAAGAACAAAATTCTAAATGTGCTTACCTTTTGAACAGTGATGACACCTGACAGTAATTGTTAACTATTTTCTCAGTAACTCCCTTCAGCTTTTGGCCAAAGGAACATTTGAAGGACCTTGTTTCTATTTAAGTTTTACTAAATGACACATTGGCACTCATAAGATGGTTAGCTACCAGTCTCAAAAGTGCAAATTATACCCAGAACCCAGGTCAAGGGCTGTCCTTTCCAGTCCCAGCTCAGTTTCATCTGTGCGAAGGAATGGCATGGACAGGCCTGCTCTGGGTCCTTAGTAGAAATAAGGTAGCCCTGAAAAGTCAGAACTTCCTCCTTTCTGTCCCCCAAGGCCAATGTAATACTCATTATATTGGCAAAACGAAAACATCAGTATAGAAAAATCCACAGGTACCAACACCAGCAGCCTTTACCTTAATTTAAAAGTCTCAAATAGCAATCGAATGATACTGAGAAGGCCACATTTGCTTTTATCATAAAATAAGAGGAGGAGGAAAGGCAGTGTTTAACTGTTCTGACCTTTTGCTTGTGATGGATTAACAACCCTCATTCTACGCCTTACAGACGGACAGATTCTACGCCTTACAGACAGACAGGACTTAAACCTAAAAGGAAAAGCCATTCACTGCAAGTGTGGATGGCACTTGCACCCCTGGCTCTACAGACAGGGAAGCCTGTTGCAGGGGCATCCACACATGAGCAGTGCTCACCTGAAGCTCCTTCCGGCGCATGTGGAGTCCCACCGCACAGCAGCCTAGGGGTCTATGAAGTGCAATATAAATCCAAGGCCTTCCATCCTTCCCACCCCGCACCAAAAACTCCTGTGAACAAATGTGGTTGTAGCCTCTATAAATTCCAGCCATGCGTTAAGGCACCAGAACTATTTCCCCACCCCCTCCAAAATTAAACAGCAACCTGATACGAAAAATAATATTGTCAAAATTGTATAATTTTTTTCTGTTAACCATGCACTAAAGATTAAAATAGCCTCTGTAAAAGATATATATGAAATCTCTGAAAACTCTTATGTACAATGATATCAAATACTTTTTTTGCCTTTTGTACACAAATCCCCTCTTGCGTTTACTGTGCTTCAGATCCAAGTCCTGTGAGCGACTGATACTCCACATGGGAGTTACAACTATGTACAGATGAGTGACGCTTGAACCCAAGCTTCCTCGCAGCCTCTCCTACCTCTCTTTCCCGTAGAGATTGGTATGACAAGAACTGAGGTAGACAAAACCTAGCTTTTTGGTGCCAACAGCAGTGGCACCCTCTGTTTCCCGGGGAGCTGTCCTGTCAGTGGCGTGGACTCGGGACTGGCGTCACATGCTTTGGGGAGGTGGCCATTGGAAACAAGCAAGTACTGGGCTTCCGCGCGCTCTGGACTGCCTGAAGTTAATGAAGATGCAGGCTGTAGCTCTGTGGAGTCCGGGTGATACAACCTTGCTAAAGTCCAGGAAGAATCCCCTACAAGGAAAGAACGAACCTGTCAGACCCCCACTTGACCGTTTAAGCAGCTCCCAACCCACCTGTTAGAAGACAGTCAAAAGTTACCTTTCCCATCTAGAGATGCCATTGGCTTTTTCTTCACAGCCGTCAGCATTCTATCGTGGTTACTGGGGTAGAGCGACCCTTGGCACTCGGGGCAGGACCCAGCGGCAGTCCTGCTGCACTGGTGATGTGGAGAATGCTCTTGGTCACTCCCACCCGGCTCCGGGCCATTTGGCGCACTTGGCTGTGCGCTGTCTCTGGACACAGGCTGGGGGTGGAAGGCTTGTCCCCTGGAGTAACAGTCCACTTCGGTGTTGCAGTCACTGCATACGACCCGGCCACCGTGTTCTGAAGGACAGCGCCAAAGATGGGTTAGAGTCACTGCTGTGGGAGTCTTCGTCCCCACACAGAGGACAGGCTGCTCAGCTCCACTGTGCAAGGTGAGAACCCTGACTGCAAACACTGTATGCATGCTTCCTCTTTTCCCCAACTATGTCCCCAGAGAAAGGACTGGGCAAACACCAAGTCACTCATGAACTGTGGGGTCTTTCGTGTTTACAGTGAATTTCATAGACAATGTAGTCTTACTGCTTCACGGGGGAAAAGCCATTAGCCTTAGGTACCATGCAGTGTTGGGTCTTTTCAACAATTAGAAATAAGCCTCAAAATAGCCCTGGTGAAAAAGTGCTGACTGAAACTCTATACTTCGTTTGTGCCTTGCCCCTTATTTAAGTTGCTTATACATCTAGAAAATTCATGCTCAGGCTTACCATGGCGTAGATTTATTTAGGAGAAACTATCCTGGAATTAAGAGAGCCAGGCCTGAGCTTCCCCTGTATATACTGAATACCAAATTTGGAGACAGCTGTGGACTAGGAATGTGTCTCCCCCTTTGATGTAGTGACTAGGTCAGCCCAAATTTCCATTTCAGAAAGAAACTACTTCCAATGGGAAGCATCTCATACCCATCTTATGTGGCCCAGGTGTCCCTTCAGCTTTCTCCATCGCTTTCCACGGCTCTTTGTGATACGCAGACCCAGCACAGAGCTTTGGCTGCCTGCAGGCAACGCTGTGAGTGTCGGGCTCTGGAAAGTGGCTTGCATCTCTTGGACACACACCTGCAAGTGGATTCCAACACGATTAGAAACTCTGGGCTTGGTATTTCACAGTAAGCCTTATGAAAGGAATGAGCAAGGCCGCTAGAACAGTCATTTTTTTTAAAAAGTTCTTCAGAGCGGTGGGGCTGCTGGTCTGGCAAGCAGCGTGTTTTCTGCTACTACTTCCCAGCAGGCAGGCTGGCCTTGTGAAATGAGCAGCTGTCTCAGGGTGAGCCTCTACAGTCTCAGGCAAGTGCTCAGAGGCCCCCACCGTTGGAAGTACCTCATCCTGGTGACAGCTTTCCAGTGTAAGACTGGATCACAGAGCAGACCTGGGCACGTTCCCCATGTAAGGAATGGGTTGGCTGGGTTCATGCACCGTAATGCCCTTTCCAGCTGCTACTCCAGGCAAGCCTACTTTATCCTGCCAGGGAGATGCTAAGCCCAATCCAGTGGCTTCCTGAGGGGACAGGACTTTAAAACCTTGCAGAACTCATGAAGACTGGGTCCAAAATAGCAGCCCTTAGTCATACCGCCTTCTACTTCACCAAGTTTGCCCCATCTAATGCCAGGTACCTGCCCTGTAAAGACCTGGAGGCCACCTCCAGCACCCAGAGACACAGTCACAGCAGAGCTCTGCTTCACAGTTACTGAGGCCTTACCATTGCTCTCAATGTGCCCATTGGCCTGAGGGCCACCCTCGGTCCTGACCACGGTTTCTTGTCGGTCAGAAAGGGTCCCCTGAGAAGAGAGGTAGCTTGGAACATCTGGTGGCACGACGGTTTCATCTGCAAGGAGACAGAACAAATAGAACACCAGGGTCTCAGTGACAAGAAATGCAGACACACGTTCACTGTCAAGCTCAGAAAGGGGATCCTCCCAGTGACGACCATCAGCGCTGTGCAGAGAGATGACATGGAGTCCATGTACGCAACAGGCCCTCCCAGAGCCTGCTCAGCTTTACTCTACACCCAGCGTGAAGAGCGCAGCCAGCAGATGCCAGACGCCACAAGAAGTGGAGACCAGTGATGGAAAGCCGGGGCTCACAGAAGTACCGCACTGTTTCAGGAACAACCTACTACGTGGCAGCAGGGCCTGTGCATAGGCGGCCTCTGAGTTAGCAAGGAGAGGGAAAACTGCATGGTGCGTCAGTTACTTGTATTTGTGAGTATTCCTGTTTAAGGTTAAATTTGAGAGTATTCCTGTTTAAGGTTAAGTTCCTCAAAGTTAAAATGGAATTAGTGGGACTAAACCCTCAGGAGTTCTGAACACAGTGCAATTCTTTCAAAAGCCACTGGAACCCGGCCCAGTTCCCCAGCATCACTGCCATTCCTCCCTCCTTGAAAGTCAGCTCCGCTGGCAGGGCCTGACCTGTGTTGGTGACACTGTACTCTTCACTCTTCTTCCTGGTCTGGTAGATGATGCACACCCAGACCAGTGACGTCAGGACGATGCTGCTCACGACAGCAATGGTGAAGATGCCTACCGTGGTCCCATCCTTCCTGCAGCCTGCTGCGGGCAGGACGCTCAGCTGGCTGTGAGCTCGCTCCGTGCCCAGGGTGTTGGACATCTCACAGGTATATCGGCCCGCATCCTCTGCCACCACGTTCTGAACCACCAGGAGCTGGTTGTCAGGGGTCAAGTGGTGCCGCTCAGTGAGGCTCAGCGGGCGGTCCCCCTTGAACCAGGTGATGCGGGGCGGAGGGTTCCCCGTGGCTTTGCATTGGAGGGCCACTGTTTCTCCCACAGATACCACACGGTCTTCCAAGGGGACCACCAAGGATGGGGTCTCTACAAGAGAGCAACAGAGATCTTAGTCATTCTCAGGGCCTCCGTTGCTCTGGCTCTGCCCGGTCTTCTGGACAACGGACAATCCAACATATCAATGAGATGCATCTGAGATTCTGTCTCAGAGTGGCAAGCTTTGGAGAAGACCCTTCAACTCATTGACTGAGTCATCTCCATGCTGGGAGTGGCTTCCACAGGGACAGTGAACCTCTGCTGACAAAAGCCCCTGCTATTCCCTAACTGTCCTGTGTCAGGCCTGTGTCCTTATTCTTGACCAAGCCCACATCCATCCTGTCCAATTCTTAAAATGTTCTGTAGCTCTTGACCAAGCCCACATCCATCCTGTCCAATTCTTAAAATGTTCTGTAGCTAAACCCTATGAAGACTCTTAATTCACCAGCTATCATTTCTTTTAAAGAGATAGAAACACTTGTTTAAGAAAAATTAACTCAACTCAAAAAGCAGCCCCAAATTTCAAACAGGGTCGAAAGGCCCACAACGCATACCACCCCTGGCCACACAGAGCATTTGAGAGTCTCTCTCTCTCGCTCACACACACACACACACACACACAGTAGAGCAATAGGCAAACCTAGGACAGTCAGGGTGGCATTAGCTGAAATAGAACCGGCTGAGTTCTGAGCAGTACAGCTGTAAACCCCTGCGTCATCTATTTTCACATCAGTGATGAAAAACACGTCGTCATCCGGCATGACATGCATGCGTCGCTCACGGGCAGCGGGGAAATCCGTGCCTCCATCCTTCTGCCAGGCAATCTGAGGGTTTGGGTGACCTGTGGCAGCACATTCGAGGCGGGCCATGGTGGTGGTCCGGATGGTTATGTCGTGGGGCGTTTTGGTGAATGATGGCAACACTGGAAAACATACGTATACAGGGTCGGGTTACGGGACAGCTAGATGCAAAACCAGGAAGTCCTCTGGCAAACACCTACCTGTCACTGTGCCCAGTGCCAGTTCACTTCTTTTCTCCCAATGTCTGCCCAGGACCACTCCTGCCACCTGTGAATCAGGAACCCCCAGCTTCTCCCACCACAGTTGGAACACTTCCATCCCATCAGCCTTGCATTGTACACCCTAGGCTGGCTATAGTCCCTTCAAAGCAAAGGCTTTTACTCTACATGGCAGTGCCTATACGGGAGTTGCAGGGGGTGCCCATCCACACTAGGTAGGCCTGATGCTTGCCTGCTTTACCCACCAAGAGAGAGGCTGTGGAGATGGAATTACAGAGGGAAGGTGGGCATGCCTCCACCTTGGGAGAGCAATGGGATGGCTCATCCGTTTGGATGGGTGTTCATGGGATGAATGGGATGGCTCATCCATTTGGATGGTTGTTCACCCAGGCTGTTCCTGCCCACTGCCGTATACCCAGGCAGGAAGCATTCAGCTTGCTAGCTTGCTCAGCCTAAAGATCGATGTCCTGACAGAGTGGGACGCATCCAGCCACGTGTCAGGCACCACCAGAGTTCCTGTCAACGTCAATTTTGGGGAGAGTCTAACAAACAGCTGAGTCTTTCGGAAGCTGTGAGGACTTGGAATAAGCCAAGACAACCCCACTACAGTGTGGTAAAGAAGGTGTTTCGCTGTGATCTGTGGGGGCTTAAAGAGCAAAGCAGATCCACCATTCTGATGATTCTCAAGCCAATTCTTTTTAACTAGAGAGTTAGTAATCAGGATAACCCCATTAGGTTACTGGGGTGGGACAGTAAACTCTTCAAGCTATCTACTCCCCACCCCCCTCCTCCAAACACACAATAACACATGGTCCCCTTGACAAGCTCCAAGGCTGGTTAATGAGTAAAAACCTGTCAACTGCCAGGACACTGTGTCTTTCAGGCCAGGGCTCACACCAGCCTTGCACTCCACAGTCTCTGGAGCAGTAGCTAGCCTCTGACTCCAATGCTGTGCCATCTACTCAAAGAACAGCAGCTTCCCCAGGCTAAGGGGTATTTGGAATTTGGAAGCCAGATCTCTTGGCTTATAGAGGATAAGAACTGGACAAAACAAGGCTTAGCTCTCCACAATTTGACTTAATAACTAGTTTTTGTTTTGTTTTTGAGACAGTCTCACTTTGACACCCAGGCTGGAATGCAGTGGAGTGATCTCGGCTCACTGCAACGTCCACCTCCTGGGTTCAAGCAATTCTTGTGCCTCAGCCTCCCAAGTAGCTGGGATTACAGGCATGTGCCACCACACCTGGCTAATTTTTGTATTTTTAGTAGAGACGGGGTTTCACTATGTTGGCCACACTAGTCTCGAACTCCTGGCTTCAAGTGATCTGCCCACCTCAGTCTCCCAACTGCTGGGATTACAGGCATGAGCCACAGCACCCGGCCAATAACTAGATTTTTAAAACTCACCAAAAACAAGTAACTCATTGTGAATAACCCTTGAAATCTGCAAAACTTGCTCTGGGGCAAACCCAGGCAACAATAGGATTTAACAGTGCCCCACAGAAGCATGTGTGTGTCCTGTCTCAGTCATCTCTACATGGAAAGCTGAAAGGGCAATCAGGAGTGTGCTTTGTAGGATTCTGGTACTATAACAAAGATGGTGTTTCCATACCATTCACGGTGAGCCTGGCCTTATGTGAATAGGTGGAGCCAAAGTGGTTGGTGATGACACATTGGTAGCGGCCCTCGTGCCCGAAAGTGACCTGACGGAGGTGCAGGATGGTGGTGTACTCCATCACTTCCCCGTCCTGCGCGTGGACGTGGACAAAGTTCTCCATGTCTGCATTGGTCAGGACTTCATTGTCTTTCTTCCAGGCAAAGGTCATGGGGGAGCTGCTGCTGCTGGCTGCTGAGCATGTAAACCGGATGTCCTTGCCCACCATAGCCATGGTGGTTTCTGGCTGGGTGATGATCTGTGGCTTCAGGAAGTCATCTGGGGAGAGAAGGGTCAACTGTAAAGCGCTGGGTTCTTGGTACACAGAGGAACCAGCTGCTGTTCATGCTAACAGAAACTGACACAGACACCAAGCAGGAACCAGAGCTTGAGGTCCCTGTGCATCCTCAGCCCCACCAACCAGATGCCGTAAGAGTTGCACCATGGACATCTGACCTCATCTAATTAGAAGTCTGTGAGTACTGATCACCTTTATGATCACACTCCTTGATTAGAAATTAACCCACCACTTCTCAGTTCTCAAACCAGCCAGCCGGCAGTTTCCTTAAGACAACTGGCTCTGCCTGCTGACTTTCACACAAAACAGTCAGGCACCACTGGTCATGACTGCAGAGATCTTACCCACAAACCTTACTCCAAAAGGAGGGGGTGTAAAACACTTCCAAAATGTCAGAATAAGGACCTCCAAAAATCTGCACCTCCATTAAAACAAGGAAAACACCTGGAAAAATGGTCAAAAGCAACTTTTTCAGAATTCTGGAAAACCAAAGGCTTACAACAATCCATGGATTGTTGATTCAAGCAAATAGCAACATCTCAGAAATGTGAGCTTTGTGGTATTTTAACTTATCCAAAGCCCCATTCTTCCCTCCCCAGCTCCATGGTAGCCTTGAAACCCAGCAGCCTAGCAACCACTCAAGGGTCAGAATGGGCTCCCCAAAAGCCCCATCCTCAGAACTGACACCATGTGGCCTATCTGGCAGCAACACGGAAAGCCCCATTCACAGGATTTGCATTGATTTGCCCTGATCTAGTTTGCCGAGCAGGAGAAGCCCTAGCCCCAGGGCACATGACTACAACAATCAGTAGCCACTGTTCAACAGCGCAGCTGTCTGAGGGGACAATACCCATGGGGCAAACAAGCAGCTGGCCAAAAAACTATAAAGGAAAATGTGGGGAATACAGTGTTAATGGTGGGCTTTGAAAAGGTCCAATACATTCCTGGGGATCTAGACAGCCACATGCAGGTGCAAGGCCATGTGCACACCCAGGAAAGACGTGAGGGGGTCCTCATTTGTCACCTGTGGCTGAGCATGACTGTCTACACAAATAGGAAGTGATGGCACACCCCAACACAAACACACAAGCCGTCGGTAAAGGATAGGAGACAGTGGTTGTGGTGACTTCTCTGTCCAACCATTAGCTAACCACTAAACTAAACAAGCAGGGACTTAAGGGGACGGACTTTATATAGCCTTTGTCCAGGAAAAGTCACTAGGCAAGCTGTAACAATAAACAGCAACAGCAGCAAATCCTGGGGGAGGAGAAAGGGAATATCCAATTTCCAGAGTTGCCACATTATTTTATTTTAAATGCCCAATTTTCAACAAAATATTATGAAACACTCAAACAGGAAAAAAAGCAGTCAACAGAAACTGTCTCTGAGGGAGCCCAGACTTAGATTCACTAAATAAACTTTTTAAATCGGCAATTATAGGCATATTCAAACACCTCAAGGAAACCATGTCTTAAAAAAAATATCGAAGGATAGTGGCCAGGTGGGGTGGCTCACGCCTATAATCCCAGCACTTTGGGAGGCTGAGGCAGGAGGATCATGAGGTCAGGAGATCAAGACCATCCTGGCTAACATGGGGAAACCCTGTCTCTACTAAAAATACAAAAAAAAAAAAAAAATTAGCCGGGTGTGGTGGCAGGTGCCTGTAGTCCCAGCTACTAGGGAGGCCGAGGCAGGAGAATGGCATGAACCCAGGAGGCGGAGCTTGCAGTGAGCCAAGATCACGCCACTGCCCTCCAGCCTGGGTGACAGAGCAAGACTCTGTCTCAAAAAAAAAAAAAAAAAAAAAAAAAAGGATAAAGTATGAGAAAATTTTATAGCAATAAAGAGAAATTATAGATATGAACCAAGTAGAAATTTTGAAACTTAGAAGTACAATAACTGAAATGAAAAATTCACTAGAGGGGCTTGACAGCAGAACTGAGCTGGCAGAAGGAGGGGGCAGGGAACTTGAGACAGTCAACTGAGATTATGTAGTCTGAGAAACAAAGAAAAAAGAATGAGGTAAAATGAAAAGAACCACAGAGACTTGTGGGACAGCATCAAGCACAACAACATACAAATCATGGGAGTCCAAGAAGGAGAAGAAAGAAAAAGGAAGAGAAAAAGTATCTGCAAAACAATGGCCCCAAATTTGATGAAAAATGTGCAGCCACACATCCAAGAATCTTAATGAACTCCAAGTAGAGTAAATTCAAAGATCCAAACGCAGATTCATCATAGTCAAGCTGTCAGGTGCCAAAGACAAAGAATCTTGAAAACGCAAAAGAGGAGCAACTCATCACATTCAAGGGATCTTCATTATTATTAACGGCTGATTTCTTACCAGAACCCACAGAGAACAGAAGGCAGTAGGAAGATATTCAAATTACTGAAAGAAAAACGTTCAACTATGAATTCTATGTATTAAAAAACCTATCCTTCAAAAATGAAGGGGAAATTAAAACATTCCGATGTTTTTATTTTAAACACACACAGAGCAAGTTGACTGTTATCAGGCCTGCCCCACAAGAAATCCAGGAGAGTATTTAGTATGGCTGAAATGAAAGGACATCATATAGCAACTCCAATCCACACCAAGAAATAAAAAATCCCATTAAAGGTAACTACACAGGTAATACAACACACAGGATACGTGTATTTTTGTAACTCGCGTCTCCTGATTTAAAAGACAACTACATAAACCAGTAATTATAAGGCTGTGTTGATGGGCTTAATGAAAATGTAATGTGTACGACAACAGTAACACAAAGGAATAAAACTGGATCTTAATAGGAACATAATTTTTGCATATTACTGAAGTTAATTTCATTATTTATTTGAACTAGATTGTTGTAAGATGTTAATTTTAATTCCTATGGGCAAAACTAAGAAAATAACTAAAAAATACCCGTGTATTTAAAAAACAGGGAATTAAAATAGTACAACAGAAAATATCTTTTCAATAAAAAAACTAGTCAGTATTGGAAAAACAATGAAACAAAAAGATAGGACACATAGAAGAAATAAGGGGCAAACTCTACCTTATTAGTAAATGCATTAAAGGAAAATGAATTAAACACTCCAATCAAAAGGCAAAGATTACCATAATGGATAAAAAAAACTATGATCCAGCTATAGCCTACAAGAGACACAGTGTGGATTCAAAGATACAAATAAGCAGTCACCAAAAGAGAACTAAAGTGTCCATACTACTAACAGACAAAATAGGCTTTAAGACAGGAGTTTTTACTACAGAGACAGAATAATATTTTATAATGTAAAAGGGTCAATGCATCAGAAACACGTAAAAATGATAAATACATATATACCTAATGGAGCGCCACAAAACATAAAATCTGACCAGATTAAAGGAAGAAATAGTGCAACAATAATAGTTTGTACACTTCAATACCCCACTTTCAACAACGGATAGAACTAGTCAGAAGATCAAGGAAACAGAAGACTTCAACAACACTATGAGGGGACTTCAAAAAGTTCATGGAAAACCGAATTATAAACTTTATTTCTCAACATAACCTCCATCAAGTTTGAAACTCTCCTGAGTGATGATACCAGCCATTTAGTCCATCCCTAAAGAACTGAGGGTCCTGGGACATATCAATGCAGTCTTTTTTACATTATTAATTGAAGAAAATTGGGTGCCCTTTAAAGATTTTTAAAGATAATAACTAAAAAGAAGTCAGATGGAGCCAAATTAGGACTTTTAGGTGGATGTCTCATGATTTCCCACCAAAACTCTCACAAATTCACTCTTCTTTGTATTAGAGCTTCTAGCCAGTGCAACAGGCTAGAGAAAGAAATGAAAGCCACCCAGACTGGAAATGAAGAAGTGAAACTACCTTTTTGCAAATGACATGATGATCACATATAAAGAAAATCCTAAGAAATTTACTGAAAAACTTAGAATAAATGATGTCAACATATATGCAGGATACAAGATCAAGATACAAAATTCAATTACATTTCTGTATACTTGCAATAAATATTTCATTTTTGAAAATCCAAAAGTGAAATTAAGGATTTCATTTACAATAGCAAAAAGAATAAAAACAGAAATACCTTTAACAGTAGTTGAAGATGTGTACACTGAAAGTGACAAAACATGACTGAAAGAAATTTTTAAGAAGCTAAGAAAAAAGGGTGGACAGCCCATCTTCATGGATTGGGAAGACTTAATACTGTTAAGATGGCAATACTTCTCACATTAGTCTATAGATTCAATGCAACCCACATCCCACTTTCCTTTACTGCAGAAATTGACAAGCTGATCCAAAAAATTGTAAGGAAATGGCAAGGGATCCATAATAGACAAAACAATTTTGAAAAAGAATAAAATCAAAGGGCTTTGTAACACTAAGGTTATAAAACTCTTAGAAGAAAATAAAGGAGGAAATCTTTGTGACCTTATCTCAGGCAAATAGTTTCTTTGATATGACATCAAAAGCATACGTAATAAAAGAAAAAATAGAGATATTGAACTTCACCAAAATTAAAAACTTTTGCATTTCAACTATCAAGAAAATGAAAAATAGCCCTCCCTCAGACTGGGAGAAAATATTGGCACAACATGTATCTTATGAAGGTCTCATATCCAGAATACATAAAGAACTTTACAACTAAACATTGAAAAGACAAATGAATACTGGCAAATGATTTAAATAGCTGTTTTTCCAAAGAAGATATATATATATATGTATGTCCAATAAGCAGGTGAAAACATGCCTAACATCATTAATCATTAGGGAAGTGCAAATCAAAACCACCATGAGACTCTATTTTACACTCACGAGTACATCCAAAATAAAAAAGACAGTTAATAACACATGCTAGCAAAAATGGGGAGAAATTGGAATTCTCATGCATTGGTGATGGGCATGTAAAATCATGAAGCCACTCTGGAAAACAGTTTGGCAGTCCCTCAAAAAAGCTGAGCACAGAGTTAGCGTATGACCCAGCAATTCCATTCCTAGGTTTGTACCCAAGAGAATCACACAAAACCCTGTATATGAATTTTCACAGCAGCATTATTCATAATAGCCAAAAAGTGGGGACAATCTAATGTCCATCATCTGATAAACGGATAAATAAAATGTAAACCCATTTATTCAGCCATGAAAAACAGGAATGAAGTACTGATACATGCTTAAAAATTATGCTAAGTGAGAAAAGCCAGTTACAAGAGACCGTATACTGTATGGTTCCATTTATATTAAATGCCCAGAATAGGCAAATGATGGAGACACAATGAGATTAGTGCTATCAAGGGCCTGGGGGCAGAGAATAGGGAGTGATTACTAATGGTATGGGGATCCTTCTAGTGGTGATAAAAATGTTCTAAAATTAGATAATAGTGATGGTTACACAGTTGTGACTATTATAACAACCATCAATTTATATATTTTAAAGGGGTAAATTTTTATGATATATAAATTATATTTCTTTTTAAAAGCAGCTTTATTGAGAATACTTCATCTACACTACAACTCACTCATCTAAAGTATACAATTCAATGGTTTTTAGTATACTCACCAATATGGGCAACCATCACTACAGTCAATTTTACAACATTTTCATCACTTCAAAAAGAAATGCTGTACATTTTAGCTATTACCCCTCTCTTTCCATCCCTCCCCATCCTTAAACTACTACTAACCTAATCTCTACCTCCACAGATTTCCCCATTCTGGACATTTCTATGAATGGAATCATATAATCTAATGGTCTTTTGTGGCTGACTTCTTCCACTTAGCATGACATTGTCAAAGTTCATTCATGTTGCAGGACTACTGATTGCTTTCACAGCCTAATGAATATTCCATTGTATGGCTATACCACCTTTTGTTTATCCAGTCATCCACTGATACCTGGGTTGTGCCCATATTTTGGCCATTATGAATAATGCTGCTATGAACATTCATGAAGAAGTTTCTGTGTGAACATATACATTCATTTCTCTTAGGTATACACCCAAGAGTGGAACTGCCAGGTCATGTCGTAACTGGATGTTGAACTGAGGAACTGCCGAGACTGTTTTCCAAAGTGGCTGCCCCAGTTTACACTCCCACCAGCAGTGTAGGAGGGTTCTCCCTATCCTCAGCAACACTTGTTATTATCTGAGTTTTGGATTCTAGCTGTCCTAGTGGATGTGGAGTGCTTATGTTTCCGTTTTTAAAAAAGGAGTGGGAGACTCCCATAAAGCCTGAAACCTTGATCTTCTGCCAAGTGTTTTCATGATTCCCATTAACACCTGACGTTTTTAGAGGGGGGGAAGCTTGAGCTAAAATGTGGGGGTGGGGATGACAGATGTGAAATAAACAACTCTTGCAATCCAGAATATGCCAGGGCCACAGGCTGGGGGCTAGGTGAACTTACCAAAGTCCTACCTGGCTCACCCAGAGGGAAAGCCTGCCCTATGGCAGGAAAGGGGAGGGAGCGATGGAAAGCTTTATTTGAGGGAGGTCTATAAACAATTTAAGGGTCAAGGACTTGATGACAATGGGCCAATGAACAATGGATTATACAGCCATTTTGTGCCTGGATAATGGAGCTGTGCGAGCATTAGATTCCACACAGAAGGCTCCATAAGACAGATCGGTATGAAAAGTCAGTTTGGAGAGCTGCTGCCATGTTCGCAGTGGGTTTAAGACGTGTCCCTGGTCTGGATCCAGAGGAAGTTCAGCAGGCCTGTTCTCAAAAGTGGTGATGGTGAAGGTAGGGGTGGATGCATGGAGAGGGCACACACATCTTGCCTCCAGCAGGCACACTGGCTACTCCAGCAGGCACAATGGCTATTGCTATGGCCAGAAAGTAGGAGACAGAAGTGGCCCACAAGGGTTGCCATATGGATGGGTGAGTTCCTGGTTAGGATCCTCACAGCAGGGATCTCAAGGCTCAAGGGAGACCAGTGAGCACAAAAGGCAGGAGGGACTTAACACCTGCCCAGCAGTTCCAGTCAGGCCTGGGAATCCCACTCTTGCTCCTGCTTAGAGCAAGCAAACAGGAAAAACTCAAAATTCATCTCATTTTTTGACCATGTCTTCCTGACCGTGAGCCTGTGTCAGTCCTGTCTGAGCTAGCCTGCGTGTGTGTTTTCAGCTGTTCAGCATTTTCTGTGCTCTCTGCAACCAAACTTGGATCCCGACTCCCAGTCAAAAAGATGGCAAGAGCTACGCTCCAGGAATCAGAAGGCAAAAAGAATGTAAAGCTGCAAGTGCAGATTTCAGTGGTTTGGAGAAACAGCAAGAGTACAAGTCAACATCAAGGAATTATTTTTACTACAGCAACTGTTCTCCTGAGACTTGTTCTTCCTGTATTTAACCTTTCATTCTTGGGGTCGGAAAGAAACACACATTAAAACGCCAGCCTCGTACGCGGAGTACATTCGCAGCTAAACCCGGGCACCAGAGCCCTTCTGAAACAACAGAACTATCTTCCTGTAACTGATTATTCTGATTTGTAACTGAACCAACTTATACTCCCTTCTGATTAAATGCATGTCCTCCAAGAACCACATAATGAGGCAACTCTACGGTAAATACTGTGTGTGGTTTCAGCAAGAAATAAATTGCATCCAGCAGCTGATCTGTAACCACGGGCTGGGGTTTACTCTGATCACAGGAATTACTCCCATAATGAAGAGTACCTCCTGGCTTCCTTGTCCTTCATGAAGGAGAGAAAAAGTTACAAAGACAGTCTTACCGCACACGAAACTCTCTGGTGGCACAGAGAAAATGCTCTGACCCTTCAGTGATTCTGGGTGGGCACAGGTGGCTGTCACAAAGGCCTGCAGCATCCTGCCAATTAGCCACGGGGGCAGCCACTTCAGCTGGCAGTCACACAGGAAGCTGTCGCTGCTGATATGGCTGAAAGAAACACAACAGTGGATGCTTCAGGTGCAGCCGCAAAGGAGGGACACTCCCTTCACACACACAATGATCAGTCGCCTCCAATCAGCTTCTCAAGTGAACATCAGCAAGCTGGAAGGGGGAAATGGTTTTTCTCACACTTCCTCTCCAATTTCCCAGGGCAGTGCATATAACCCACCTGGAGATTTTGAAAAAATGCAGTTGCTGATTGGGTGGGTCAGGAGTGGAACCCACGACTCTGCTAACAAGTTCACGTATCATGCTGGGGCTGCTGACCCAAGGACCGCAACTGGAGCAGCAGCAACGTGGAGCTTATCCATGCCATGTTCTGGGACAGACACTGTTCCTGTGTGACCCTGGGCTGCCTTCTGACCTCTCCTGACCTCTGATACATCCAACAGTGCTATGCTGCCACCATCCCCCCTCTGGTTTTTCCCACTTTCCTGATAAACTACTTGGAGCTTCCAAACTCGGCCTGAGACTTTGATCCAAATTCTGCAACAAGTTCCGAGGAGGGCTCTTTTGCCTCATGGCTGTTCCTTTTCCATTTGGCAAAGCTGCATGTTTTCTTACTTCCAAATGTAATAAGCCCCGTCACTGTGCCACCCTCTTGTTTGTGCCTTGATCTTTGCACCAGTATTCTTCAGGGGGCCGGCAGAATTCGGCTCTGCTCCCTAAATAGTGCTTGTTAGTTAATTGCCACTGCCCAGGGAGCATGAGAATGCACAACTTTAGCTTTGTGGGGCTCCAACCAAAACAGAGAATATTTTCTTTTTCATTTCTCAGCAACTAAGGATAAGCTTTTTAAACAGAAATCGGAATCGCCATCTCAGCGGACATTCCTTCCTGAGGAGTCACTTGAAGATAAGTCAACCAAGAGTCTAGCTGCCTTGTTCCTGGAAGACCTCAGAGCTGTGAGCTAAAGAATGATGGCTGGCCCACGATAAGGGAAGACTGGGAAAGAGAGCACACAGGCTTCCCTGCAATACACTGTCTCTGGTACATGGTGACAAACAGGAGGCACAGGTATGCGCAGAAATTCCAAAAACATCATGCAGGCCAAGAGCACGACTTTGGCTGCCTTCTCCACCCACCACTGTCCTCAGACATCAACAAAGCAACCAAATGGACTGGCCTTCCATTTTCTTCTGTTTCTCTCCAGATTTCTAATGAGCAGAGAAACTGTCACAGCAAGGAAGAATGAAGTGTAAGCAGATGACCCAAGGCTAAATTAAGTAAAATCCACTCTTCCTCATGTTCCCCATCACCCCTAGATGAGTTGGGCATCTTATTAAAATAATTATAATTTTGGAAAGTGCTTTTCCAAAAACAGAAATAACTTATCTCAAGGCCATTATAACTGGGATGCTGGCCCATATTAGATCTTAAAATCAGCATGAGAGTTTGCATTTTTATTTCACGGGCAGGTAGCGTTCTGCTGAGAGCCATCTGGAGGGCTGTCCTACTGTGGAGTCACTGCAGGTGGCGGAAGGGCTGTAACGGCCATCCCTGAGGAAATGGTCAATTCCCATGCAGTGTTTGGGGAGGGCAGCTCCCAGGAGTGCACCCTGCATGGGGGTCAGGGCTGGCTGCGCCAGGCATGGGGGGAACTCAGCCTGGATGGAGAACTCTCCGCTGTCAGAAGCACCTCCAGCTCCCCAGCAAGAGGGCACTTCCGTGCAGTCAGGCAGAACAGCCTGGGCACTGTTCACGAAAGCCTAGGAGAGAAGGCTGGGCCATCCCTGTGCGACGTTAAGCATTTGTGCAGGACACAAGGACATATTCCATTTGAACCACAGGAACAAACGGGAAAACAAATTTGACATTTATCTTTGATCAGACACATGTAGAAAGGGCTAAGCCTCATCCTACACACGCCCTGGACGTGTGGGGCTAACGCCTTTGAGGATTTCCTACTTCTTCCACCATGAAACCCACCTCAGACAGGAGGCCAGACTCCAGGAAGACAGTGGGTACTCAGGGTGGAGACAGCATGTTCCTAAACAGCAAGTTAGGACTGAGAGGATACATGGGGAGGGCCTGGGGCCAGGCAGTAGCGAGGATTCCAACCCCTAGGCTCTGCAGGCTCCTGCCGCCCTTCTTCCACCCGTGGAGAGCACAGCGCCATCGGCTCTACTGCCTTCTGCTGCCATCCCAGGGCTTTGCTGGCTCACATGGTGCATTTTCACGATTCCAACTCAAAGTGTGTTTCTAATCATCACTTGTGGAAATTTACCCAGAGGATGACTAAGTGCACAGTACAACCTGACTTGATCTGATGGAGAAAAAGACGACCAAGTGGAATTAACCATTTCTCTCATCTGAGGACTGGGCACAGGGCCGGCTCCAGCGAGGTATATGCAGCAACGATGGGAAACCCAGGCAGGAGACCGAGGCTGAGCCTCCAGAACCATGCAGAAGCACGCTGGAGGTCCAAGCTTCTGGAAGGGTCCAGTTCCTCCCAACTTCCCAAGGAAAATCTTATCCTCCTCCCTCCTTCTCTCAAAATACCTTCTTCCCGTTTAAATTGAATCAGGTATTTTTCAGTCCTGACATCATATCTGAAAGTTTCAAAGACAGAAAAGGTGAAAGAATTC